>NC_000016.10:24547092-24850122 GCF_000001405.40 Homo sapiens | reverse complement strand
ACAACAAATTTTTAAAAATTAGCTGGGCATGGTGCTGTGTGTCTGTGGGCCTGGCTATTTGGGAGGCTGAGGCAGAAGGATTGTTTAAGCCCAAGAGGTTGAGGATGTAGTGAGCTGTGATTGCACCACTGCACTCCAGACCCTGTCTCAAATAATAGATAATAATAATGATAATAAAATAAAAAATTTTAAAAAGACATCTCAGGATTTGAGGCTGAAGCAGAGGCCAGGATCACCCCTAGTCCGTTAGCAAGAGCCACGGCTTCAGGTATCTGGAAATAAATTCTAGGCATGGCAGGGCAGGGCAGCGTTCCCTGAATGGTCCACAGCAGGGTAACAGGGCATATGCCCAGTGAGTGCAGGGGACCCGGCAGAGCGTTGTCCTTCACCTGCCTTTCAGGGATGATCTTGTCTCATTATTCCAGAGAGAATAGACATCACAGAGCACCTTCTGAGCCCAGACCTGTCCATCCAAATGCCAACGTGGCATCTCTCATGGATATATATATATATATATATATATATATATTTTTTTTTTTTTTTTTTTTTTGCCCCCAAGGCAGAGTCTCGCTCTGTTACCCAGGCTGGAGTGCAGTGGTGCAATCTCTGCTCACTGCAACCTCTGCCTCCCGGGTTCAAGCGATTCTCCCGCCTCAGCCTCCCGAGTAGCTGGGATTACAGGCATGTGTCACCACGCCTGGCTAATTTTTGTGTTTTTAGTAGAGATGGGGTTTCACCATGTTGCCCAGCTTGTCTTGAACTCCTGACCTCGGGTGATCCACCCGCCTCGGCCTCCCAAAGTGCTGGGATTACAGGCGTGAGCCACCGTGCCCGGCTTCTCATTGTTACTTAATAGATGTCTGAAAGTTCACACGTGCGAGTTACAGACCAAGCTTTCCAGCCCAAGCACGTGCTTCTTCCAGTCTTCCCCACCTCACTAAATGACAGCTGCAGCCACTCTGCCACTCCTGCCAGAAACCTGAGTCATCTATAAGGCATTAGTCCATTTGTTCACTTATCAAGTGGTCTGTGAGCACCTCTATGTGCCAGGCACTACATCTAAGCACCAAGAGTGCCTGGTATGTAAATGTCTCATCGAAGAATTTATAGCATCTCTTTCTCACCTCCCAGAATCTATTCACTCCCAATTCCATTCTCTCTTACTTCCAAAACATAATAAATCCACACATTTTCCCTCATTTTTAGTGCTATCACCCTTGTCTGAGCCACCATCACTTCTGTCTAGGTTAGAGAAAGACCCTCCAGTCTTACCTCCCCGATATCCATTCTTCCTTCCTTTTTATTTTATTATTTTATTTTTGTTTTAATTTACTTAATTTTTAGAGACAGGGTCTTGTTCCCTTGACCAAGCCGCAGTGCAATGGTGCCATCAGAGCTCACTGTGGCCTCAAACTCTCGAACATCTGTGCTCAAGGGATCCTCCCACCTCCGTCTCCCAAGTAGGTGGGACCACAGGTACATGCCAACATGCCTAGCTAATTTTTTATTTTTTGAGACAGGGTTTCACTCTGTTGCCTGGGCTAAAGTGCAGTGACACAAACACAGCTCCTGCAGCCTCAACCCCATGGGCTCAAATGATCCCTGCACAGTGCTGGGATTACAGGTGTGAGCCACCATGCCTGGCCTCCAGCTAACTTCTTATTTTGTAATTTTTTTGTAGAGACGGGGTCTTGCTATGTTGCCCAGACGGGTCTCAAACTCCAGGCCTCAAGCAATCCTCCCAACTTGGCCTCCCAAAGCACTGAGGTTGCAGGCATGAGCCACCTCACCCAGCCTTGCTTCCTTTTAATCCGCCCCTCACACGGAAGCCAGAGAAATCTTTAAGTATGAGTCAGATCAGATCATTTTCCTGCTCAAAACATCTCCATGCTGCTGGGGTGCTTTGTTGTGCTTCCAACCCCACCACATACTAGCATTCATTTTATTCCTGGAACACGATTTCTGGCCTCAGGGTCTTTGCCATTCTGTTCCCTCTGCCTGGGATGCTCTTCCCTGCACTCTTTGCTGGACAAGCTCCTACTCATCCTTTAGATGTCAGCCTGCTGTATATCCCCAAAGGAGCCCCCTCTTGGCCTCAATATAAATTGGGTCCCCAAGCTTTTTGCTTTCATGGCAAACACAACTTCTCATCACAGTCTAATCAAGTGTAACACTTGATGTGTGTGATTACCCCTTGTCTGCACTGCACAGCAAGCCCCATAAAGAAAGGTCCATGTCTCTGTCACTCTCATTGTGTCCCCAAAACAGGCATGCAATAAATGTTGGTACAACAAATAAATGTGGGATTTTTAGAGCCTTTGCTATAGATCCTTTGCACGCTGTGACCGCCCAAAAAAGGGACAGCATTTTTCCAAGTCCTATCTGCAGGATGCCCAATGGGCTAGGACACTTCTGTCAACTATTGCCCAGAATAATTCAGCAGAACACCATTTGAAAACCACTGATTGGTAGGGTGCAGTGGCTCATGCCTGTAATCCCAGCACTTTGCAAGGCTGAGGCGGGAGAATCGCTTGAGTTCAGGAGATTGAGACCAGCCAAGGCAACACAGGGAGACCCCATTTGTACAAAAAATAAAAATAAAAAAGTTAGCAGGGCATGCTGGTGAGCTATGATAGTACTACATTTCAGCCTGGGCAACACAGAGAGACCCTGTGAAAGAAAAGACAGAAAAGAAACGAGAGAGAGAGAGAACAGAAAACACACACAGAGAGAGAGAGGAGGCAAAGAAGGAAAGAAGGAAGGAGAAAGGGAAAGAAAGGAAGAAATAAATAATAAAAGAGAGAGAAGAAAGAAAGAAAGAAAGAAAAAAGGGAAAAGAAAGAGAAACAGAGAGGTGGGAGGGAGGGAAGGAAGGAAAGAAGGAAGGAGAAAGAAAGGGAAAGAAAGGAATAAGGAAAGAAATAAAAGAAAGAAGGAAAGAAAGAAAGAACAAAGAAAAGAAAGGAAAAGAAAGAAAAAGAAAGAAAGAGAAAAAGAAAGAAAGGAAAGAAAAAGAAAATCACTGATATTGTGGCTGAGCTCATGGCCACAGGAATTGAGTCTTGGCTTGGCCACTCACTATCTGTATTACCTTGAGCAAGTTATTTAATGACCCTTAGACTCTGTCCATGAATTAGGGGGTGCTGTACCTACCTTACAGGGTTTCTGTGTCAGTTAGATGAGATCCAGGCGTAAAGTTCTCTGCACGTGTCTGACACGTACCAGTGAAGACTTGTATTTGCCTTGTAGTTAACAGCAGCTGCAGTTGTAGTAAATACATTCCTATAGCTTTTTAATGCTTATGTGGATACATTTACCTTCGTTATCTCTGGGTAACACACCTGTGGGGTGGGTCAGCCTGAGGTTCATATTCCCATTTGACAGATAAGGAACCTGAGACTCGGTGAGGCAAAATGTTTGGCTCAATGTCCCTGACCTTGGTTAAGTGGAAGAGCTGGGACCCACGTACGGTGCTGCTGGCTGCCGGCTGCTGGCTTCATACCACCATGCCCACCCCACAAACACACTCCATTGTCCTGGTGTATGACAAGCTTTCTCTGCAGAGAGGGCTGAGCTTCCCCTGCCCCACAGGTGACAGCTGGAGTCCTTCTGCCAGCACCTGTCCCCAGACCAACTTCCCAGTTTGGAGAGTGGCTACCTGTTTGGGGGCAGGGGGTGTCTTACCTTATTCCAGATGCAGGGCTCACCTGCCCTGGGGGCTGTCAGTGGCTTCTAAGGCACTAGGAGGTGGCGGTGGTTGTAAGGAGGGAGATACCCGGGATCCTCTCTCTTTGCAGCCAAGAGCTTCCGGAGACAGCAGTGACCCTTCCTCCTATATGCCCGCTGCTGAGAGAGCCTCCAAGCGGGTCAAACTCCAAACTCCAGCCTCAGCTGCAGCGGGGATTAAAGGAAGCGTGAATGATCTCCCCAGGGCAGAAGAGAGAACGGGGCCCAGCCCAGGACCCTTGAACTCTGAGCAGGTGGGGAAGGTGACATGTCCCACGCTCTGCCCACACCGTCCTCCACCAGGGTCCTCACCTGCGTGGGGACCCATGGCATGGAGGGGTTGGGGAGACGCTGGAGCCCAAGGCACCATCCTGCTTCACTCACCCAGTCTTCCACTGTCCCGCCTCCACGCTGGGGACAGGCAGGCTTGGGACGAGCTGGAGGAAGGGGAGGGGAGGAAAAATGCTGGCGGCGGATGGAGGGGACAGAGGCAAAGTGCCAGGAGGGACGTCCAGCCACAGCCCTCACCGCAGTGGCAGCAACAGGAACAGCAACCATTGCTTGTGCAACCCCTTTCCATATACTCTTCAGACAGAGGCATGGCAAAGAACAGGTGTCTGCCTGAAGTCGAGAGTTCGAGACCAGCCTGACCAACATGGAGAAACCCCATCTCTACTAAAAATACAAAGTTAGCCGGGTATGGTGGTGCATGCCTGTGGTCCCAGCTACTCGGGAGGCTGAGGCAGGAGAATCACTTGAATCCGGGAGGCGGAGGTTGTGGTGAGCCGAGATTACACCATTGCACTCCAGCCTGGGCAACAAGAGCGAAAATCAGTCTCAAAAAAAGAAGAAGAAGAAGAAGAAGAGGTGTCTGAGGCCCTGAAAAACCGTCAGGAGTGACCGAGCCATGGCCAGGCGCCCACATCGGGCCCAGGACATCAGCGGGGCATAGCGAAGATTTCTGCCAGATGCTCAAAGCATCCAAAACTTTATTTACTTTTTATTTCTGAGACAGGATCTCACTCTGTCACCCAGGCTGGAGTGCAGTGGTGGCATCACAGCTTGCTGCAGGCTCATCCTCCTGGGCTCAAGTGATCCTCCCACCACAGCCTCCCGAGTAGCTGGGACTACAGGCGTGCACCACCACACCCAGCTAATTTTTTCATTTTTTTGGTAGAGAGAGAATCTTGCTATGTTGCCCAGGCTGGTCTCCAACTCCTGGGTTTAAGTGATCCTCCCACCTTGGCCTCCCAAAGTGCTGGGATTACAGGGGTCAAACACTGTGCCAGGCCAAATACCAAAACATTTTAAAAATAGTTACTAGTATTTGCAAACCAAGAGGCTTGAAACATAATTCTAGAATACTCACTTTTCTAGAACAACCTGAAGATCTGGCCTCACCAGGCCCCCATGGCCACAGGACAGCTGCTGACTGGGGAGGAGTCGTGGCCTCCCCATCTCACTCCTTCACTGGGCCTGCCAGGCTCTGGGGGGCCCTCAGCTGAGGCCCCTGTCCTGGCACCGAGTAGCCAGAAATAATAGCAGTGATGAACACGTGCCAGGCTCTAAGGGCACAACATGCCTTTACTCACTTGGTCTTTCCAACAACCCTCGAAGTTAGGTCCTGTTATCTCTATCTTACTGACGAGGTAACAGAGGTAGAGGAGATGAGTCATCGGCCCAGGATCACCCGGGTTGTAAGTGACACAGCAAGATTTCAGCCCAGGCCACCTGGCTCTAGAGTCCTGCAGGAGCAGTGGAGGGTGGCTTGACTGGATAAAGGGTGGCCTGGGTGAGCAAACACTGGGTGACTGACCAACACCAGTATGAATGGGGCCTTTGGGGGAGGGACCTGCCCTGGGGGACAGATTTACAGAAGGAACAGCTGGGATTGGAGAAGAGGGACAGACAGAAGGCCATGAATCTGTGATCTGCAGCAGAGGCCACAGCACCAGGAAAGGCAGTGGGGTGCCACCGAGGGTGCACTGCTTCGCCAACCTGGGGTCCAGTCCTGACTTCTTGGGAATGTCTGGGGAGCCTTAGCCATGTGCAGGGTGTCTACAGAAGAGGCGTGGTAGTGAGTGAAGCCGGGCAGGTGGAGCTGAGGCTGACCCGAGAGCATGTGTCCCAGCTGAAGAGGACAGCCACGACCCAGCTCCACGTGGGGGAAGACAGGCCCAATGGGGTCAGAACTTCTGATTGTTCTAGAGAAGTTCTGCAAAGTTTCATGATTACGCATCCTTGAGGGCCAGATGTGGCCTGCTCGACCCTTGGCTTGTCACCTCCGATTGTTTCTCTGTCAGGTTTTTCATTTTTACCCTCAGTGCTATAAAGAATAGGAGAGGTGGAGTGCAGGGGCTCATGCTATCATCTCAGAGCTTTGGGAAGCTGAGGCAGGAGGATCTCTTGAGGCCAGGAGTTAGAGGCCAGTCTGGGTAACTCAGTGAGACCCTCATCTCTACACAAAATAGGAAGAATTAGATGGACATAGCAGTGTGCACCTGTAGTCCCAGCTACTCAGGAGACTGAGGTGGGAGAATCGTTTGAGCCCAGGAGTTCAAGGCTGCAGTGAGCCATGATAGTGCCACTACACTCGAGGCAACAGAATGAGATCTCAATTCAAAAAAAAAAAAAAAAAAAAAAAGAACTGTATAACCACTTTAGAGAACTATTTGGACATTTCTTATAAAGTTACCATACACTTTGCCGAGCGCGGTGGCTCATGCCTGTAATCGCAGCACTTTGGGAGGCCAAGGTGGGTGGATCACAAGGTCAGGAGTTCAAGACCAGCCTGCACTCGTCTCTACTAAAAATACAAAAATTAGCTGGGTGTTGTGGTGGGCCCCTGTAATCCCAGCTACTCAGGAGGCTGAGGCAGGAGAATCATTTGAACCTGGGAGGCAGATGGAGGTTGCAGTGAGCCAAGACCGTGCCATTGCACTCCAGCCTGGGTGACAAGGCGAAACTCCATCTAAAAAATAAAATTAAATAAATAAATAAATAAAGTTACCATACACCTCCCCCATGACCCAGCAATTTCACTCTTAGGTATTTATCAAGAGAAATGGAGACATATGTTCCCAAAAAGTTGTGCACACAAGTGTTCATGGTGGCCTTATTCAAAACTGTTTCTAAGTGGAAACAACACCAGTTCCATCGACAGGTGAGTGAAGAAACAAACTGCGGTGCATCCAACACCGTGAAAAACTTTCATCGAAAGGAATGAACTACCCAACCCACGCAACACCACGGATGAATCGAAGACTCTACGAAACATTATGCTGAGCAAAAGGAGCTGACCTGGGCTGGGTGCGGTGGTCACACCTGTGATCCCAGCACTTTGGGAGGCCGAGGTGGGTGGATCGCCTGAGGTCAGGAGTTCGAGACCAGCCTGGCCTATGTTGTAAAACGCTGTCTCTTCCAAAAATATAAAATTAAATTATCCTGCTGTGGTGGTGTGCGCCTGTGGTCCCAGTTACTCGTGAGGCTGAGACAGGAGAATTGCTTGAACCCAGGAGGTGGAGGCTGCAGTAAGCCAGGATCACGCCACTGGACTCCAGCCTGGGTGAGACAGAGCAAGACTCCATCTCAAAAAAAAAAAAAAAAAAAAAAAAAAAAAGCTGACATGAAAAGAGTACAGACCTTATGATTCAATTTATGTGAGGCTCAAGAACAGGAAAGATGGATTTGTGGTGACAGAAGTCAAAGAACAGGACCCAGTGAACAACTGGAAGAGGGTGGGAGTGTGCTCTCAGAGGTGATGGAAATTTCTATTATCTTGAATTGGGTGGTAATTATACGGTATATACAATTGGTAAAACCCCGTGAATTGAAGGATGAACACTTATGCTTTTTTTTTTTTTTTTGACCAAGTCTCACTCTATCACCCAGGATGGAGTGCAATGGCGCCATCTCAGCTCACTTAAACTTCTGTCTCCTGGGTTCAAGTGATTCTCCTGCCTCACCCTCCCAAAGTGCTGGGATTACAGGCATGAGCCACCGCGCCTGGCTGACTCATGCATTTTATTGTATGTAAATTATATCTTTAAAAATGAGAGCAGATGGCCGGGCACAGTGGCTTACCCCTGTAATCCTAGCACTTTGGGAGGCCGAGGTGGGCGGATCATGAGGTCAAGAGATCGAGACAATCCTGGCCAACATGGTGAAACCCTGTCTCTACTAAAAATACAAAAATTAGCCAGGCGTGGTGGGGTGCACCTGTAGTCCCAGCTACTCGGGAGGCTGAGGCAGGAGAATCGCTTGAACACAGGAGATGGAGGTTGCAGTGAGCCGAGATCATGCCATTGCACTGTAGCCTGGGTGACAGAGTGAGACTCCATCTCAAAAAAAAGAGCAAATATACAAACAGTGAATTCATACAGAGCAAATACACTGAGCAAATACAGTTATTGCGAGTCTGTCTCCCAGATTTTAGTTCCAGCCCATTGTCACCACGTAAGAACGTGGGTCTTATGTTGCCAGCATTCCTTTTGCAAGAGAAATCTAAGTCTGGGTTTTTTTTGTTTTTGTTTTTGTTTTTAATAGAAACTCTGATGACTTGTAAGGTTTGGTAAATTCAAAAGCAACAAAATAGCTAAAATGCGGGGTGTGTCAAATGATGCACGGGGCTCTGTTTGGAATCTGTATTCCTGGGTCGCATGTTCTCCTAGAGGGCTCAAGATGTGATTTCTTCCTAGATTTTCTGCAGACTTTTAATAACACACCTTTGCCTACCCACATCCCTAACAACTCAAATGTTGCTATTTGTTGCAAGAATTGAAAAGAGCAAATCCTCAAAACTGAAATAAGCTTTTCTAGGCAACATGCAAGCCTGGGAGAAAGAGTCCCTGTTAAGACAAGATACATTTGTTGACTTAGCAACAGTGAGCCCTTGGGCAAGTCTCAGTCTCTCTGAGCAATCAGTTTCCTCCCTAGCTCTCCCAAAATCCCCTAAGTTAACCATGAGCTGCCTACCTGGCATTTAGTTGACTCTGAGGATTTCAAGGCTTATTCTTGCTCTTTAGTGTGGCTTCAAAGAGGGAAAACTACAGTTTTTCTCTCTCTCTCTCCCTCTCTCTCTCTCTCTCTGGTTTTGTTTCTATCTCCCAAGAGTCACGGTTCTCACAAACCTGGCTTGCTTTTCATCCACAGTAGCTGCAGGAGACTGTGTGGGTTAAGAACCCAGAGATGGGGCTGGGCATGGTGTCTGACACCTGTAATCCCAGCATTGTGGGAGGCCGAGGTGGGCAGATCACTTGGGCCCACGAGTTTGAAACCAGCCTAGGCACCATGGTGAAACCCTGTCTCTACAAAAATTAGGAAAAAAAAAAAAAAAAAAAAACTGGGTGTGGTGGTGTGCACCTGTAGTCCCAGCTACGCAGGAGGCTGAGGAGGCAGGATCACTTGAACCCAGGAGGTCGAGGCTGCTCCTCCCCCTCCCCCTCCCCCTCCTCCCCTCCTCCTCCTCCTCTTTTCTCTTCTCCTTTTCCTTCTCCTTCTCCTTCTTCTTTTCTTGTTTGTTATTTTTTCCAGGCTGGAGTGCAGTGGCACAATCTCGGCTCACTGCAACCTCCGCCTCCTGGGTTCAAGCGATTCTCCTGCCTCAGCCTCCCAAGTAGCTGGGAGTGTAGGCACCTGCCATCATGCCCTGCTAATTTTTGTATTTTTAGTAGAGACAGGGTTTCACCATGTTGGCCAGGCTAGTCTCAAACTCCTGACCTCAGGTGATTTGCCCGCCTTGGCCTCCCAAAGTGCTGGGATAACAGGCATGAGCCACTGTGCCAGCCCACTTCTTAATACTAAGGTTTTTTTTTCTCTATTCATGAAAGTCCAGTGTAGTTTTCCAGAGACTAAGTGGCATGAGATGTAGTAACAGACTGAATATAGAAACAAATATGAGATTCCAGCTGTCTTCTCTTAAACTGGGCATTAAAAAGATTTGTAAAAACATAAAACGATGCCACTGTTTCCAATAAATCTTTTGGGAAAATATGGGATTTTTAAAAAATAAAAAATTATTTAACATGCAGTGGATTTATTATTCTTTAAAAAAGCAGTACGTGGGCCAGGCATGGTGGCTCACGCCTGTATCCCAGCACTTTGGGGGGCAGACCACCTGAGGTCAGGAGTTTAAGACCAGCCTGGCCAACATGGTGAAAACCCATCTCTACTAAAAATACAAAAATTAGCCAGGCGTGGTGGTGCGCACCTGTAATCCCAGCTACTTGGGAGGCTGAAAAATCACTTGAACCCAGGAGGTGGAGGTTGCGGTGAGCCAAGATCGTGCCACTGCACTCCAGCCTGGGCAACATTAGGAGACTCCATCTCAAAAAAAAAAAAAAAAAAAAAAAAAGCAGTACATATTTATAATTGTTTATTAATTTAAATGTCTGATATGATAAATATCTATAGCTATCATCCACATAACAAAAGGTCCTTGGAGTCCTTGGTGTTAAGAGGTCTGTGACCAGTTTTAGAACTTGTGCTCTATGGCCAACTTGTATGAGCCTGTGTACCTAGGAAAACTCTTGTAAACATTATGTCTAAACCGAAAGCCACATAATCGGTTAAAAGGTGTCTTCTGATGAAAATAGACCCTTACCGGAAAGCCTATTTATGGCAGTAGATTCTGTTGGGGTACAAGCTGTTTATATCTCAATAAACCTTGCCAGTTAGTGCATAGTACATAGTAGATTGTTAATGAATCAACAAGGTCTTTAAAAATTAATCATTAAACACTTTAACAGTAGGTCAACCATGGCAGAGAGGTTAAAATTTGGAGTGTGACTTCAAGACACTTGGAGATTACTGGAGTGGAACAAGATCCCGTGGAAGCCTGTTGACCAAAAACTTCCAGCAGCACAAATCTGGGTTATAGCAGGTGACTTTACTGATAACCCACTGTCATGGGCATTTGTGGCAAGTTCCAGCGCGGGGGCAGTTGCATGGCATGTAGGTAAGTACCTGGGCTCTGCCTTCAGTGTTTAGCTAAATCCTGGCTCTACTGACTTCGTGACTTATGGTAAGTATCCCCATTCACTGCCCTGTGTGTCAGTCTACCCATTTGTCAAATAATTAGGGCTGCTATAAGGATTAAATAAAATAATGCTCTGGGGTGGGAAATGGCCAGCAAAACCTGCCCTCCTCCCTTCCTGGGCACAAGGCTGATTGCACTGGGCAGCCCCGATTTGTGTCTAGCTGTGGCTAACTCTTGCCAGTGGAATGAAAGGGACTGTGATTCACACAATTTCTGCCTCCCGTGATTAAGAGGGAGCTCCCTGCCCTTGTCTTCCCCTCCTTTCTGACTTCTTTTTGGTCAGGATGGTGACTGAGTCCCCTTGCAGGCTGTGTGTAAGGAAAACAGTAGAGCTGCTAGCAGCCTGGGTTCCTGTTGGAACAGAGAAGCCACTGACTTGGAGCCTCCCCGTGGACCGAGACATGGAACAGAATGAATTTCCTTATTTTAGCCGTGTTATTGCTGAGTCACTTGTTACAACAGTGCAGGCTTTCACCCTAAAACATTCATGCACATTGTTTCCAAGTGTGGCTGCTCATGATAAGGGCTGGGTAAACTTTGCTATTAGGACCCTGCTGTCTTGCTCTAGAAGGATACAGCTACTCCAGTCTCAGCACAGGAAAGACACACAGAACACCTTTTTTTTTTTCTTAAGATAGGGTCTCATTCTGTAGCCCAGGCTGGAGTGCAGTGGCACAATCTTGGCTCACTGCAACCTCTGCCTCTTGGGTTAAGCAATTCTCCTGCCTCAGTCCCCTAAGTAGCTGGGATTACAGGTACACATCACCACACTGGCTAATATTTGTGTCTTTAGTAGAGCAGGGGTTTCACCATGTTGGTCAGGCTGGTCTCGAACTCCCGACCTCAAGTGATCTGCCCACCTCAGCCTCCCAAAGTGCTGGGATTACAGGCATGGACCACCACGCCCAGCCACACAGAACATATTCTGACTCTTTTGCAGCATTGCAGAGACACACGCTTTGTCTTTAGACTTCACGGCTCAGTAGGTGTGTGACGTGGGCAAGTTACTTCACCTCTGCAAATCTGCTTCATTATCCGCTAAACGAGGGAGAAATAACAACACCTCCTTCACAGAATAGTGGCGAGCCTTCAATGAGGTAACACCTGTAAACTGTTGAGCTTTCTTCCGTAAGTGCTAAATAACTGTGTGCTACTATTTTAATGACCATCTTCCGTATTCCTAGTAGGGAGCAGATCATAAATTGCCACCTGTTGAAGTTGTTCTGAATCCGGGGTTGGTCGCTGCATCTTGCAGGTGTTTTGCCCAGCAGGATGATCACCTGATAGTGAAAAGCATCTGGTTTTCAGTCCCAGGGCCTTCCTGTCCCCACATAGCCAAAGCCCACGGGGAGTTAGAATAAAACAGAGAAGGCAGATATGGGACCTGTTGGCTACACCTTAGGAAATGTCTGTTCTCATGGTGTCTGTTGATGTGGCTACAGCCTAGACCTTAATGCAAGCCTGGCTCTAAGAAGCAAATTGTCTTGATTGTTTTTTTTTTTGTTTTTTGTTTTTTTTGTTTCGTTTTTGAGACGGAGTCTTGCTCTGTTGCCCAGGATGGAGGGCAGTGGCGCGATCTCTGCTCATTGCAATCTCTGCCTCCCGGGTTCAAGCGATTCTCCTGCCTCAGCCTCCCGAGTAGCTGGAATTACAGGTGCCCCCTAACACGCCTGGGTAATTTTTGTATTTTTAGTAGAGATGGGGTTTCACCATGTTGGCCAGGCTGGTCCCAAACTTCTGGCCTCAGGTAATCCACCCACCTAGGCCTCCCAAAGTGCTGGGATTACAGGTGTGAGCCACCGCGCCCAGCCCTGATTGTTTCTGTTTGTTTGTTTTGAGACAGGATCTTGCTCTGTCACCCAGGCTGGAGTGCAGTGGCATGCTCACAGCTCACTGCAGTCTCGACCTCCTGGGCTCAAGCGATCCTCCTGCTTTAGCTTCCTGAGTAGCTGAGACTATAGGTGTGCGCCAACTCACTTGACTAGTTTTTTAATTTTTTTGTAGAGACAGGTTCTATGTTGCGTAGGCTGGTCTCAAGCTCCTGGGCTTAAACGATCCACCCGCCTCGGCCTCCCAAAGTGCTGGGATTACAGGCCTGAGCCACAATGCCCAACCTCAAATATTTCATGGGTTACATATTATATCATCGTCTCTAATGTCGTCTAAATTCTACAACTTTCATTATCATAATCACCCACATCCATAATAAATAGTAGAGGGGAGGCTTTAGTGACATTCCATTGACTAAAGCAAAGGCGAGCAAACCATTCTCTCCATCTGCCAGGCCGGATCTGGCCCACTGCTTGTTTTTATCAATAAAGTTTTATTGGAACACATCCATGTTCATTTGTTTACCTGTCATCTCTGGCTCTTTTTGTGCAACAATGGTAGAGCTGAATACCTGTGACAGAGACCACATGGCCTGCAAAGCCTAAAATATTTACTACCTGGCCCTTTACAGAAAATACTGCCCTTTGACCCATAGCGTCTCCCTGTGAGGTACCGTCTCCAGAGTCCAGGGAACTGGAAGGAAAAACCTTCAAACTCTCCCATTCCCATTCCCACTCAGAAGTTGCTAAAACCCTCCAGGAAGAAACGTGAATTCAAAGCAACTGTCTGCTAACAAAGGTAAATCCTTCTCTGGAGCCCTCCAGCTTGACTAACAGCCCATTTGCCATCAACCTGGTTATTATGAGAATTTCAATTAAATATAATCCTTCTTCTCTCTCTCTCTTTTTTTTTTTTTTTTTGAGACAGAATCTCACTCTGTTGCCCAGGCTGGAGTGCAGTGGCACCATCTCGGCTCACTGCAACCTCTGCCTCACGAGTTCAAGTGATTCTCATGCCTCAGCCTCCGAGTAGCTGGGATTACAGGTGCACACCACCAAGCCCAGCTAATAAATATAATTCTTCTATGTGTGTGTCTAAACTACTGAGAAAAAGCACAAACAGGACAGAATTGTGAACAAAGCACTCTCTTGAGGCTTTTCTCTGTTAGATACTTTCAAACGTAAAAAACAGGCCAGGCGCAGTGGCTCACGCCTGTAATCCCAGTCCTTTGGGAGGCCAAGGCGGATGGATCGCTTGAGGTCGGAAGTTCGAGACCAGCCTGATCAACATGGAGAAACCCCATTTCTACTAAAAATACAAAATTAACCATTGCACTCCAGCCTGGGCAACAAGAGTGAAACTCTGTCTCAAAAAAAAAAAAAAAATTCCAAAATAATTTTGCCAAGGGAAGAAGCCAGACACACAAAAAGTACATACTCTGATTCATTTACATACAAATGTAGAATCCGGGAACAAATTTCTTGTGATGGATATATGTTTGCCTGGGGATGGGAAAGGCAGGAGGGAGGGGTCACAGAGGGGAAGAAGGAAATTTCTCGGGGCGATGGTGATATGGTTTGGCTGTGTCCCCACCCAAATCTCATCTTGAATTGTAGCTCTCATAACTCCCATGTGCTGTGGGAGGGACCTGGTGGGAGATAATCGAATCACAGGGGCAGTTTCCTCCATACTGTTCTCGAGGTGGTGAATAAGTCTCACGAGATCTAATGATTTTATATGGTTCCCCCTTTCACTGTGTTCTCATTCTTTGCCGGCCGCCATGTAAGATGTCTCTGTGCTCTTCTGCCATGATTGTGAGGCCTCCCCAGCCATGTGGAACTGTGAGTCCATTAAACCTGTTTCCTTTATAAACTACCCAGTCTCGGGTATGTCTTTATCAGCAGTGTGCAAATGGACTAATACAGATGGGTATGTTCGTTCTCCTGTAATGGTTTCATCGGTTATGCCTGTGTCAAAACTCTTCAAATTGTACATGTATGTGTAGTTTATCATGTCATTTCTACCTCAACAAAGTTGTTTTAAGGAATCATAAAAGTCTTTATATAAATGGGTTCTTATGGAAAAACATGGACCAACATTACATGAAAGAAGCCGTGGTTGAAGTTGAGATGGAGGATTAGGGGCTGGAGGGAATTTCTTGGCTTCTGTGGGCTTCCATGAAATTGTGAATGCACTACAGATTATAACGGTGGTGTGGCAGTATTTGAGTGTCTTGGTTCCCCTTATAAGTACTTTTTTTTTTTTTTTTTGAAAGAGTCAGGGTCTTGCTCTGTTGCCCAGGCTGTAGTGCAGTGGCAAAATCATAGCTCACTGCAGCCTTGACCTCCCAGACTCAAGCCATCCTCCCACCTCATCCTCCCAAGTATCTTGGACTATAGGTGTGCACCACCACATCTGGCTAATTTTTGTAGTTTTTGTAGAGATGGGGATCTCACTCTGTTGCCCAGGCTGATCTCTAACTCCTGGACTCAAGCAATCCTCCTGCCTTGACCTCCGAAAGTGCTGGAATTACAGGTGTGAGCCACTGTGCCCAACTTCAAGTACATTCCTATATTTAAATGCGTATGTATTTCTTCATGGAGCTAAATATCGGCACTCTGTTTCTGCTATTCAGTGTTAAAATGTCTGGAATGTACTCCTGGATTCAGCCATTCCGCAGATATTTCTTAAGTGCAAATGTGTGCCAGGCAGTGTTCTAAGCTCTGGGGGTTAAACAGAAAGTGTGGCAGGTCTATCCTCACTCTTGGGTCTTCATTCTCACTCTCTAGGGGCTTCTTCTCCCAGCCTAAGATCACACTGCAGTGTTTCTCAAACTATGAACTAGAGCTACACACAAAGGCTTTTCTGACCTCTGTCTCCCTCTAGCTGCTGCACTGGCTTCCCTTCTTTCCCTCCACTGATCAGTTCCTGACAGTTTACACTTGCCACTCCCTGTGGGGCGCACCCGACCTCCTTGCAGGGTGGAGGCATTCACTGCCTGACTGCTGGGAGAGTGTGGCAGCCAGCTCCCAGCTGAGTCTCCCCAAAAGGAATTGTCCTTAGCCAGAGGAAGGACAATTCCCCTAAATCCACAGCCTAAATCCAGTGCTTGGTCAGTGGGGTGGTCCCTGTCCTTCCTTGGGTGCAGAGCATATTTGAGGGACATCCCAGCTGCACAGCTCCCTGAGAGGTTGGCTGAGGCCTCTGTTGCGACCTCACTGCAGCTCAACTTCTCCCTCTGCCCTGTCCTGCCTCCCTTCCTCCCTTATCAATGTACTCTGAGGATATTTTCCAATAAGCCACCTCCACTCAGATCTGCACCTCAGAATGTGATTCTTGGGAAATCCAATCTACACCACCACCTTCATCTCCATTATCCATTAACCCCTCACCCCACTGGGACCTGGCGTCTGCCTCTACCCCAAAAATGATCTCCACTGTCACAGAACCATGCATGGCTTTCCCCATAGATTTCTTGACAGGCAGCATTTCAGACCATGGCTTTCTCCTTCCCTGAAATTTCCCCTCTCCCCAGATCTGAGACTCCACTCTCTCATGTTGTCCATGCCCAACCCTCACCTCATCAATGCCTCTTTGAATCTTTGACTCTTCCTGCTCAGATCTCTAGTCTCCTTTCTTCTTCTCAAATTATGATATTTCCTGAGCCCTCATTCTACATGCTTACCCATTTCCATGCCTCAGCCATCACCTGTGATTTACAAACCCCAAATTGATATCTCTATTATTGGTTTCTTCCTTAAACATGCATCTATCCATCCATTTATCCATCCATCCATTTATCCATCCATCCGTCAATCCATGCATCCATCCAACCATCCAGCCATCTATCCATTCATCCATCCATCCATCCATGCATCCGTCCATCCATGCATCCGTCCATCCATCCATCCATCCATCCATCCATGCATCCATCCATCCATCCATCCATCCATCCATCCATCCATCCCTGCATCTGTCCATCCATCCATCCGTCCATCCATCTGTCCAACCATCCATCCATCCATCCGTCCATCTGTCCATCCGTCTGTTCATCTGTCTGTCCATCCATCCATTCATCCATGCATCCAACAAATATTTTCAGTGCTCTGAGCTAGGTGCTAAGGATACAGTGGTGAAAAAATATAGTGTCCTCACCACTTAAAAGCAGCTGTCAACTGGACAGCTCCACTGGGCTGTTTCCCAGGCTCCTTGATACATCATATTGCACACCCACCTGCCACTCCCTGCACCAGGAAACCCACTCTTATCCTCCAGGGTCCTCTCCCTTAGCTAGTAGTGGTTCACCAAGTCAGAAACGTGAGATTGTCCTAGACTCCTCTCCTTCACTCTCCACAGACCCTAGCATCCATCTCATTGGCTCTTCATGCATTTAGCTCTTCCTCGCATCTCTATGCTACAGCCCTGATTCCGGCTTTTATAAATTCTTGTCTCAACTTCCAAATTAGTTTCCCAGCTAGCCTCAAGGCCCAGACCCTTCCAGTTCCTGCTCCACACCCTCCTAGAGGGGTTGGTTAATGTTCGCTCTTCAAGCACGTCACCCACCTTGGATCCCTTTTCTACCCCTCCTGACTGTGCTCGGTGCTCCATGAAGCTGATTGCTGTGGGTTTCAGGTGATATCACCCGGCTCTCCTTGCTTCCTGGCATCCAGTTAGGTTTGACCGTTCAAGCAGGCTGGGCGTGGTGGCTCACGCCTGTAATCCCAGCCCTTTGGGAGGCTGAGGTGGGAGGATCACTTGAGCCTGGGAGGTTGAGGCTGCAGTGAGCTGAGATTGCACCACTGCACTCCAGCTTAGGTGACAGAGTGAGACCCTGTTTCAAAAAAAAAAAAAGACACCTCTTGATAGCCGTTTATATAGATCTATCTCATTGTCTTAGTGGCTAAACATTCCGGCTTCCGGATGAAGTATAGTTTATTTAACTGTTCCCTTCTTAGAACCAGCACTACTAGTTGTTCCCCAATATCCAGTCTCTCCTTCTTCCCCAATAGCAGAAGTGTCACATCTAAGCTGGGGACAAGACATTCAGAATAAAGACTATGAGTTGCAGCCTTCCTGCTCATGTGATTTTCTTCTGCCCAATGGCATGTGAGCATAGCTGGGGGTCATGCCCTTAGTGGGGAGGAGCATGCTCTCCCCATCCCTCTCTTTCTCCACTGGCTGGGATGTGACTGTGGAAGTGAGATATCTGTGCCTCTGCAGATGAAGACAGTGTTGCAATGATGGAAGGCGTCTTGGGTCCTTAAGTAGAGCGAGGATACCAGCCCTGGACTCCTTACAGCCAGACATTCCATGACAACAGGTTGGTCTAACTCCAAAGACCACATTAACCAATAACCAGTAGCAACTTCCGAGGGCAAAGAAAAGCACGTGAAAAGATCTCGTCCTCTGTTATGCTCCCTGACCTCGGACACTCACAACTTTGCCGTTTCTGCACGTTGCCTCAACTGTTATTTACCTAACAGCTTCTTTCAATTTAGCCCTCTTCTAAAATACAACAGAAATGTATTTATTTAAAGGAAAACTAGCTGGGCACGATAGCTCATGTCTAATCCCAGCACTTTGGGAGGCCAAGGTGGAAGGATCGCTTGAGCCCAGGAGTTCGAGAGCAGCCTGGGAAACATAGTGAGATCTCATTTCTACAGGGAAAAAAAAAAATTAGCTGGGCATGGTGGTGTGTGCCTGTGGTCCCAGCTACTCAGGAGGCTGAGGTGACAGGACCTCTTGAGCCCAGGAGGCCGAAGCTACAGTGAGCCATGATCATGCCACTGCACTCCAGCCTGGGGGACAGAGTAAGACCCTGTCTCTAAACAAACAAACAAATAAAAGGAAAACTTGGCAGGACATGGTGGCTCATGACTGTAATCCCAACACTTTGGGAGGCCAAGGCAAGTGGATCACGAGGTCAGGAGTTCAAGACCAGCCTGGCCAAGATGGTGAAACCCTCTCTTTACTAAAAATACAAAAATTAGCTGGGCGCGGCAGCAGACACCCGTAATCCCAGCTACTCGGGAGGCTGAGACAGGAGAGTTGCTTGAACCCTGGGGGCGGAGGTTGCAGTGAGCCAAGATCACACCATTGCACTCCAGCCTTGGCAACAGAGAAGACTCCATCTCAAAAAAAAAAAAAAAAAAAGAAAAAAAAGAAACCTTAACAGACCATTGTTTGCCATATCCAACAGGGAGTGATGAAAAACCCAATAAAACCAAACAATGTTATTAAATCAAAAATTAAAAACAAAATGAAATACAGGTACCTAAAAAATAAGTTCCCAAAGAGAAGAATGGGCCTTTTGTTGCTTATGCAATAACGACCTGTAGTCATTGCTAGTACCCATAACCTTTAACTTTATGCCTGAAAAGTCCATTTTAATCACTTAAGATTTAATCACGTGATCTCATTTTCATCACAGTGACTCTAGAAGATGCAATGATGGCAAGGGGCTTGGGTTCTGGTGCCACAGCAGAACTGGGGCAAAACCCCCCGCAACCTGCACCTTGGGCCTCCCGGGATCAATGGCTAGGCCTCACCACAGCACAGGGTCCTAAAGGGTCTTGGGGTCACTTGCTGAGATGATTTTTTTTTTTAACTTTTTGTTGTCAACTTATTTACTTCTCTGCCAATATTCAAATAGGTAAGCATTCATAAAACAGCAAAAAAAAAAAAAAAAAAAAAAAAAAAAAATTCCTCTAGAACGGCCAAAGAATCTGTTCTACTTTACTTTTTAGAAACCTGGAAACCAGGAGCTCTGGCATTTGTGGAATAGCAGCATTGAAAATATCTACGATAGGCTGGGCTCAGTGGCTCATGCCTGTAATCCCAGCACTTTGGGAGACCGAGGTGGGCGGATCACCTGAGGTCAGGAGTTTGGGACCAGCCTGGCCAACATGGTGAAACCCCGTCTCTACTAAAAATACAAAAATTAGCTGGGTGTGGTGGCGCACACTTGTAATCCCGGCTACTCAGGAGGCTGAGGCAGGAGAATAGCTTGAACCGGGGAGGCGGAGGTTGCAGTGAGCCGAGATCAAGCCACTGTACTCCAGCCTGGGTGACAGAGTGAGACTCCGTCTCAAAAAAATAAAAAATAAAAAAAACCTCCTATATCAAAAATATCATTTGATGATCATTACTACATAAGAGCTTTGTTCACAGTGTTGGGATAATTGCAGATTCACATGTGGTTATAAGGAACAATACAGAGATGTCCTGTACTCTCAACCCAGTTCCCCTCAATAGTCACATCTTGAAAAACTATCATAGTACAATATCACAACCAGGAGACTGACAGTCATCTGGTTCACTGACTGCATTCAGATGTCCCGGGTTTTACTTGTATTCATTGTGTGTGTGTGCGCACACACACGTGTGCACGTGTGCATTTAGACATGAAGCAGGAAAACAAAGTGATAGCAAATTGTAACGTGCTATAAAAAAGTAAAGGTTTTAAAACATGCTGGGGCCCTATTAAATCAGACTGTCTGGGGTGGCGCCTGAGCTTTGGGGTATTTCCAAGTGGTTTTAATAGACAGCCAGGCCTGGGTAGCACGGCCTTAGCCTTGGAGCCCTGCCCTCATTCCTTCTCTGGGGGTCTCACTCTATTGCCCAGGCTGGTCTCTAACTCCTGGGCTCAAGCGATTCTCCTCTCAGCCTCCCAAAGTGCTGGATTACAGCCGACGGCCACCGCACCTGACCCAGTGGTCACCTTTCACTGTCCCCCTTGCCCACTCTGTCTCAGACACCCTGGGCTCCGGGCTGTTACCTGAATTGTCCTTTCCCCAAGCTGGGCTGTTGCTTCCCATCTTTCAGGTGTCTGCTTGGACGCCACCTCCTCAGAAAGGAGTATTTTACGCCAATGCTCAGGCCATCTTTGGTGGGTTCCGAGCAGGGGTGACCAGGGATTGCCAGTGTGCCACGGGGTCCCACTGCCCCCATTCATCTCCCAGCCTCTTGTCTTCACAGTAGTTCTCTGTAGATATGGGGGCAGTGGTTGAGGGGTGCTTTCCACAGAATATGGAGCCAAAGCCTTAAAGCAAGAGCCCCCCCAACCCCCAAACCTCCCAAGGCCCGGGCTCAGCACTCCTGGGGGAGGGAGGGGTCTGTCGGGTACAGGAGAGGATTGATTAGATAAGGCAGAATCGCAAATGCGTAGAGCTCTCCCTCTGCAGTGTCAGTGTCCCTGGAGCACATCTGACCCCATCAGGCAGGAAGTCTCCACATGGTGAGAGCACGACTTTAACCTCTCCTGAACCCTTTCTAACCTCTCTTCTCACCTTTGATAAGTATATCTACCCAGAATGGAATACATTTTGTTTTTATTTCTTGTATAGCTCTCTTTTATATATGGACACTGATTTTCTGTATAAGGTAATGATATCAACTTTCCTTTATAAAGAAATTGGAGGAGTTGATTAAACAATTTTTTTTAAAATTTATTTTTGATCTGAGTGTCTCAGGTTGAACATGTTGCCCAGGTTGGTGTCAGACACCTGGGCTCAAGCAATCCTGCTTCAGCCTCAGGGATTATAGGCTCGTGCCTCTACGCCCCGCAGAAGTTGATTTTATCACTATGAAATCGATAGAAACCCAGGCGGTTCAGGGATGCAGCAACATTGTAACAGTCTATGTACTGGATTCAGGTCTGCAGATTAGGTCCTGGCATCACTTGGTTGGAATTGCAGACTGCTGTCCTGCTCTCCCTGCAGGCTGGAGCGACCTGGAGTCAACTGTTAGCCAGGACAGGGGTCTCCGTGGGCTTCGACAGGGCCCTTGAATTCAAGGCTGGGTCAGCCGGTGGGAGTCATTCTCTTGCCCCTTTGCCGGGGCTCAGCCAATAGGACTCCCTGCCACCTGTCATCTGTCAGCACAGCTCTAAGGAACCTCTTCAGCCCTGCTTCTTAGAGTGGTACTGGGTCCTGACTGCACCCTGCTGTGGTGTGGTTCACCTTCTGGAAGCATCAGACTTTCTGAAGAAAAGCAATTTAAGTGGCTATTTGAAGCCGTATTTTTAGAGGAAAAGATGTGGAGCAGAATGCAACATTCACATTCAGCTTAACCTAAAATTCTTAAGCTTTAAACTCTGCCCCTGGATCCCAGGGGGGTCCGCATGCTGTGTCCTCTAGCTTTGGGGGTATGTTGGTGGACAACTTGAGACACTGTCCACCAGTGCAAATGGCACTGTGGTTTTCTGTTCCTAGGGCCAGGCTGGAAAGCTCTGAAAATAACACTGCACTTGGCAGGGCCAGGCACGGTGGCTCACACCTATAATCCCGACACTTCAGGAGGCCGAGGCAGGCGGATCACTTGAGCCCAGGAGTTCGAGACCAGCCTAGGCGACCTGGTGAAACCCCATCTCTACTAACAACAACAACAACTTAGCTGGGCGTGGTTGCTCATGCCTGTAATCCCAGCACGTTGGGAGGCTGAGGCGGGCGGATCACTTGAGTCCAGCAGTTCGAGACCAGCCTGGGCAACATGATGAAACCCCATTTCTAATAACAAAAAACAAAAACAACAACAGCAACAAAAACTTAGCTGGGCGTGGTGGCTCACGCCTGTAATCCCAGCACGTTGGGAGGCTGAGGCAGGCGGATCACTTGAGACCAGCCTGGGCAACATGGTGAAACCCTGTCTCTACAAAAAATAGCTGGGCGTGGTGGTGCACGCCTGTAGTTCCAGCTACTTGGGAGGCTGAGGTAGATCACTTGAGCCTGGGAGGTTGAGGCTGCAGTGAGCTGAGATTGAGCCACTGCACTCCAGCCTGGGCGACAGAGTGACACTGTCTTAAAACAGAATAAAACTTTTGAAAAAGCACCTGGCATGTAGAGAACCCTTAACACACCAATGCCGTTACCCTCCCTCCCGTTGGACCATGTAAATACCTATTCATGCAAAGTTCCGCCAGGGCTGAAGGCCTGGTCTCTGTCAAGGTCCATATGGGTTCCAGTTCTGGCTTTTGTTCCGAGACACCCCTCTGCACATTTGAAATCAAAGGGTCAGCAGGAAAAGATCTGAACTTTGGAGAAGAGGAAAAACCAATTAAGTCCCAATGCATGGAAACGATGCCTTAGCCAAACGTTAAGATGGTTTGCTCAGTGCAACCTCAATTTGTCATCCCCCCAACTTTTTGAGACTGGGTCTCACTATATTGCCCAGGCTGGCCTCGAACTCCTGAGCTCAAGTGATCCTCCTGCCTCGGCCTCCCAAAGTGCTAGGATGACAGGCATGAGGCCACCATGCTTGGCCATCCCTCAGTCTTGATGCAAATACTCCCCCTTCATCTCAGTCCCTACCTTCATGCCATTCAACCTGAATTTGATCCTCTGGGTCAAGGGCCCCAATTTGACCTTGTCGTCATTCCCCGGTTCATCCACCTGCACAAGCCAACAGTGTGGCACTACCACAGTCTCCTGTCCTCAGGTGTCAATAGGTGACAGCTCAGCTATTATTCCTTGCAATATTTATTCAGCCACTATCATCGATCTGAGAAGGTGGATTACAAAGACTAGAGAGAGCCTATTCAGCATGTGGTGGCCTAGCACAGTTCCTTGAAATGATGGAAGGAGCTAATTACTCTTGACTGGGGAAGGAAGTCCAGGGCAAGCTGCCCTCCAGTCTTTGAGGGTGGAAAGCATAGCACCGCAGAGAAGTTGAGGTTCATTAGAGCTGGGAACACACCCAGGGGAGCAGAGCAAGGAGGGATATTTGAAAATGTGTAAATGCCTGAGGCCAGGCGCAGTGGCTCATGCCTGTAATCCCAGCACTTTGGGAGGCTGAGATGGGCAGATCGCTTGAGCTTTGGAATTTGAGACCAGCCTGAGCAACACAGTGAAACCCCATTTCTATTAAAAATACAAAACTTAGCCGGATTCGGTGATAGGTGCCTGTAATCCCAGCTACTTGAGAGGCTGAGGGACGAGAACCGTTTGAGCCTGGGAGGCAGAGGTGACAGTGAACTGATATCCAGAGTGAAACCCTGTCGAAAGAAAAAAAAAAAAAGAAAGAAAAAGAAAGAAAAAAGAAAAAGGAAGAAAGTAGAAAGAGAAAAGGAAAAAAGAAAACAAAGAAAAAACGTGTTAAGTGCCTGTGTTAAAAAGTTTACCCTGACTCTTGGTGGCTCTGCGTGACTAGAAAGCCCCGAGCCATGGGCCCAGCATGGTCAGCTGCAGGTCTGTGCCAGACAAAGGGCAGCATCCAGGCACTGGCAGTCGGGATTAAGACCGAGAAGTAAGGGTGGCTTAGGGAATAGAGCTGTATTTATTTAAGGACTAGGCAAAGATCCAAACCACTTTAAAAAATTTTAAATCAAACACTTTATTTCCACATAACAAGCGCAAAAAACTCCCAAACACTTTAACAATACAATTAACGCAGTTATGAATTATATACTACTCAAAGCCCCAAGGTCAGAAGGTCAATCAGCTTAACGCTCCAAACATTTCCAGACATGGTTTTTCAAAGCTACCTTTGGTTTTTGGAAAAACCAGTATGGAAGTCAATATACATTGAACGCACTGAATAACATTTGCTTATAGTAAGGTGTCCGACAACATTAGCTCACACCTGGCAAGTTGGAGCATGATCTGAAGTCATACACTGAAATCCATACACAGGTTTCGCCCCCGAGCTCCTGCAGGGAGAAGCGAGGGCCGTGAAGGGGGAAGAAAAGGCCAGTCCGGGTGTGGCGTTTCTCGCTTTGTAACAGAGGTATGAGAGTTTAACACTAGTACACTGTCAAGTCATTAAGCTTCATGTTCCACATGGTTTCTTGCTGAGGCTTGAGATGGGCACAAATGGTGGGGAAGATGAAGTCACAGAAGAGTTTTGAGCAACAAGATCCCAAAGATGCTCAGAGAGGGTGGGAAGGAGCAAGCTACAGTTTCCCATTGTTCTCACATTATTTCAGGGTGAAATTGTGATGAGTTCAGATAAAATGTTCAAATATTTGCTTAGATTTTTAATCGGTTGCTCTATGAGAACCCTCATACATAGCAACTTTGAAACTTTCATTATAAAAAAGAGCCTACAAATAAATTCACAAAAAGGAGACAATTAATGTTGAGCAGCCAAAAAGTCATGGTTTATTATATCTGAAGAAATTTCATAATTCAAACACAACCAAACTGTACATTTTACAATCACATTCTATTTGTAAACAGTTAAAAGCCACTGACTTCTTTTGCATCTTAGGACACAAACAGTTAGAATCAAGGCAATGATATGATGGCAAATTCTGTACTGTTAAAATTTTTACCCTTGTTTAGTCTCTCTTCTTTGACTAAGCAAGCATTATAATACCATTTGTGGGCAAAAAAAGGGGGGAGGAAAGAAAGTTTAAAATGGTGTAACTCGTTAGTTTGCAACAACATTTAAAATTTTCTTTATACAACAAACAACTCTGTAAGCCCAATACCTTGGTTACAGTATGCATAGTTACTGATTTCGGCTTTAAGGTACAACAGTTAAACATTAACACAGTCACGAGAGAGCAGAAACATATGGAGCCACTTGATGGGATTACAAAAAATTATTACCTATTGATTATTAGCAAACCATCATCACTCACTAATAAAAAGACAGCATCTGAAAGCAGAATGTCAAACTCCAGCTTTAAGCGTTTTTTTGTTTTTTCTTTTTTTTTGGCAGAGAAAATTCTTTAACAGAGCAATATGTAGTATCAGTGCTAAAAGTTGGGGTTTTTCTTTTTTTCCTCTAAGAAACTACAAGGAATTTTTTTTTTTTTTTTTAAACTGGGGAACTGGTTTTCCTGAGAACCATGCTCTTTGATTTGGGACAGGAATAGAAAAACAAAAGAACATGGCCAAATGCTGCTCCTTTTTCCCAGAGATAGAAAGCATCTTTTAAATCATCCTCCATTTTTTTTTTGTCTTTTACATTTTTTTTAAATGATGGAAGAGTAAACATTTTTTTTTCTCAAAAAACAAACAAAAAAATCTGTAAACAAGAAGGTTCAAAGTGAGAACCTCCAAAACAAAATGGAAAGCCTATTCAAAGTGCAGGGCCCGTCCTGGGTGGCAGGTGGGCTGCAAGTCACAGCTGTGGCCACAGTTTTTCAAACTGCAGAGCGAAATTCTTTAGTTTTACAACATGAAAAAACTGGTGCAACACTTTCATTAATAATCCTAAGTCAGCATCCTAACTTGATCTTTTAAACTCCACGATACCACAATAAGGTAGGCAACATCAAGGCATAGTAGAGAGCGCACGCCTCCTAAGAACACCCTTGAGTAAACATTGACACTGGGACAGCTGCCCCCCATACTGCCGATGAGACGGAGAGAACATCATTCAGTGCAAAGGGAAAAGCTCATACGTTATCAGCCCAAAAAATGGTTTTGCAAGAGAGAAAAAAAGGGGCGGGGGGGGGGGTTGGGGAGGAATAGAAGGAAAAAAAAAAAAAGAATCCAAAGGCTAAACATGATGAATAGACACAAGCGAGCTCATTCTCTACGGTTTAGCATGTATGGCGCTATTTGGGAGTGTAAATAGAGTAGATACCTTTTCACATTATAATATTGGCCTGCATGATTCAAGTATTCAAACTGATATGTTTTGGGGAAAACAAAGTGGAAAATGTGCAGAGAATAGCTGTTCCCACAGGCGGCCCCTGGCTGCAGGCGGCGAGCCCCACTTAGTGCTCCTTTCCCTCGCGTCTGAGGTCCCGGTCGGTGAGTCTGCATCTACACTGTTACATGGACTCTCCACCCCCACCCAGGTGGTCAACAGAAAGAAAAGCGTTAATGGGAGATGGGCTGCTAATTCCTCGGGGGTCGCTGCTGCTTGGGGGACCCCACAGGCTTGTGGAATAATGCGGGGTCCCCCAGAGTGAAGTGCCGTGAAGGTCTCCACAGTTAGTTCCCGACAGCCCAGCACCATTCCAGTGATTGAGATCGGTCCGGCTGGAGAATGAGTGGGAACAGTCGAGGGAGCCCAGCCGGCTCTGGCTGGACCCGAGAGACTGCCAGCCGGGAGAAGGGGTCAGAGACTGGCTTTGTGCAAAGAAACGACTGATCTCCTCTTCACTGGCAAACTCAGCAAGAATAGTAGTGTTCCCCAGTACACACCTAGAGGAGAGAGGCACCGCGGACACGTGAGGACAGCACACCAGGAGGGCTTCATTCACTCACAAGTGAGGGTGCAACTTGTCTCTGCTAGAAAAGCCACAGAAGGCACAGAGGGAGAGACTACACCACATAACCTGCGTGCCCTCCCTTCACCCGAGTGTGCACCCACAGCTCTCCAGGGCCTGGTGCCTTGCCCAGAGCGAACTTCCTCTGTCTGCCATGGGCAACGTAAGGGACTTTCTAGGGCCATCTAGCCAGGTCTGATTCCCCGCTTAGGAATGCCGACCTTGGAATCAGGGCACTACTGCAGCCAGCAGGAGCCACCCACGCAGGACCCTGTGCACTGCCCCGGGTCAGGCTGTGCTCTCACACTCCTTCCCCTAGACTCTTCCAACTGGGAGCCCAACAGCCAACTTACATGTGCAGAGACTTTTGTGCCTTCACTACCTCTTCTTTTGAACTGTAGCGGACCAGAGCATTTCCGTGAGGGAGGTTCAGGTGGAATGTGATCAGCGGGCCGTGCTGCATGCACAGAGTGCGCAGAGTTGAGCCATCGATCTAGGAAACAGTGTGGAAACTGCCAGTGAGAGGCGTCACCGCGGGCCCTCCAGGAGGCTGTTTCAGGCTGCACTGCTGCCCCTCCTCTCTTTCCTGAGGCTCTGTGCTCCTGGCACCACTCTTCACTGACACTCTGACGTTGCTCTGACGGGGTGCAGAGCCATCTTCCCCACCTCCACTGCTCCCAGAGCCATACCGCTCTGGCCTCTAGACTCCTGGACACTCCCCAGATCCCCACTGTGGCTCCATGTCTTCTCTCTTCCCTGCCCTGAGGACAGCATCCATCAAGGTTCTGCTCCCTGAGGGAGGAGGGAGGTGGGAGCTCAACACCCAGCCTCCAGAGGAGGGCGCAGGCCAGGGGCTAAGAAAATGCTCTCACCTCAGGGGCAGACCAGGATTTCTCCATGTGCCAACAAGGACCACCTGTGTCAAATTCATCTGCAGGCCCTCATACAAATGCAGAGTCCCAGCCCCTAGCCCAGATCTACTGACTCAATCTCTGGGTGAGGCCTGGGAATCTGTATGCTTGGTTGGTTCCCAGGCACATTACAGCGTGAACCACCAGATTCGACCACAGCCTGCCTGAGGTCTACAGACCACTCCTCTGCTGTTTCCTCTGCTCGGCTTCACTACCACCTAGCAGCCCTTGTCTCACATACAGACCCGAACCTCTGTTCCCATGCTCCCTGGCGTAGCCACATAAACCAGCGTATCTGGTATCCTTACCTGAGGTGTAAGGTTTTTTAGAACAAGCCAATTTGTTATTCTCCCTGAGCTGCTCTCACCCCAGCTGGAACCTAAACAAGGAAAAAAAGGACAAGTCAGTTTTCCAGGACTGAAAGAGCCCAACTACAGTTACTTAGCAGATCACCTGGCCTCTTGACTTCCTTCACTTCCTTGCACTTCTACATGGGAGGCTTTCTCCCTAGGCCCAGAATTTCAGCTCGCCCTAGCCATGGCCAGGCATTAACTCCTATGGCAGGGGGCTCTGCCTCTGGCGACAGTGAGCTCAGAATGGCTCCCAGTTCACCACAGAGGAGGGCAGTGAGCCACAAAAGGCTGCATCTTTTTGAGATCTTCTCATTGATAGGAGCTAAAATAATCTCAAACGGTACCATCTGGGGAAGACTTCAGTAGTGTCTGATCACTCTGCGTGTGTGTCCTTCAGGGCATGAAGCTTTAAGGGGATTCCAGAGCTTGCGATCGCACAGATGCTCCTTGTTTTCCCCGGGGTTACTGCAGGGGCTCCCCATCTGGCCTTCCTGCTGGACCCCTGTGGCATCCACCCTTCCCCTGGGAGTACAGCCCTCATCCCTGACCCCATCTGCAACTCAAGGCACCTCACAAACACTTCAGGTGCTGGGAAAGACCATTCCATGACACAGCTCAGGCCTATCCACCTCTCACGGAATCCTCCTCCACTCCCTGCAATCCTCTCATCACTCCAACGGGAGCCTTTGTGCTTTCTCCGGTGTCTGGGCCTTGGCAGAGGCTGCCCCTCGGTTCGCTTGGCTTACTCCTACAGGTTTCCTAATTCCACTCAACTGCACCAAGCCTCCCTGGGGTGGGTTCCTGGGCCACTTTCACTAGCGCCCCTCGCTGTGTGCTGCCAGTCTCTTAGCTGGCATCCAGACAGATGTCTGCGGCCTCCAAAAACCACTCACACCAAACCAAAAACCACTCACACCACACCAATTATGTTAACTTGCATTCAGCAGCTTGGCACGTACTTTAGTGTTCTTTTCCTATAATTAACCCGCACTCAAAGGAAAAGCTGCAAGTTTTCCTACAGCCAATCACCTGTCTAAAGATCAGAAATTACATATTTAATCAGAAAATATTAATGAGGTTTTATTACTCATTTTCAGCTTGAAGATGGGAATGTTTGGTAGTTTGCAGGCAAGGTAGAGTGAAGGATAAGACTGTATTTACTGGGGAAACTGCTAGGCTCATCTGGGGCTGTGTGTGTATATGTATGGTGTGGAGACAGCACAGGCAGGAAATGATGCCAGTACAAATCCAATGTTAGTCATTATAGAATGAGGAAAGGCAGAGGAACCAGACTGCCGGGGCCTTCTGGCTTATGCCTGTTGGCCATGTATGATTAATCAACAGCACTCTCTTTCACTCTCAAATGTCCCCATTTAATACAGGCCAAGCTACCCCCCTAGTCTTCAAGGCCCAGATGGCCTGCTCCCATGTTCCCCAGACTTGCCCAATACTGCCTTCTGCTCCATGTGATGTGGTTTAAGCCTGCCATGAGCAGGAAGTTCCTACACATTTTAAGATGTAGTCTTGAGGAACTTCTGAGACAATGGAGCTTCCTAATGCATTAATGTTATTGCAGCCTGTTGTGTGCCTTTGGGTGGATCATTTGTTTACCGAAGTTCTCATTCCCCCTGATGGAGGTGAGGCAATAGTTTACCGTTCAGGTCTCTGTTAAACTCGACTGTTAGTACTGGTTAGCGTTTAGCAAATAAACCACAGAAACCCACCTTACGACTGCATCTTACCTGGGGTATATCTGGCGTCAGAATTTCCCCATCCTCCACCTATACGAAGGGGAGAATTATCCCACGTAGACAAGGGTGGCTTCTGACCAGTCAGTCCCGGAGGTGGGCGGGACGGAGCAGTGATGTTTTTAGGTGGCAAAGGGACCTTCCACAGCTCATGAGCCAGAGAGGTGTTTGTAACTGAACCAGGAGACCATGTCAATTTGGAATCACTATTTCTGGCTACTCAAAGGGGGAAAAAATGGAGAGGGGAGGAATAATGTTTAAGAAAGGAGGAAATTTAAATAATGACATCCATTCTCCCACAAAAAGCAAATCTAACAAACAAAAGAAACTTTAAAACCCCAAATCAACTAAACTGCCAAAAAAGAAAATCAGTCCAAAGGAAACTGCTTTCCATCCCTCCAAACACTCAAGCCATTGATCTGTTACTAACAGCTGTAAGACCTATGAAATTCTTAGGCCAGTGTCCAAAACTGTACTCAAACTGAAATGGAAAACAATCTGAATTGCTCTAAAATAGCAATTGTGAAATTCTTAATAACCGTAATTGAGTCACTCAAGAAAGGCCATTTAAGTGAATTTTAGAACTTTGTTGTTTACTCAGGGAAAAAAGGACTGCAAAAGAGCCCCAACTCAGGAGCTGCCAAAGGAGATCTTCACGGGGTGCCTGCCTCTCTGTGCTGAGCATTGGCTGCTGGGCACCTGGCATGTGCTGTCTGTGGTCCTGACACAGTCTACTGAAGACAGAGTGGGTAAGTAATTTGCTTATGGGTCTAATGCAGAGCCAGGATTCAAAACTAAGCCTGTATGGCAAAACAAAAAACAAAAAAACAAAAAAACAAAAAAAAAAGAAAGAAAAAGGGAGGGAAGAAGAAAGGAAAGGAAAGGAAGGAAAGACAGAGAGAGAAAGAAGGAAAGGAAGGAAGAAAGAAAAAGACAGCAGGCCCAGTTCCTGACACACACTGCCTCGCAGCAATGGAGACATGAGTGGGTATGCAGGGACCAGGTACACAGTAAACCACATCAACTATCATGCTAAAAGCATGAGGGGACAGCAAGGAGTGGAACAATTCCTGTCTTCCATCACTATCAACTCTTTTTCTTACTTCACTTACAAAGTGTGTGTGCATTAGGTCAGTGCTACTCAGGGTATGGCCAGGAGACCACCACAACACAGTTTCATACTAATCTGCTGCAGGACGAGTCCAGAAATCCAGAGTGCGCATATGTAGACAGACAGCAACCTGACATTCCTGTAACTCTCAAGTGTGCCATCATTTTCCTAGCAATTCAGAATTCATGTTTACCGTATTTTACAAAAGTATCAGTCTATGAGGATTGGCATTTTTTTTTTTTTTTAAAGATCCTCCGCTGCAGATAGTCTGAGAACTAGTTTGGATTAAATTACATTTAATTACAGAGCTGCTGTGGCTCTGAGATGAGATGAGAGCTGTTCAGTGAAAACTGATTTTAGTAGATGACTGCTGGGTACAGTAAGTTTAAAAAGGAGTAAGGGATGTTAAAAATAATTTCCCAGGCTCACAAACAGAATCTCCTAATTCCCTGAGAAGACTGGACGAAAGAAGAGGGCATTAAAACAACAGCCGCGGCTCTGGCTGTGACCAACCCTCCCTTCCTGAGCGAAGGCGAGGCCCACCTGAAGTGCTTTGTGCTGTACTGCTGAGGGGAACGTTGTAGTTGGAGGCACGAATGGATGACCAGGCACTAGTTGAAGGCAGCGTGGTGTTCAAGGATGAGGATGACCCTGTGTGGGGGAAGAGTCCAATCAGCCACCAGAGCAAGGGACGTGGAGGTTCAGAAAAAGCAAAAGCTTCCAGAGAAATCAAAGCTAACAGTATGCCACAAGAAAGGAAACAGGTCCACTCAGGGTAAGATGGTGCCCGAGACATCTTCCTTCTTGCCTTCAAAAGAGCATGCTGAGCGAGCTCGCCAATTGTCTCTGCCTTGGCTCAGCACAGGCATTTTCCCTCTGATTTTGTCCTCACTGGCTGTGAGGATGCGCTCTAGCAATGGGGTCCAGCCACCAAGACAGCACTTGGCTCTGCTTCCCAGCACTGGGTCTAAAAAGGAGGTTCGAGTCTTGGTGCTAACTCGCCCCTGAGCTCCAGTGACTTCTTACTGGCTATCCTGCTCTCTAAGGCACCTGGTCACAGACACTACTAGTGAACAGGCCCTTCAGCCTTCTCCATTACGCGATATATTCAGGCTCCCAAACCTGGTGTAGCTTTCCATTTTCAAAACCCCATCGACCACTACTCTAGTTGAGCTCTAGACCCGACCACCATCTGGATTACTACACCAGTTCCCTGGCTTGTCTCCCAACCCAATCCACTCTGCTCACCACAGCCAGATTACCCCATCTTAAAGATTCTTCCACTCAAAGCCTTCAATGTTCTATTTCCTTTAACACCAAATTCAAACTCTACTGACTTTCAGAGCCATCGGATTCTTCCACTAACTCCCACGCCATGAGAATTTATGCTTGGCTTAGTGTTCCCATAGCGGGCAGAGCTGTCTGTGAAACCCAGCCATTTCACAATGCTAAGGACTCTTCTCTGCTTGTTACCTCTGTAAATTACACGTCTAACGCAACATGGTGGCTGCTTCACATGTGCTTTATAAACTGTTTAAAGGTATAGATGGTATTTTAAAAAGACAGAAAATACTTTTTAATATTTAAAAAATTAATTTCGTTAACACTCTTCTGGTACAAAATCATGGATGAAACACATCTAAATGCCTTGAGGTGAAAAGTAACCCCGTGGCAGGTAATCGGATTTTATTTGCTAACCAATTAAAAAGCACATCTGGACTGCAGGGATCCTTAAATTGGTCTTATTCTTACTCTCTGAAAGACAGCCTAATTCGCTCTTCCAGATGAAAGTCCTTCAATATTCAGAGTATATAAGCATATATAATAATATAACGTCTTTTACAAGAAACACCCATTTTTTAAACTACCATAATCTTGTAACTCAGTATAAAGTTAGTAACAACCTTCATTTGCTGTTTTTTCATTCCTTTAATACAACTGCTGGAAAGCAAAGGTTTGCTGGTCCTTTATGTTAACTTATTAAATTAATATATATATTTGCCATACTAAGGGATGATAAAATCCTCACCATTTAAAAAGTAGCCAAATTAAAGAGCCACCTATGGGAACAGAGAGAATTCTGTCTGCCATTCTTCTTCTTCGTTTTCTTTCTTTTTTAAAGAGACAGGGTCCCACAACTATGTTGCCCAGGCTTGCCTCAAGCTCCTGGGCTCAAGTGATCCCAGAGTACCCTGGGCTCAGTCGCCCAGAGTAGCTGGGTACTACATGAGCCATTCTTAAACTGTGTTAAGTGTCACTCAGAAATTGATTTGCACCCCCTACGTACCACTGTTCCTGTCCCTGAGGTGGTCAACTTCCCGCACAGTATTAATTGAAAGATTGTTTATGACACTGCCAGGAGTGACGTAAGGGTCAGTTTCAGGGTCAATGTTTGGATAACCTTTCCATGGCTCACCAGGACGAAATTCTGGAAACGGAAATTTAAAATTAGTTCAAAGCTTAATCATCATTTTAAAATCCATTAATAAATATCCAAAACCTTTATTCCTGAATCCTATGCAACTCTCAAATACTTTCCAATTTACACTAATACTCTAAGAGGATGGTTCAGTTAATACAATTAGTATTATAGAAGCTATTCTTTATAAATTACTTGCAAGTTTTTACAACTGAAATCATCTCACTGAATGTGAATATACATACCCACACACACACGTAACATATACACATACGTACTTGTGTGTGTGTTAAAAAATCATATATATGTATGTATGTTTGAGACAGGGTCTTTCTCTATCACCCAGGTTGGAGTGTAGTGGTGCAATCACAGCTCACTGCAGCTTTGAACTCCTGGACTCAAGTGATCTCCCACCTCAGCCTCCCAAAGTGCTGGGATTACAGGCATAAGCCACTGTGCCTGGCTGTGATTCATGTATTTTTTTTTTTTTTTTTTTGAGACAGAGTCTCGCTCTGTTGCCCAGGCTGGAGTGCAGTGGCATGATCTTGGCTCACTGCGAGCTCCGCCTCCTGTGTTCACGCCACTCTCCTGCCTCAGCCTCCCGAGTAGCTGGGACTACGGGCACACACCGCCATACCCGGCTAATTTCTTTTTGCATTTTTAGTAGAGATGGGGTTTCACCGTGTTAGCTAGGACGGTCTCCATCTCCTGGGACCTCGTTACCTGCCCACCTCAGCCTCCCAAAGTGCTAGGATTACAGGCATGAGCCACCGTACCCGCCAGATTCATGTTTATTTTTAAACAGTAACATTTAAAAGTGCTTTAAGCTTTAAGACAAATCACAAAGCTACTGCAACTCAGGTAGGAGAAAGCAGGCCATAGAAGCACTTCTGGTAACTCCTATGTATGAATGAAAATACTGCAAGTTACTCCCTGACACAACTTACGAGAAACAGCGAATTAAAGTTTTTGTTGTTGTTGTCTTGCTCTGTCGCCCAGGCTGGAGTGCAGTGGCGCAATTTCGGCTCACTGCAAGCTCTGCCTCCCGGGTTCACGCCATTCTCCTGCCTCAGCCTCCTGTAGCTGGGACTACAGGCGCCCGCCACCACGCCTGGCTAATTTTTTGTAGTTTTAGTAGAGACGGGGTTTCACCGTGTTAGCCAGCATGGTCTCGATCTCCTGACCTCGTGATCCGCCCGCCTCGGCCTCCCAAAGTGCTGGGATTACTGGCATGTGCCACTGCGCCCAGCCTAAAGTTTTTAATATAATTCTTCATGCTGGTCAATGGGGCTCACTTCTACCTCTGCTGCTTGAGCATAAAGGCATAGGTAACAGGCTGACACACTCACTTGCCCAAGACTTCATGCTTAACTTTTCCTCAATCACTTCTGCATTCCTTCTCATCCGCACACGTCAGTCTAAGCACGCCGATCTGGGCTACATCAGTAGTAAGTCCAGATGTAACAAAACCTTAATGGAAACACAGTCTCATGAAAGAAAGTGTTAGAAAAAATTTTACCTGGTGGCCAATTAACACTGCTAGAGCCGTTAGGCGATTTGGCACGTGGCCAGCCATCTCCTATTGAACCTGGAGGACTGGCTGGTGAAGTACTGCTGTTCATAAAGTCATAGGGAACAAATGGAGACTCTTCCAGCCTGAAACCACTTGAAATAGCACCTAACAAGGGAAGAATAATAGAGAAATGTGAGCAAAATACACACAGATTTATTTCTTATAGCTTTTCAAATGTAGCATGAACACTTTCTATTAGATCTGTGGGCTCTAGGCTGTGTTCTCTAGAGTAACTCTTTTATATTGAGATTCTAACATCGCATTTGAAGAATGTCTGAAAATGATAACTGTGAATTTCATTTTAAGTTTATGAGATGCATAAACATCATTAAGTGACCAGAATATGAGTACAAACTTATTTCCAAATCATTAAAACACTTGTATGGTGGAGGGCTATGATAGCTCAGGGGTTCTTTTCAGGCAATAGAAATGTTTAAAAATGGATTGTGGTGATGGCTACACAACATCATGAATATACTAAAAGACACCGAATTATAAGTAAATTATATCTCAATAAACTGTTAAAAAAGAAAGGATGGGGCCAGGCGTGGTGGCTCATGCCTGTAATCCCAGCACTTTGGGAGGCTGAGGCAGGCAGATCACGAGGTCAAGAGATCGAGACCAACCTGGCCAACATGGTGAAACCCTGTCTCTACTAAAAATACAAAAATTAGCTGGGCATGGTGGCACGCACCTGTAGTCCCAGCTACAGCTACTTGGGAGGCTGAAGCAGGAGAATCGCTTGAACCCGGGAGGCAGAGGTTGCAGTGAGCTGAGATCATGCCACTGCACTCTAGCCTGGGAAGAGGGCAAGACTCCGTCTCCAAAAAAAAAAAAAAAAAGAAAAAAAAAAGAAAAGAAAAAAATGACACCAGAAGGAGTAAATTTGGAAGGGAAAACCAAGTCTCCTCCATTCATGTTGAATTTGAGGTGGATGCAAATAGAACCTCGCTCGCAACTCCAGCCGGCTCCCACTATGAACATCTATAACACACAGCCGGGCCCTGCATGCCACTCCAGCCCCACTCTTTCCTCTGGCTTCAAGTCACAGTGTGCCAGCATCCACATGGGTAACTCAGGGATGATGAAGCTGGTCCCTGACAGGGCCTCACACCTCTCGCTGGTGGGCACTGACCTATCCCTGACTCAGTGTGTCTCCACTGCTTCCATTTCCCCTCTGGCTCTGGCATCCTCAATCTTGTCACTCTGATCTGTGTGAACTATGCATCTGTTCTATAAGCAGAATTAAAGTCACTTGGGAGTGAAATGGGACATAAATGAAGTAATGGCTGTACAGGATACATGAGGAAAGCATAACTGCCACATTTCAAGTGATTAATTCTTACACCTGAGATGATAAACGTAATTATATATTTTTTTCTAGTAAGAACAATTTCCACTTATGAAAACTTCATTTCATCTAAGAGAAACAGATGATATAACGAGGCAGCAAGGGTGCAATTTTATTTCATTAATCAACACAAGGGGAACATCAGCAAAATGAAATGTAAAACCTACGTGACAGGTTCAGTTTAAGCAAACAGAGCTAAATGTACAGTGGAGAATATTTGTCTTGGAGGTAGGGTATCTGATGAGATAGTGATGAAGGCAGTAATGGCAATGATGGCTATGATCTGCTGACCACTGACTGATGTGTCTAACCCTGTTCCAGCACCTAAGTGCCTGAGATGCATCGTCTCATTCATCCTCAAAACATCCCAAGAGGGCCACCATAAAAAAGAATGCGATCATGTCTTTTGCAGCAACATGGATGGAGCTGGGAGCCATTACCCTATGTGAACTAAAGAGAAAATCAAATATTGTATGTTCTCACTTTTAAGTAGGAGCTAACCAATGTATACCCAAAGATGGAAATTATTAATAGGCTCTTGGGACTCCACAAGTGGGGAGGGTGGCAAGGGTTGAAAAACTACTTATCGGGTAAAATGTTCACTATTTGGGCAATGGGCTTACTGGAAGCCCAATCTCCACCAGTATGCAATATATCTCTAGCAGTATGCAATATACCTGTATAAAAACATGAACTTGTACCCCCTGAATCTAAAATAAAACAAGGCAAGGCATGGTGGCTCACGCCTATAATCCCAGCACTTTGGGAGGCCGAAGCAGGTGGATCACTTGAGCTCAGGAATTTGAGACCAGCCTGGGCAACATGGCAAAACTCCATCTCTAATAAAAATACAAAAAACTAGCCAGGCGTGGCAGTGCTCGCCTGTAATCCCAGCTGCTCGGGAGGCTGAGGTGGGGGGGTCATCTGAGTCTGGGAGGTCAAGGCTGCAGTGACCTGAGATTGTGCCACTGCACTCCAGCCTCGGCAACTGGGGTCTCAAAAAAAAAAAAAAAAAAAAAAAAAGCCCAAGAGGTACTATTAATTCCATTTGGCAGATGAGGGACCTCAAGTTCAGAAAGGTTAAGTTACTTGCCAAGTAGCTAATTGCACTCACGTGTCACTTAACAGGGCTACACTTGGAGAAACTAGGCAATTTCATTTTTGTGTGAACATCAGAGTGCCCTTACACAAACCTAGATGGTAGAGCCCACTACACAGCAGAGCCCTATGGCCTAGCCTACTGCTCCTAGGCTACAAACCTACAGTGTGTTACTGTACTGAGTAATGTAGGCAACTGTAACAGAAGGGTGTATCTAAACATAGCTAAACAGGAAAGGTACAATAAAACATGGTATTATAAGCTCAATGGACCCACTACTGGATATATGGCCCATTGTTTACTGAAACATTGCCATTAAGTGGTGCATGACTGGAATAACAGAGTCAATTAGTAGCAGAGCTAGGTCTCGAACCTAGGATTCATATTTATTTTGCCATTTCCCCATTGTCTCAACTCCCTGTTCTCTCTCTTCAGGTCAGAAAAATTCCGGGCTGGGCCTGGTGGCTAACGCCTATAATCTCAGCACTTTGGCAGGCTGAGGCAGGCAGATCACCTGAGTTCAGGAGAACGAGACCAGCCTGGCCAACATGGTGAAACCCTGTCTCTACTAAAATTACAAAAATTAGCCGGGTGTGGTGACACACACCTGTAATCCCAGCTATACTCAGGAGGCTGAGGCACGAGAACCACTTGAATCCCAGAGACGAGGGTTGCAGTGAGCAGAGATTTGCATCACTGCACTCCAGCCTGGGTGACCGAGTGAGACTCTGTCTCAAAAAAAAAAAAAAAAAAAAAAAAAAAAAAAAAAAAAAAAAAAAAAATCCCAAAGTGACATTCCCCTGAACGGCAAACGAACTTAGAATCAAAGGTCTGTTTGGTTTATGGTCTAGCGGTTCCTTCTATTACACGACAATTTTAATTTCTGAAAATCATTAGTCCAATGTGTACAATCTAGAAATCTGACCCTAAAGTTTAGTTAATAAACTTTCAAAGTAAAATTCAATAGAAAAAAAAGAATGTCACAAAAATATCATTTTACTAGCAATCATACATTTGAGGCTGCTTAAGCTAGAATCACCAAGCCCTGTCAATTCCACTTCCTCCACAGCTCCTGGATAATGACTATACTAGATCTACTCCAATTCTCCACACTGCACCCAGAGGCATCATTCGAAAGTGCAAATCTGATCATGTCATCTCCTGGCTTAGTACTCTCCAACATACAAAAGGCAATGTTCAAATTCTTCAAGTTTATAAGGCTCTTAAAATTCTAGCCCCGCTCCATCTCTCATCGTTTCCCCTCCCTTCACCTCTGCCTGCCTGACTTCTGTTTATCTTTCATATCTCAGCTTCAGAGATCACAGGCCTCCTAGAAGCCTTGCCCAACTGCCTCCAACCAAGGCTAAAATAAAAAATCTCCTTCTATACATGTCACCAAATCCGTCTGGGTGCTGAGATGAAGGGATTTTATAAACTGCCTGGAAGTCACAGAATCTTAGGCCCATAGAGTATCTGAGACATCCAGTTTAACCCTTCTGTAATGCAGAACTTCCTAGTCAAATGTCCTTGCCTCCACTCCCCTTAACAAATCAGACTTTTCTTACTGTAGGTGTGCAGTGTGCAGCTAAGGGTTAGCATGGCAGACTGGATTGCACATTCCAAAGTGTGCCAGGACCGTCGCCTGTTCAGCTCCTGTGCTCCTCCAAGCCCATGGACTACTCTGCCAGCTAAGAGTGCCTCTGCATGCCTTACACCTAGGCCACTCTAATGATATGATTTACGGCGAACACCTATTCTTTTCTGCCTGCGACTCGGGTCCGTCCTGTATTTGTCTGACCTCTGAGGGGTCTGTCTGGAGAGGGCTGGAGACTGACTAGCTGATCAGTTATGCAAGTGTTTCAGGCTTACACTGCTGAATGAAAGAATGAGTTAAGTGAGTTACCAAGCTTTTCTGCTTTTAATTTTTGAAACTCTCTTGCAGTGTACTCCCTCTCATGTCCACTGACCTTTCTCTCTCTTACCTAGACTACTTTAAGTCTTAACTGCCTCTAGGCACCCATCATTTTCATGTTTAAAATCATTCTTGGCACAAGTTTTCCATGATTTGCACCACACCTACTATTCCATCTTCATCTACCTCTTTTCTGTCATTTGCACCTTCACCCCCAGATATGCCGAGATACAGAATTCACCAGGCAGTCCTCTTTGAACCCTGCATGCACTATTCTTTCTTGGTTGCTCTTCCTGTTTGTGTGGTAAACTTACTCTTCTCAAGGTAAGTCTTTTTCACCTTTCTAGACCCACCACACCTGCAGTTATTCCTGACTCAATGCTCCTAAGGAACTTGGTATTATTAAACTATTATAAATATTAACTTTGATATTACCTATTATATTGTACTAAAGCTGCTGACATACTTTCGTTCACAATGAACAATTCCAGGGCAAGTAATTTTACGTATATACATACATACATACATTCAACTGTAAGCATGTATGTACATTGTGTCTATGTATTCCAGGTGCTAACATAGCCTTGGAAAGCAGAAGATACTCGATTAATATTTGCTGGGTGAATGGATAATACTAAATAAGATGAAAACGGCATTTCTAAAAAAAATTTAATTGCTGAAAAGACAATACTGTTAAATCCATATGACTTACACATAGCAATAAGCTATATAAAGAAATGTGTCCATATATAAGGAATTGATAGAAATAAAATTATGGGCCAGGTGCAGTAGTTCACACCTGTAATCGCAGCACTTTGGGAGACCAAGGCAGATGGATCACCTGAGGTCAGGAGTTTGAGACCAGCCTGGCCAGCATGATGAAACCCTGTCTCTACTAAAAATACAAAAATTAGCCGGGCATGGTGGCTCAGGCCTGTAATCCCAGCTACTCAGGAGGCTGAGGTAGGAGAACTGCTTGAACCCGGGAGCAGAGTTTTCAGTGAGCTGAGATCATGCCAATGCATTCCAGCCTGGGTGACGGAATGGGACCCTGGTAGAAGTTTTAAATGTCCTAAGAACATATCAAATTAAATCCAGTAAATGTTAATAAGTGTAATAATATAAGAATAAAATCACTTAGAAAAATGTAAAAAGCCAAAGAGAAAATAATTTTTAAACATGTATCATCTGATCTCTCCTTTATAAAACAGAGTAGAGGTAAATTCTGCTTTTCATCTGAAAGTCTCTTATTGTAACTAAGACTTAATAACAACTTTTTTTAAATGAGGAAAAGTTCTAAGATAATTTGGCTTTGAAAACACATTTAAAATAAAATAAAGGCCTAAATCTAGTATTCTGCAGGTGTGTGTGTTTTTTTTTTTTTTTTGGTAAGATGTATCTTTTGTACCATGTTTGCTGGAGTTTTGATCCAAAGATGTGTTCACAGAAATGCTGTCCACTGTCGTCCACTTCCTTAGTCTTGACTGTGGCTCTTTAATACTGTTCATATCCATATTTACATTCAAGTTTGAGTTCAAGCCTGAAAAATTAAAAAACAAAACAAAACCTTAGAAAATACAGCACATTTTCTTTCTAGTAGCACAACTTCTATTTCCTAGAAAAACATGTAACTAATGTTTTCAAACCACATAACTGTTAATACTATAATTTAGTTATACGTAGAAAATATTTCTCCATAAAATTTTGATGATTTATTTAAAACTCCTTGGCAAAATAAGAGGGAGAAAAGTTTTAAGGAAGCCAGATGTATAAGTTTACTTGGAATAAAATGTATCTGTTTAGCTATTTCCCAAGTGTACCTATGCATGAAGATCTGTGGTCACTTTCAGTTGCTATCTTTTGCTTGCAAATTCTAAAGTAAAAATGTCCTGTACTAGCAATTACACCTAGGCTGGGGACAGATATATCTTAAGGCACAATTTACTTGACCTTTGCTGATGAGGCCCCTCAGACTTGGATATTCTCTTGGAACAAGAATGGAAATTTCAACCTTAGATACAGTGGTCAGAAAACTATTAAGCTAGTTTTTCTTAAAAGAGTAATCTAGGGACTATTAATATTAGAATCACCTAAAACGCTTGTTTAAAAATGAAGACTTTCCAGTGGGAGCCAGAATCTTTGTTTCACAATTCCCAAGAGGTTCTTATTCTAAAGTTCCAAATTAAATTGTTTTAAATTCTCTGGTCTGATGAGTCCATGTGATGTTAAGGTCTGTCAAACCTGAAAACTTTAATAATACAAATTCTCTAATACCATGCGTATTTTTGCAGAGAGCAATTAAATTTGCTACTCTTGGACCCATCAATCGGATCAGGAGTTGACAATTTTTTTCTGCAGAGGTTCAGCCGGTATCTCAGGCTCTGTGGGCCACATGGTCCCGGTGTCTCCATGCAACTCTGCTGGTGCAGCACGAAAGCAGCCACAGACCCCAGGTTAGAGAAAATGTGGCTGTGTCCAACAAAACCTTACAACAGCAGGCAGTGGGCCAAATTTGGCCAACAGGCCATAGCCTGTTGCCGAACTTAGATAACTGTATTGGTATTTGCATGGGCTAAGCAGACTTTCTTAATCAAGAAGTATCCCTCACTGAGAAGCTGGCCAGGGCAGGAAATCCTATGCTTAGAACTTATGTGGCCAATTTATATGTCAAGTGTGCAGTCAAATAGGAAGAGCCAGCTCCCTTCACTGATGAGACAAAAACTTCTCCCTGTACTTGGGTATCATTCTTTTACTACTAACTGTTGTCTCTGACATCACCTGGCCACCACTAAATGGCTTCTTCAGTATTCACCCACAGTAGTAACTGACAAGGGAACTGTTTTTGGAAATGCAGAGATCACTAACAATCCTAAGGACTCAAAGTACAATTTATGTCCCAGGTGAGAGTCTGTGGTAATACCAGGCTGAGCCAAACCAGTTCAGTCACAGAGTGAGGCAGCAGCAGGGGCAACAGCATGCCCCAGCCTCTGCCCACAGCCCAGAACAACTAGTTAACTGATGGTCTTCAAACACTCTGGCTAACAACCAGCAAAGCTGGTTTACAAGAAACCACTGTATAGGAAAAGAGAGAGAAAAAAAGCAAAATAAACAGGGCATGAACAATCAATGGTTAAAATATAATCAAGGGCACAAGAAAAAAAGAGACCTAGGAAAGAAACAACATATAAGCTCAAAATCTCTACCCAGTGAATAAAAGCCTGGAGATAACAGAGAAAAAAGAGTGGGTGGGGGTGGGGAGTTGCATGTATAAGAAAGGCAATCTCCTTTCTTACCTCCATTTTTAAATTTATATCAGTAATCATTTATACATAGTTAGACAGTAGTTAAAACTTCAAGTTCTGAGAGCTAGCAAATGTGACTGTGACCATCCCCAGCTGTTTCACCAAAACAGCACTGCTCAAAAATTCTCTGGTGTACTGTTTCTAATAAGAACATCAGCCTTCCTTCCCACCCTTAATATCCTACTTAAGATTAAGACAGCTAGTCCTTTAAAAAGTGAAATGTTTCCTTTATTCTAATGCACTTTAAACGAGTGTGGAGTTTTTGAAATAGTGTGATTTTGAAGGCTGGGCATGGTGGCTCATGCCTGTAATCCCAACACTTTGGGAGGCCAAGGCAGGCAGATCACCTGAGGTCAGGAGTTCCAGACCCACCCGGCCAACATGGTGAAACCCCAAATCTATTAAAATACAAAGATTAGCTGGGCGTGGTGGTGCGCGCCTGTAATCCCAGCTACTCGGGAAGCTGAGGTGCGAGAATCGCTTGAACCCGGGAGGCAGAGGTTGCAGTGAGCCAAGATCTCACCACTGCACTCCACCCTGGGTGACAGAGCAAGACTCTGTCCTAAAAAAAAAAAAAAAGAAAAGGAAAGAAAAGAAAAATCGTGATTTTCTTGAGGAGAGAGACCTTCCCTGAATGTGGAGCAGGTTAAAACTAGGAGAGGGGATGGCAACTCTCTGAGAGGGAACAGCTAAGAGATCAATGTAGCTTTCATGAAGGAACAGAGCTGTAAGGGTACGTGTGAAGGAGGCACGCCTGTGATACCTAAGCATCAGTCCAATACTTGGGCCAAGGAGAAACCCACCTATAGGGAAGTTGCTGAAAGCATTTATTGGTGATGGCCCTTTTTGCAGCTCAGGTGTAGTGTGGGGCATGACATTGTCAAGGAAAGACTTCATGGCTGGCTGATGGAGTGGCTGCTGCTGAGATGGTGGAGTCTGCTGCTTCACCAACAGGTTTGGATCAAGTTGACGAGATTGTTGCATCATTTGCTGCTGCACACTAAGAGGTCGACCCTTAAAACAATGAAATGATTGGAAAAAATTACTGGGGGAAAACGTCTTTACAGAAAACTACATATTCCTCTCCATTTTTGAATTCACTTTCGTCTCAGCAGAAAGGTGAATAATCACTGTATAATGTTCACATAACTCATGGGCAACCAGCAGACTTAATGAAAAACATACTGCATTACATCTTAGTAAGATTGTTTTAAGAAAGACATTTCTGAATCTCTTGCTACAATGGAGATAAGCAGAGTTTATTAACACAAAGACAGCATTGCGAGTTGCAGGGCGGGCTCTACCTGCTGGTCTTGCTGCGGCCGGTTCCCAGAAGGCACGCTTCTCTGACTCTGCGCCCTTTGCTGCTGCGCTAACAATCGCTAGAGGAAAGATAGCGAAAAGGTTGTTACTATCACACCATTACAAAGTGTGTGCTTCCAAATGACGACAGCAGATGGACCTACAGAGGCACGACGTGATCTAGCCAATGCCAACATGTCTAGCATTATCTAGTACCATCTCTTCCTTGGACTCTCTGGTTTCTAGTCACTGCTGAAATTCAGTCTTTAGTTCAATCTAAACTTTCACTTCAACAGAGAAACTTTTCCTAATCATCCTACTAACACTAGCACCCTGGACTTGGCTGAGGTTTCCTCTCACAGCATTCTGCACTTCTTCAAGACATTCTTCACAAATGTTCACGATCTGTCTCCCCCGATAGACTGTAAGCTCCATGAGGACTATGACTACGCCTGTTTTGTTTAGTGCACTATGTCCCGCACAGAGTCTAGTGTTTGGCATACAGTAGATGCTCCATAAATGTGTACTAAGAAAGACTATGACTCTGCTTACCTGTAACTGGGAGATCTGAGAAAGCTGGTTTAGCTGGGATAGCTGGTTCAGCATGGCTACCTGTTGAGGGCCAAAGAGTGGATTCAGGCCACCGTTGTTTGGTGCATACTTCAGCAATGAAACTGGAACCTTAGGATCACAATGGTAAGTTAATGATCTTGATAAAATAACTCACACTAACTACACGTACTGTGTGTTTTCAGTTGTCAATAGAGCAGTTAAATTTGTGGACTATTCATTGGGGGTTATAGTCTTTGTCTCTGTCTTACTAACTGACCACTCACTTACACTTTTTCGTGGGTTAAGTAAAAGATGACAGAGGTGCATCTTAAACTAGTCAATTTTACTTTGCTTTTGTCCTACTCTCAAGAATGTTTTAAAGAAGAAAATGGTAAATTTTGGATTTAAATTATCCTTGACTTTTCCTTACTACAACCTTTTTTAATAGTTAATTCAAAACTAGCTGAATCTCAAAGATGCCAATAAATATGATAATGCTTAGTTAGCCATTTTATTCAAATACAAAATCATGCAAGATCCTTTTTGCAGGTAAACAGGAGAATGTAAGGAAAGCTTATTTACCTGAGGGGAGAGTAATGGAGGAGGCACTTGAGCACGGAGATTAGGCTGAGATGAACTAAGAGGTTGTGCTGGAGGCTGCTGCATGCCCCGGGGTTGTGCTGCTGTGTTTCCAACACCAAACATACTGGGATTGCCATTCTATAAAAACAAACAGCAACAAGTAACAGTGGGATTCTTTAGGGACAAACATCTCATTACCACACTGTACTATGATTTAAACACAGTAACTACATGTAAGAGAGATCTTATTACTAATACAAATCATTCAACTGAGAGCCTAAAATACACATCTGGACTTACCTGTCTAACAGAATTCAAGTTTTGCATACCCAGCCCTGCTATGGAGCCAAGGGCCTGGTTAGGTAGTGCACTATTTGAAGGGGGAAGCTTCATGCTTTGACTGGACATAAACTGCATGTTTTGGGATTCATCTGCTACAATGCCATCCTGATTGGACAGACAGAAAGATGTGCAACACCAGCCAAGCAAACAAGTGGAAGGGAGAAATCATTGCAGGAACAGAAGAGAAGTCACATGACATTCCAGCATCAACAGGAAACAGGTAGAAAACAGAAGAGATCGGATTAGTGTTAATTCTAGAGCACACAAAAAGAGCCAAACATATTTCATGGGATTAAGAAGAAAAATATAAATGCAACCTCTATGATAAATTGAGACATAAAAAGACAGTGAACTTCAAAATCCAGTAATAAGATTTGGTAGTGGATTGTAACACTTTATATTATATAAAAGGTTTTAAAATATTAGTGTGAAAATTACGCTATGAAGTATACTGGTTTATCAAGTCAGAGGTAAAAGTAAAAAACCTTACCTTATCAAAATAAGGATTGCGCTCCATGGAAGACTCTTTGGAAATCTGAGGCCGAGAACCAGGGCCTTTCCCGACCGTTCGATTGTAATCACCAATATTTAGGCTATGTTTATCTATCTCCATTCGTTTGTCTTGTAACATTCCTAATAAAGGCAGGAGACTGTTATCAAACAGGAAGACAACCCAATTGGTTTCAGATAAATTTACAACAAAAGCAAAACACTCACTTTCCAAACTGAAATGACTTCAGCCAAGACAAGGGTATGTGAAAAATACACTTCCATTTCATAAATTTTGCATTCCTCACAAATGAAGTCGCAATTAGGAGATACTGTTATTTTACTGAAATAATTAACTTGAAATAGACTAGTAAACAGAAGGTGGCTGGCTGATAACCTCACTTTTTTTTTCTTTTTTATTTTAGACAGTCTCGCTTTGTGGCCCAGGCTGGAGTGCAGTGGTGGGATCTCGGCTCACTGCAACCTCCACCTCCTAGATTCAAGCAATTCTCATGCCTCAGCCTCTCGAGTAGCTGGGATTACAGGAGTGTACCACTACACCTGACTATTTTTTGTATTATTAGTAGAGATGTAGGTTTCTCCATGTTGGCCCGGCTGGTCTTGAACTCCTGACCTCAAGTGATCCGGCCGCTTCGGCCTCCCAATGTGCTAGGATTACAGGTATGAGCCACCAGGCCCGGCCTCGTTTTAAAAGGACTCTTAGGTTACATAACTTAAGGCACCTTTAGCCATCTCTAATCTGCTGAGTTTTATAATACAGGTAAGTTTCCATTAACAAGTAATAAAAACAATCAACACCCACTGTGATAAACCACCATTTAATAAATGCCTGGTTTATGTCAGTCGCCATTATAAGTGCTTTTTCTTTTCTTTTTTTTTTTGAGAAGGGGTCTCACTCTGTAGCCCAGGCTAGAGTGCAGTGGTGTGATCTTGGCTCACTGGAACCTCTGCCTCCCGGGTTCAAGCAATCCTCCTGCCTCAGCCTCCTGAGCAGCTGGGATTACAGGCACCCACCACCACACCCAGCTAATTTTTTTATTTTCAGTAGAGACAGGGTTTCCCCATGTTGGCCAGGCTGGTCTCAAACTCCTGACCTCAGGTGATCTGCCTGCCTTGGCCTCCCAAAGTGCTGGATTTACAGACGTGAGCCACCGCACCTGGCCTATGAATGCTTTATGTGTACTAATTTAATGTTTGTAACTCTACTGTTATCGCCCTTTTAGCAGATGAGGAAACTGGACACCAGACAGGGTAACATCTTCCCCTCTCTTAGGCTTTGCTCTGTCTGCTCCTCTCCTCATTCTGACTGCTCTGCAATAAAAAATGATCTTCTCTCCTGGAAACTTTTTTCCTGCAAAATCTTTGCTGGATATAGCCAGCTCCGGCCCAAAAGCTACTGCTCTATTTCAACAAATCTTTTAAAAGTGGACAATGCTCTCTACCACCCCTCCTCACCATCTGTCCATTCTGGTTTCTCTTCCTCTACCCATGCTGAGCTCACCTCGGGTGCTTCTTCAATGCTGGGATACTCTGCGGCTGACAAAGTAGACTCAGGGTCTCAGTCTTTTGACTCTCTCTGTAAACTTGCTTTCCTTAGACTTCATTCACTATCAGGGTATCAGCAGTCACTCCCATTCAAGTGATGCCCAAATATAAACATGTTGCTTAGACTTCACAACTGAGCTCAGTCCCACATTTTTACCTGCCTGCTAAAGCACATCCATTTCGATGTCCCATTGTCACTTTTTTTTGAGACAGTGTCTGGCTCTGCTGCCCAGGCTGGAGCGTAGTGGCACAATCTTGGCTCACTGCAGCCTGTGCCTCCCCGGCCCAAGCAATCCTCTCACCTCAGCTTCCTGAGTAGCTGGGCCCAGAGGTATGTACCACCACCCCCAGCTAATTTTTGCATTTTTTTGTAGAGACAAGGCTTCACCATGTTGCCCAAGCGGTCTCCAACTCCTGACCTCAAGTCATCTGTCCACCTCGGCCTCCTGAAGTGCTGGGATCACAGTCATGAGCCACTGTGCCCGGCCTCATTGTCACTGTTAACACAGGTTTTCATCTCCCTATTCCTCATTCTTGACGTTTTCTCAATCCTCAAATCTCATCCATCATTTCTTTGCAACTGCTGTTCTTTGAGATGTCTGCCACCACCATAATACTTACCTTTACTACTCTCATTCCAGGTAAGTGGAAAAGGAAAACAATTCTTAAAGTAGCTAAGAAGTACTGTTCCAGTCATGAATCTGGTATTTAAAAAATCCACCTTTCACAGTTGTTTAAGAGCCCTCTCTTGAATGTCAATAATCCTTACCACAGCTCCCTCCTCTGTTCTCTCTCCCTGTTAAGATGTCATAATTCACTGATAACAACTAAGCTAGCCATTGTGAACTCTTTCCCCCACTCTCTTCATCTAATCCTGTAACCAATTCCAACCAGTTCTCCTAACTCTCTCTCCAAGCTGTTCCTTCTTGATAATTCACATTATTTTTGCCTATGCAAATACCTTTTGAAAGAGTAGTAGCAGCTGAGCACGGTGGCTAACACTTGTAATCTCAGCGCTTTGGGAGGCCGAGGCAGGCAGGAGTTTGCGACCAGTTTGGCCAACACGGTGAAACCCTGTCTCTACTAAAAATACAAAAAATTAGCTGGGCGTGGAGGCAGGAGAATCGCTTGAACCTGGGAGGCAGAGGTTGCAGTGAGCCGAGATTGCGCCACTGCACTCCAGCCTCAGTGAGACTCCAACTCAAAAAAAAAAAAAAAAAAGAGAGTAGCATGTTACATTTTTTCCACAAACCATTCTCCAACACTTCTGCATCCCTTTAAAAAGAAACTCAAATGTGGCAATCTCCCCTCAGTCCACCAGTCCTCCAGTAAGGTCCATTAGTTACCAATGACTACCCCTGAGCCCCACTGTCAAATCCATTCCCTGACAATCAGTTTTTTCTTTTCAAAACTCTGTACTCACTTGGCGTCTGAAAAATTATTCTACTCTAACTTGTCCCACTTCTGCTTAGGATCACTCCCCTAAATGCCATTATTCCCCAGGACTGTCTTCGGTCCATTATCCTCCAACTCTCTCTAGTCAAACTATTCCTATAGCTTACACTATCATCCACATCTAATTAATTACACTTCATATCACCAGCCCCATCTATTCTGAGCTTCACATCCAGATTTTCGACTGTTTACTGGACCAGGTGGTTTTCAGAGCACCTTCAAACGCAGTATCTATCAAGCCTGCTATTCCTGTATTTCTTAACTCAAATAATGACCATTTATTGATTTATTGTCTCTCAGCTCCAAATTCACCCTTTTTGACTGCTCTATGAAAATATATCTGGACTCTTTACATTTTTTCCTTAGCCAGCTGGTACTGAGGCTTTGTCAGAAGAGGGAGCTCGAGAGACAGGGCAAGAGGAAGGGTGTTGCTTCCTGGGCCAGCATGTGGACTTGGTAGGCATGGGCAGCCCTTGCAGCTTCTCCATTGCCTGGTGGGTCAGCAGCACTCTGTGGGAGCTTCTCCCAGCATTCCCCTCCCTCTTACATCACAGTTGTGCTGCAGTGTCTCCGGTGAGATACCTCTCCATGAATGCCTTTTCCCAGGACTCTAGAGGGCAGATTTCCCACAGGTTCCACCAGCACGACATCATAGCAACTTCCGTGCCATTCAGTGAGCCATGAAGGAGGCAGAAACTTGTCCTAACAGGAAAAGGTTCACATTCTGGACACAGATTTTTGTTGCCTGTAAAGCTTCTGTTATCCACAGCCTCACAGGATGCCTTCTCCACTATCGGCACTCTTCACAGCCATCATGTCTTACTGAGGAGCTCATGTCACAGCAGAGGAAATACAGGACTGTGTTCATGCCCATGGAATTAACTGGTCTTACCATATATGCCATTGCCTGAAAGTAGCTAACCAAATTAATAGGCTTACTAAAGAATCAGTTACAAAGCAAGTTGGGAGACAACATCCTAAAAAGGTGGGCATCTGTCGTAGGAGGATGCGGTATGTGTCTCTCCAATTACTAGAATTTGTAAGTTGTGAGAATCAAAAGGTGAAAGTGCGAGCGGCTTCTCTCACAATTATACCTAATGAGCCACTTACAGAACACTCACTTTCTGTTCTGACAACTGCTGATTTAGAGAATTTAGTCCTTGAGAGAGAAAACGCTTCCAACAAAAACCGCAACAATGGCTCCACTGCCCTGGAAGATGAAGACTGCTACAGGGACATTTTGCACTCCTTGAGGTATGAACTAGCAGGCAAACAAACAAACAAACAAACAAAACTAGTCTACTGGCTGGGGTAACTGATGTGATTACGAAATGAAGGCAGTGAAGACTGTCGGGAACCCAGGGGATTCTCTGGGATGCTTCTTAGTATTTCCATACCCAGTAGTGAAGGCCAATGAAAAACAATGGCAACCATAAAAGGCAAGGACAACTGGGGGCTCAGATCCTTTGTGAATGAAGGTTTGGGTTACTTAACTCCACCAGCTAAAGAACCAAGAGCAGCTGAGGTTCAACCTGAAAGTGAGTTAAGTACAGAATAGGCAGTGAAGGGAGGAAGGCACAGATACCAATGATGGCTTACGAGCAATTACAGAAATAACAATGGTAGTAGATTTGCATATTTTCTATTGTTTCTCATATGGATGTGTTAATTTGTATAGGCCAAGCATTTTTTTTCCTGTTTTTACCTTATTCACAAGTTATTACATGTTAGGTTTTATAATTCAGTCTTTAGGTAACAAACTGTGACTGAATTTCTGGGGTGATTATATAGCCAGTGATGAATACAATGACCCTTGGGGCTGTTCATCTCCTCAGTTTAGAGAGAGGATGAACACTTCTTCACTTGCAAGAAAGAAAGCTGTATCTTGTTAAGCAGAAATACAGAGTTGCGTTGCCATTGTACCGGACAAATGCGTGCAGAAGAGTACATATGGAAGGTGAGTAGTCAAAGGGTTGGGATGATCTGTGCGGATGACTGACTTATTTCCTCTAGCTCCAATTTTACCCTTTTGGATTGCTCTGTGAAAAAAAATGGACTTAGGCCCTTTATAGGTTTTTTTCCTTCGCCAGCTAGCACTGACATTTTGTAAATAGAAGGTGCAAGAGGAGAGGTTTGGTTTCTTAGTTCTGGTCTGCTGTCTCCTGCAGCACAGCAGCTTTGCCAGCAACAAGGCACCTACAATGCTCACCTCGCCAGTGGTTGGCAGCATCTACCAGCATGCCCTCTGGTAGCTCCGTAGCGAGTGCCTCCCATGAGACACCTCTCCTGTGCCCTGCCTTCACTGGTATCTTAGAGGGTGGATTTCCTGCACTCCTACTGGCATGGCACCATAGTGAGAGGAAGGGGGTTCTTTCTTGGGCATGCTATGTCAGTCCTCACTGAGTTACTTCCCCTTGTATCTGCTACTGCTACTCCAATTCCTTGTTAAAGTCTTGTATACTACATTTTTCCTGTTAGCAAATTACTGCGTAGTTTCTCCTGACTGGACTCGGATTAACACAATACCATCTACTAAACTGTCCAGGTAAGTTTCCATCACACTCTCTCCCTCATCCTGCCTAACAAATTGGTTCAAACTGGTTATCAATTTTTGTTGATTCCAAGTCCTATGTCTCCATGGAATTAGATTATTTCCATCTACTGTCTTGGTTTGGAGCTTTGAAATAATTACTGGCTACTGCAACAACTATCTACTGGTTTTGCTATCTTCAGTGTCTTTTCTCTATCTCCTGCTGCCAATGTTTTCTATCCTATTTTCAATCTATAATCAAGATGATTTTTCTAAAACATAAATCCAAACCATGTCATTCCCTTGCTTCACTTTAATCCCATATTTTAAGAATAAAGTTCAAATTCCCAAGCTCTTCATGACTCAGCACCGACCTTGTTTTCTAGCATCTTTATCCAGGTGATCTTTCACTACCACCACCACGGCTGCCCCCACCAAAACTGTTTTTCTTGACTCATTCTATGGAATGACTTGCCATTCCTCCAGTATAGTTTTAAGAGTCTGTCATACATCTAGGCCCTTCTACGTGCTGTTCCCTAATCAAGAAGACTATACCCTCCAATCTGAGTAACTCCCTCTTGGCAGGATTATGTGTAAAGTAATCAGACTAATATCACCACTGATCTGCACAGTGGTCCTGCACTTTCAAGGCACATGCACTCATTTAACCACAGCATGTGTACGTCTATTGGAGAGCACAGCCTCCCCTGTCCTGATCTACGTCAGGGCTCTTTCAGTAGAATCATGTCATGGATGTGCGTGTCCCTCAATGAGGAATATAAACAGATTTAATTTTCTCTTACCTCCAGAAAGGTCCATCTTATTGCTTTGTACATTTTCCTCTGGTGAGTCTCTCTGAAGAAAGAAAATGCAGCATGTTAGCAGACCTTAATTTATCAATGAAAACAAATAAAAAATGAAGAATTTTACTGTGTTTCATTATCTGTGAAATTCAAGTGGATCATAAAGCTTCATTTTTCACTGCCTAATGTAATTTTTAAAATGTTTTAAAATAAGACATGTGATTGAAGTTTTTAGCTAAAACCATAAAAATGAAGGTTTGGAGGCCGATTTTACTCTAACATCAAGTACATTCCTAAGGACTCGAAGATGAAAAATAATTCTTAAAAAGAGTGAAATCAAGATAAATCATGGACCACCATTAAAAGAGGAAGGAGCTGCTAAGAAAACATACTTACCGAAAAACTGATGTTTGAAAACTGTTTAACAAATGGATTTATCCACGCTTCTTCTTGTTTGTTTCCACCTTTCATCATTCCCTTTGTAAAATAAAAGAGTAGAAAAGATGCCATGGCCATCTCTGTTTATCTGGGTATAGTGACGGATTAATAAAACTTAAGACAATCCCCAATTCTCATTTTTAGCCAATAATTTCTCCTCCAATCAACTCTTATCAGAGTTGTTAATAATTAAAAATCAACTTATTTGATTTTCAACTTCCTTTGCTCCAGTCCTCTGGTATAGCTGTAATGTACAGAGAAATCTCTAAAGGCAAGCAGTCAGAAGGAAAAGACGGAAGCAAAAGGCCTCGATGACCCACAAATATGAAAACAGGGCCTCTGAGTAACGGAGAACTGTAAGATTAGTTATAATTTAGATTTCTGGAATTCTCACTCCAAACCAAAGTAAAAAAATAGTGACTAGGTTCTAAGGTTAGTCCAAAGAAGCCAACTTAACCCCTAATTTAATTATGCTATATGCATCCTACTGAAAAAACACCATGTGTTTTCCACATGAAAAAGTATTTTAAAATTTCAATTTGTGTTGCCAAGAACACAACATCTCTAGCAGAAGTTGAACCTGGGATTCCTCCTGCTTAGGGCTGGCTCTCTGCGGCTGGTTGGGGTATGGGTGGTACGCAAACTCCATTGAGACATGAGTTAAGAGGATGGAGGGTCTGTGATCAGCAGTCTGGTAGACAAGGAGGCTGGAAGCCATAGAGATCTATGTCTCTCATTATGGTCTCACTGGACCATTCTCAGTCTGTTGCCTTCATTACTTCATTACCCCTTCCCATTGCTACTGTCCATTCCTTCTGACTGTGGAACAGAACACAGCTTCACAACTTCCCCCCAAATGCAGGTCTCTGAAGCAAGCATCTAACTCTCTCCGCAGATTCTGAAGTTGGCTTTGATCCCTTTTCCTTTCACCCCATCCATCCCCATACCTAACTAGTTGCCAAGTTCTTCTGTCCTTTCTATTCTGACTGAAATGCCTCTCAAATTAGTCCCTTCCACTATATATCCATTCTTATTTCCCAACTCAAGCTGTCCTTTCTAGCTTGAATTAACGCAGATGCTCCCTGAGATCCCTAACTGTGGTCTCCCCTCTGCACCAATTTATATTTCATACTATCACTGATTAGCTTTCTTTTAAAATTAGTAATTTAAAAACCCCACTGATGTTGTTTTCTACTCAATTTCGTTGGTTCCATATTTTACACAAAATAAAGTTCAAATTCCTTGGCATGCTACTGAAGACACTACAATCTGCCTCAACTACAGAGCCAGATCTCTTGTCACTTCTTCCTAAAAATTCTACATTTTGGTTATGTTGGGCTACTATCTTCCTTAACACATCCCATCCCAAGCATCTTCCAAATTCAAGCTGACACTTCTATGAAGCTCTCCTAATGCCCCATACTAGACTGTGAGCTCCCGAAAGGTGAAACTCATATCTTAGTGTATTTGAATCCCCAGCACCAAGCACAGTACCTGGCACACAGCAGAGGCTAAATAAATGTTTGCAGTTGCTTTCTAAAGATTTTTACTAGTAGAAACAAAGGAGAAAGAGTAAAAAGGCTACACACCCTTTCCCTTCTCCTTTTTTTGCCACTCAGACCCTGTAAGGAAAGACAAAGTCACAAAACAGCATGGTCCAGTGGGAAGAACATGGGGTTTGGAACTGGAAGACCTAAACTTAAGTCCTTACTCTGTCGCTTACTAGTTATCGCAACTTTGGGCAAGTCACCACCTTTTCCAGTCTCAAATTCATCAGTGTCCTATCTTAGATGGTTGTGAGGATCAAATGACTTATGTAAAACATGTAAAAGCACTTCATAAGCTATATGGCAAGGCAATAGGCAAATTCAGCCAAATGAAAAATTTTAAAAATGAAAATGGCAGGTCCTAGACTTAGAATCCCAGGATTAAAAGTGAGGAACCTTGGCAGTTACCTAGTCCAGCTATCCACTGGTATCTGACTTCTAAGGTCCCTCAAAAGGTAATCATTCTCAAGTAGGGTGGGTTAGGATGTTATGTTAGAACCACCTGGGGGACTGGGCACATATTTTGAAAATGGTCCCCAGGAGGATCTGACAGCAGCCCCCAGTGCCACCTCTTAAGAACCAGTGCTCTAAATCAGTGCTTCCCAAACCTGGCTCTGCATCAGAGACATTTGAGGAGTTTCTTTAGGATAAGAAACTTGGTCCAATTTCCAAAACTTCAGTAGACCTGAGGTACAGGAAGCTGCATTTTTAACAAATGCCATGGGATTTCGATGTACAGCCAGCTTTAGGAATATGATTTGTCCACACATAAAAGCAAAACCAAGCTCAGATCATTCCTAGGGATTTTTGTCACAGGACCTTTTGGGATGGGATAGGGACAAACATGACAGGTGAATAAGGAGGATGGTGACTCTGGGTAAGCGGGTGGCGGGGGACTCCAGGTGAGGAAATGAAATGGGAGATGAACTGGCAGTGGGATGGAAAGAGTCAACATGGAGATTTGCCCTCCTCTTCATCCTCACCACTGCAGGCACCACCCTAGGATGAGGGGTTGTCCCAGGCAGCACTGGTGGAGGGGGAGGAAGAGAGAAATCCCAAGCTGTAGCAGTGGGGAGAAAGGAAGTTCCTGTGGTCTTTCTTATGTTTCTCTAGGTGGCTGCCCATACAAGTGGCTATACCTAAGGTGGGGGCTGCCTGGACTGTACTGACCGCCAGAAATGGGCAGGCGAAAAGTTAATTTTCTGTGGGTAAACTACCTTTGGAATTTAAAGTTTCAAGGGCTTTGCCCTTGAAATGTTTACCTTCGATGACATTTTCTTTGTATATGGTGGCCAATTTAAAGATGAGTTAAGCTCTTGAGATGAATTACTATTCCACATTCCAATCTCCACATCCTCTTCCTCTTCCCAGCCAGTGGGGCGATTTCCAGGCAATGGCATATCATCACCACACCAGCCATCTTGCATAGATTTTGGCCCTGATTGTGGATTTGTGATATAAAGAGAAACATACTTTAATAAAAGAATTCCTTCTGGAGAATAAGTATATATTAAAAATTGGGTAGAGAACCTAAGAAAACACACACGTGCACACTTATTTCCCTTCCTGCATCTGCACAGAAGGAAAGTATGTTTTATACTGAGCTAAACCTTCCATGAAAAATAATATATTCTTATTTAAAAATTTAATAAAACTCCTCCATGCCTTTAACAAATCATAGTTCTTGAACATGGACAATGGTAGCACTCTTGTTTGTACCCACTTAATAATCTGCATAGTGATGCACAGGACAAAGAAGATGAATGAAATTTGAAAGAATTAATTTTTATATATATTTTTAGGGAGAATGGCCAGAGAGTATTCAAAGCCTTAAGCAGAAAGCATCTTATCTTCACACATGGCCCTTGGGATTCCTACCGGGCATCTTGTACACAGCCTATGGGATAATGACAATGTTAATTTCAATCTTGGGTCTTTTCTGAACTATGCTAATTGTAACTTTCAGGGAATCATCTGACAGTCTGAATATGTGTCCTCATGGCTACACTAGTTGGCCTCTCAGGCTGGATGGCATGAAAGTTGCTAGTAGACTCTTCCTAGATAACCTAATTTGGTAAAATATAATTTAGATTTGATGAAGTATATGCAAATGAATAGTTACAGTTCTAAGAAATATGAGAAAAGAGGAAAATTCAGAAAGAGAATAAACCACGTTACAAAATCAAAGAGCAAAATACTGAACATCATCTATCATGTTACATTATATGAATATATTATAAATAACATAGAAACCTTATCTAATTATTTAATTATAGTCAGTGAGTGTTCGCCACTGCTACATAACAGCTACCAGGCATTGTCAATAACTTACCAGATTTGCTTAATGCTTGTGGACCAACAGAGCTGGAGCCCCACGTGGATGTGCTGGATGCCGCAGCAATGGGTTCCCCCCAGCTGGGACCACTGTCTATGGGCTTACCCCATGCTGAAGTACCATTATCCACAGTTGTGGCTGGAGTAGAAGGCTCCCCCCAGGGCTCACCCCAGCCTTTAGAAAGTGTGGGAAAAGAAGTCATCAGCATAGAAGGTAAGGAGGTGCAGTGGAATAAGGGACAATAAAGAAAACTTAGGGACCAAGGATGAAGAACTTCATGTTTATGTACTGAATAATGATACTGTGATAGGCAAAAAGATGGCATCTGTTTTATGTTAAAAAAAGACAAACTATTTCCCATTAATATAAGGTGAGAATTTTTTTAACTTTTTTCATAATTACCCTCTAGACCTAGAGCTGATTTTTGCATAGTTATGGAAAACCACTCTCCTTTGAGCATCAGTTTAATTCCTGAAAAAGTCAAGTCATTCTAAACCAAACCTTGTAAATTGGAGCAGGTGATAAGCTGGGTGACAGTGTATGTATAACATCTGTACCAGCTGGGTACAGTGGCTGATGCCTGTAATCCCAGCACTTTGGGAGGCTGAGGCAGGTGGATCACCTGAGGTCAGGATTTTGAGACCAGCCTGGGCAACATGGCAAAACCTGGTCTCTACTAAAAATACAAAGATTAGCTGGGCGTGGTGGCACACACCTGTAGTCCCAGCTACTCAGGAGGCTGAGACAGGAGAATTGCTTGAACCTGGGAGGTGGAGGCTGCAGTGAACCGAGATCATGCCACTGCACTTCAGCCTGGGTGACGGAGAAAGCCTCCATCTCCAAAAAAAAAAAAAAAAAAAATTGTGCCACAAGTGTACCCCTTCCACACCACCTACACTGGAAAAACAATTTACTACCCAGCTAACAATAATGGGTCACCTACTTTTTACATATGCTGAACAATGCTTATTTTAAAATCTGAAGTATTAGGCTGAGGTTGTCCAAAGCAAAAAAAAAAAAAAAAAAAAAAAAAGCCATAAATGTTTCATTAAAAAAAATCAAAGCCAACAGGCTTCATCTTAGATACATACTTCTTCCTTTTAAGAATCAAACCTAAATTAATACAACAAACTATACTTAGACTAAAAAAAAAAAATTCAGTGCCAAAAAGTTAGCTCATGAAAGCACTCCCATATCCACTTCCAATGAGACTATTAAGTCAATAAAACTTTTATTAACAAAGACAATGTAGCCAATCACACTTAACAAAAATGTTGTTGGGAAAATTTGCAGAGATAGGAATTAGTTCATTATTAGAGAGGAAAGTAAGGATATACTAGAAAGGTATTGTCAAATGTTTTAAATACACAAACATATATACTGTATCTAAGTAGAGTTGGATTTCTCACCTACTTAAAAAAAAAAATCCCTTCTAAAGCCAAATATACAACCTAATGTTTAGAGAGTACTGTATTTATGAGATACTTGTTTTATTTCTGGAGATATTTTAGTCAAATAATAAAACCACAAGTTAAGGCCTAACTCAAAAACAACTTGGAGAAGTGTACAGCATTCCCACTTGACCGCCTTTGTCCAATTCGCCTTCTCTTGCATTTCTAATAGAGAATGAAGTGTGCAGGACTCAAACAACACTGCCAAAAGTGGAGTTCTGTTCTCTGGTGGTAAACATCACCCCTATAATTTTTTTCAAGCTGCTTCTGGATTACAGTAAGAACAGCCTTTGTGTGCATATCCAAGTACTTTGTTATACAAATCTTATAATAACAGTAAGTTAAAACAAGGCTTGATTTCATAAAATAGAAACTTACCAGAGCCACTGCTTGCCTCTTTGTTTGAGATGGCACTTGCAGGCGTTAGCAGCTGATGTACCTGTGCTTGCTGGTCTGAACGGCTGTTGCCATTTGGGACGTTTTTGTTCCACATGTTCACATTTTTGTAGTTGTATTTGCTTGGATCTCCCCAAGCTGAAGTTCCATCATCAATCTCCATTTTGCGACGTATAGATTCTGGGGATGGTTCCTCCCAGCCTGTGGGTTCTTCTTCTTTTGCTGGGGCTGGTATAGGTCCCCCCAGCCAGCCTGTACCAGGAGGTTTGCCTGTAGCTGGTGGGATTCCCCAAGATCCAACAATGTCTTGTTGCTTGTTCCAGTCTGGAGAGCTGACTGGCTTTGACGAATCTCCCCAACCTAGAGACTGATTAGACTTTGGAGGGTCTCCCCATCCCTGGGAAGGAGTAGGTTTAGAAGATTCATCCCATCCTGATGAATTATTTGGATTTATGTTGTTTCCCCAAGTGAAAGAACTAGTTTTACCAAGTTCGTTCCAACCGGAAACGGACCTGTCACTGTCACTACCTCCTGAGCTGGATTTCTTATTGGCCTCACCCCAATGGTTATTCCTTGAAGTTTCTCCCCAGTTATCACTGGCAGAAACAGACCACCCTTGGCTTGATTTTTGTCCATCACCCCATCCCTGTTTATTCTTTTGCGAGTCATTCCATGCAGCCTTCTCCTCTTTGCAATTCCCCCACTGATTGCTCTTGACCATTCCTGTAGCAGCAGAATCATCTTCCCACCCCCCCTGGCAGTTTGAGCCTTTGGAATCTCCCCACCTCAGAGCAGGTTTGGGATCGCCCCACCCTGATACAGATGAGGTATCATTACCATTAGGGCTAGTCTTATCTATACATGCCCCTGAGTTAAAAGTCTGTGTTGCAGAGCTTCCCCAGGCCTCTGTCCCATTGTCAGTCTTTCGTTCCCCTCTAGGTGATGTTTCTGTATCCCAGGCAGTATTCTGCTTAATAGGAGTCTGTCCCCAACCAGAGTTGGACAGGACACGTGGATCTAAGTCAGTTCTGTTTACAATGCTTTGGAGTAATGTGTGCTGATCAATTTTTCTTCTGTCTCTACTCTGACTTTCCCCAGTTCCTTTTTCCTCAAGGCGTCCAGTGCTTTCTGTACTACCATCGCTCTCCACTGTACCTCCTGTTTTGGCCCACACACTGCTTTGCTCATTTGTCTGAGATGTGGCAGAACCCTGATCCTCTTCCTCAGTAGATTTCCATCCATTTGTAAACGTCTTACCATTGCCATTTGCACTATCATTGGAATGCTGATTGCTAGGCAGTTTGTTCCACTCAACGCTGGGTAAATTAGTGCCAGTGTTTTGTGCAGGGGTTCCCCATCCTCTTCGACTTCCTCCAGAATTTGCGCCATTTCCACTTCCCCATGATGTACTCTGGGAGTTTGCTGCACCAGATTCCCACACACCACCTCCTTTGTTTGTGTTAACTTGAAAGTTAGTGCCCATAGGACCATTTACGCCAGGCTGCATTAGAGTTGCATTCACAGTGTCACCATTAGCTTGGCCATTAGGGCCTGAACATTTGTCTCCAGAGTAATTAGAACCATAGGCACCCCATGTAGTACCATAAGAGCCTCCACTTTTTGACTCTCCATTGCTAAGGTGAGAAAGGGAAGTGCCATTCATACCTGATGGAGCCTGCATCTGAGGATGATTCATTGTGCTCACACGCCAGGCCCCTGTGTTACTACTAGGCAGCTCATTATTCTGCACTGAACCGGAGTTTGGTAAACTAGAGGTCATAAAGTTAGTAGTGTTATTTGGTCCAGTCATTTCAGTGGTAATATTTTGAGGTTGACCACTGAATGAAACCTTCTGTGTACCACTTACTTCAGATTCACAAGTTTCCTGAAGGCTTCCCCAGGTACCATGGGTAGAACCACCACTCACTTTAGAGTTAATACTCTGATTGTTAGGCATCTGGCCTATAGTACTGCACTGAATATTAATGCCAGAACTACCACTCCCTACAGGCCCTTTTAGGGCAAGTCCATTGTTCTCTAATACTGGCCAGGCACCATGGTTGCTAGCTGAATTCAAAGTGCTTGGATTTAACCCTCCATTTGATGAAGAACTTACAGTGCCCCAAGCATTCATTCTATTGTTGCTACTTTCAGATTTGCTTTCAGGAGCATCCACAGAGACCTGACATGTGCTTATTATGGCTCCATGGGAAAAACCCCATGGCCCAGTACTACTTCCATGGCCCACATTATTGCTGCTGCTACCAACTACAAACTTGTTTTGGGAACCAAGTCCAGTGCTATTCCGAAGGCCATCTTTTTCACCACCTGTGTTCCCTGAAGCCATGATAGTGATGTTTCTCTCTGATTCAGAACTGGAGGCAGAATCAGCATCCATACATTCTGAAGCCAACTCCGGATCACTGCCAGGGGCTGAGGGCCATGCTTCTTTTTCCGACAAGTCACTTACAACAGCATTCTTACAGTTTGTGCTAGAATCACTTGTAGAAGACACAGGTCCCCGCTGGGAATTTTCATAATGGGATCCTGAAGTACTGTGGTTTATATCTAGGATAAAGGAGAAGTACAACTATTTATAAAGTGTTAGGCCATTTCAAAATGATACTAAAATCTAAGAAAAATGACGAATATGTTATAAATATATGTGGCTCCTCAATTTAACAAGCTATGATCCTTGGCAGAATGGTGACAAGGGCACTGGTTATCTTCTAGCCACCAACTTTCTATGTTCAACTGATACTATCCTAAGATCCTAGAGGACATAACAGCCCCTTGATAAATACTTGCTGAATGAATACATTGTTAACATATCGGTAAATAAAAGAATTTTGGGCCGGGCGTGGTGGCTCACGCTTGTAATCCCAGCACTCTGGAAGGCCGAGGTGGGTGGATCACGAGGTCAGGAGATCAAGAACATCCTGGCTAACATGGTGAAACCCCATCTCTACCAAAAATACAAAAAATTAGCCGGGCATGGTGGTGGGCGCCTGTAGTCCCAGCTACTCGGGAGGCTGAGGCAGGAGAATGGCATGAACCCGGGAGGCGGAGCTTGCAGTGAGCGGAGATAGTGCCACTGCACTCCAGCCTGGGTGACAGAGCGAGACTCCGTCTCAAAAAAAAAAAAAAAAAAGAATTTTGGAGTCAAGAAGGTCTAGGAGGCAGCTACGCATTAGGATAACGGAACAACCCAGGCATAGAAGCCTGACATGGAAAGACAGGTAAGGAGAAGTGAATAGCCAAAATTTGATAAAATGTATCAGAAATATTTTTCCACCCTCTGTTTTCTAGTATAGCTTTTCCACACAACTGTTTTGAGTATTGTAACAAGTTTATAAAAATTTATAAGAATGGTAAGAATTGGAAAGCTTTTATCATTACATTCTATTTCATTAGTGTCCGTATTCAACCTGAAATATTACAGCCAAGTAACAGTATTTTCAGTTCAACTTCCTCTCATAAAATTTTCTTAATTTACCTTCCTAACCACATTTATATAAAAGAACAGAAAAGTAATGGTTAGTTATGTTGAAGATCACAGAATTATTATGATCTCAAAAAATCAAATGCTGACACTGGAGATGTTTAATGACCAGTCATACAATCCTATAATCTTGGACTTCCTGCTATGTATTACTATTTAGTTATTTTACCACAGGTAGGGCAGTTCTAGTGCTTCTGAATAGTTCCCCAGATTCTTAACTCTCACTTGGTCTAAGGATCTGGTAGGCAGACACTCCTCAGGGCCATTAACCTGCATAAGTCACGTGCATTCTGACTGTCTTGAGGAGGTACATTATATTGCAGTTTTCTACTAGAGTACAAATCAGAATCACACGTAGTGCTTTTAAGTATATATCTTCAAGGCAGTGTCCCAGACCTAATGAGCCAACCTTCAGGGGTTGTAGGCCTAGGAGATAAAAAGAAGTCACTATTAAGGTGATTTGCTAAAATGGAAAATCAGATTCAATTTGCATCATTTGCTCTCAAAGCACAATCATTAAGAAGCAAAAGAAGATCTGGAAACAGTCTGGAAAAGTGACTGGAGAGAGACCGGAAATGATATAAATGCATCAAATAATATACTTCAAAGTTCCATAAGTGACTCTAATTTCCACTCCCTGTTTAAGAATCATTTCTTTAATGATTCCTAAAGCTGCCAAAGAAGATTTGCCATCTTTCAGTGCCCATAAGGAGAATTTCTCATGAAATAAAGGGTAACAATAAGTCAGTCTCATTGGGTGTAAGCAAACCAACACACTAACATCTGCACCAGCACCATCAACAAATGTTTGGCATTCAGTACTATGTCTGACAACTTTGTGCGCACTTTTATCACTGAATCCTTAGAGCCACACTAGAGGATAGGTATTACCTTCACTTGCAGATGACAAAACTGAGGTTCACAGGTTAATTTATGGAAAATTAAGTGAGAAAGGCAGGATTCGTCAGAATCCTTCATAAAGCAAGGTGCCTAAGAATGTAGACAGGACTCTAGAAACACCAAGATTCAAGTCTGGACTCTGTATGACCAAATCTGCAAAACCAGAAGATAAACAATACTTCTTAACCTGGTTCTTTTGTTAATTTTATCATCATATGTAAAGCATTAAGCTCAGTGCTGGCTGCAAATAAGTGCCTCGTTAGGGTCAATTTGATGTAGTGATTAACAGCACAGATTGGGTAGCCAGAATGCTTGGGTTTAAGAGGCACTCTACCATTTACTAGCTGTGTGACCATGGCAAGATCCTCAATCTCTGTGCCTAGTTTCATCTCTAAAGTAGAAACAGTATTAGTACCAGGCCGGGCGCCGTGGCTTATGCCTGTAATCTCAACACTTTGGGAGGCCAAGGCGAGGGGATCACGAGGTCTGGAGTTTGAGACCATCCTGGCCAACATGGTGAAACCCTGTCTCTACTAAAAATACAAAAAATGAGCCGGACGTGGTGGCAGGCGCCTGCAGTCCCAGCTACTCAGGAGGCTGAGGCAGAATTGCTTAAACCGCGGAGGCAGAGGCTGTTGCCGTGAGCCGAGATGGCGCCACTGCACTCCAGCCTGGCAACAGAGTGAGACTCCATCTCAAAACACAAAAACAACAACAAAAACGAAACAGTATTAGTACCAATCTCACACAACTGTGGTGCAGATTATTAAAAGTACTCTGTACTGGCCAGGCGTGATGGTTCACGCCTGTAATCCCAGCATTTTAGGGAGCCGAGGCGGGAGGATCACGAAGTCAGCAGATCGAGACCATCCTGGCTAACACGGAGAAAGCCCATCTCTACAAAAAAATTAGCTGGGCGTGGTGGTGGGTGCCTGCAGTCCCAGCTACTCGGGAGGCTGAGGCAGAATGGCATGAACCTGGGAAGCAGAGCTTGCAGTGAGCCAAGATCGTGCCACTGCACTCCAGCCTGGGCAACAAAGCAAGACTCCGTCTCAAAAAAAACAAAACAAAACAAAACAAAACAACAACAACAACAAAAAAAAACAAAAAAGGACTCTGAACTATATCTGATCCATATTAGGTGCTTAATAAATGAGGGCCATTATTATCATTGATAAATGCATGCTAATGATTATCATCTTTTAGTCCTATCTCCAAAGCATGTTTTTCATTCCACCATGTCTCCCTTATAAAGAACAAAATGAGAAATCATATAACTTCCTTACTTAAAATTTCCACTTAGATATCTTTAGCAGAATCTTCAGATTCCAGATTTACACTCCAACAGAGTATAAATTGCTCTCCTCCCAAACGGGGCAAAAACTGCTTCTTTACAAGTTTTTCTCATCTCAGTAAGTTTCCTAACACCTAGAATTTATCTTTTATTCCTCCCTGTGCACAGCAAATCCAAAACATCATCAAGTCCAAAATCCATACATCTTTTTTCCAAATCTAAGACAGTCCAGCCCTTGTCACTGTCTTTTCCTGGACTACTACAAACGTATTTCTGCTGCCACTATTTGCGTGCGTTAAGTGTGTGTGGCCACTTTCACAAGGCAGGAGTAAGAAAACAAGATTGGCCATCGAAAACAAAACTACCCAAATGGAAAATAAAGAAATGGATCCAGAATTCAAGAGGGAAACACCAGAAGCATTCCCATAATGACAAGAAAAAGACAAAAATACTTGTCATCAATACTACTATTTGGTCCAGTTTTAGAAGTAGTAACTGATAAAATATGACTCAAAAATGAGAGGTAAAAATAATAGAATAGAGGCAAAAAAGATCAACATGAAAAAACAATTTCCTTTCTATATGCCAAAAATAATCCAGGAGAAAATGTTGATGGGAAAAGATCTTAATCATTAACAGCCATAAAGTAACAGGAATAAAGCTAGCAAAAATATTTAAAGTCATATATGATTATATTTTATTGCTGGCTATAGAAGACACTTGAAAGTGAAGAAACTTGTTCCTGGATATGAAGGTGTAACAATGCTCTAAGTTTAATTCAGTTATAAGAAATTGTTAACAAGAGTCTGCAAAATGATTACAAGTGATTTAAAAATTCTGTAAAGCAAGTGGGGAAGTAACCCTCTAAAAAATTTCAAAAAGAAGAGGTTGTGAAGAAGGGAATCTGCATTATCAGGAAATAGTTGAACAGCACTGCATTGCCAGAGAGCACTTTGACTGAACAGAAAAAGTAACCCAGAAACAGATCCAAGTATATGTCAAAGATACTATTTCAAGGATTAGCATTTTAAATCAGTGGAGAAAGGGAATATTCAGTACTTGAAAACTTTTTAAAATGAGATAATAAATAAAAATAATCCCAAATGATTAAAACATTAAAAGTAAAAGACGAAATCATGAAGCTATCAGTGAATAAGTATTTTTATACATAAACCATACGTGGCAGATTTCACTTGTTAATGTTAGAATACATCAAAAGCAAAGCAAAAAAGCAAACGCCTGAATATATTCTGCAAATGAGTTCTATCACCTTTAATGTTAGTGAAAAATGTTCTCAGATTCTGGTCATGACCCGGTTTGGTGGCTAAGTTTGTCTTTTAAAATATTATTAACTAAAATCCCATTTTTAATCTAGAAGCCACTTGATCAAAACCTAAAGATTATTTTAAAAATTGGGTTACCAATGGTGAGTTACAAGGTATTCTGGGTTGTAAAAAAGGTTGTAGTTTAGGAAAAAAAATTCGTTTGGCATTCTAGCTCATGCCTGTAATCCCAGCACTTTGGGAGGCCAAGGCGGGAATATTGGTTGGGTCCAGAAGTGAGACTATCCTGGGCAACCCTGCAACACCCCATCTCTACAAAAAATAAAAAAATCAGCTGGGTGTAGTAGCATATACCTGGGGTCCCAGCTCCTTAAGAGGCTGAGGCAGAAAGATCACTTGAGCCTGGGAGGTTGAGGCTGTAGTGAGTTGTGATTGCACCACTGCACTCAGCCTAGGAGACAGAGCTACAGCCTCTCTCAAAATGAATAAATAAACAAATAAAAATCAATAAAAAGTGTTGGCTGGGCACAGTGGCTCACTCCTATAATCTCAGCACCTTGAGAGGCCGAGGCGGGAGGATCAACTGAGGTCAAGAGCCTGGGGCCAGCCTGGCCAACAGGGTGAAACACCATCTCTACTAAAAATACAAAAATTAACCGGGTGTGGTAACAGGCCCCAATAATCCCAGCTACTCAGGAGCCTGAGGAAGGAGAATCATTTGAACCCAGGAGGTGGAGGTTGCAGTGAGTCGAGATCGCACCACTGCACTCCAGCCTGGGCATTATGTAAGAGCGAAACTCCATCTCAAAACAACAACAACAAAAACAAAATGTGTTGCAGGGGATGGGAAAAGACGCTATTAAAACTGAAAGGATGAAAAGAACAGGACTCCTCAGGTATAACTAATATGTTTCAGAGTCAGAGATTATTTCAGATTTGGAAGAAGTCAAATAATTTATTTCACTTAAAGACACACAAGACCCAGTGTTGTAAATGATCTGGAAGATAAACATAGAGGAACATCATTAAGTAGAGTATTATCACTCAGCTTTCCAGGAAATAATGAGAAATAGTTAATCTCTGTGCTAGTAGGAAGAAAGGGAGCGGCTGAGTTTTACTGAGTGTAATGCAAAATGTTTATACGCTGCAATGCTGTAGGCAAACTTAAGATTTGGAAGGTTGCGCGTTATTTAGAAATATTTGAAATCTAAAGCATCATTAACATCCTACTTTCATACAAAATGCCCACAGAAGTGTGATCACCTACAGTACCACACTCAAAAAAAAAAAAAATTGTACATAATAGAACATCTATCCAAAAAAGATCAAAGAGGTTATGTGGGGGCTGAACGAAGACTGGTGATAATTCTAGCGACATAAAAAAACAGCATCAGCTGGGCGCAGTGGCTCATGCCTGTAATCCCAGCACTTTGGGAGGCCGAGGTGGGCATATTACCTGAGGTCAGGAGTTCGAGACCAGCCTGGCCAACATAGTGAAATCCCATCTCTACTAAAAATACAAAAATTAGCTGGGCATGGTGGTGGACGCTTATAATCTCAGCTACTCAGGAGGCTGAAGCAGGAGAATTGCTTGAACCCAGGAGGCGGAGGTTGCAGTGAGCAGAGATCGCACCACTGCACTCCAACCTGGGCAACAGAGCGAGACTGTTTGAAAAAAAAAAGAAAAGAAACAGCATCACTTATTCAGGAAGAATTTAGATCCATGGACCTTCAAATATTTTTCTTCTAAATATACAGCATCTAACAAACAAAACAGTTAAATATTTATTTTCTGCCTTAAAGACTTTCAATTTTGCCAGAAAGGGAAGAGCTTCGAAAGTAAATAATATTTATGTTTTACAATGTTTCCAAGGAGTATGAGAGAGATGGTACCATTGGGAATACGAGAGAACCTTAGATGTACAGTTTCAAATCACTCTTTTTTTTGTCAGACGGAGTCTTGCTCTGTCGCCCAGGCTGGAGTGCAGTGGCGCGATCTCGGCTCACTGTAAGCTCTGCCTCCCGGGTTCCCTGCCTCAGCCTCCCGAGTAGCTGGGACTACAGGAGCCCGCCACCACGCCTGGCTAATTTTGTTTTTTGTATTTTTAGTAGAGAGGGGGTTTCACCCTGTTAGCCAGGATGCTCTAGATCTCCTGACCTTGTGATCCGCCCACCTCAGCCTCCCAAAGCACTGGGATTACAGGCATGAGCCACCACGCCCGGCCTCAAATCACTCTTACGTACAAAATTCAAAATGTCTCATCTGGTTATTCTTGCCTTTGGTTCAGGGGTTGGCAAACTTGTTCTATACAGGTCCAGTTAAACATTTTAGGCCTTGCGAGCCAGATGGTCTGTGAAAACTATTTAACTCTGCCATTGTAGCTTGAAAGCAGCCCAGACGACATGTAAATGAATGGGTGTAGGTACCTCCCAAAAAAGCTGGACTAAAATAGGCCCAGATCTCTGTTCCAGAATAAAAAAGACAAATGCAATATCACAACCAAATGCAATGCATGAATCATGACTGGCTTCCGGTTTGAGAGATGGGGTGAAAGTGGTAGGGAGATGGATATAAAAGACATCCTTGGGGATGTTGCTCTAGACCAGATGGTGAACACCTCAACCAGGGCAACTTGTTGCAACTGATGGCAGTATCAAAGGGAGATGGGAAAAGTGGGAGGCATTTAAGAGTTAAAATTGGCCGGGCGCGGTGGCTCACGCCTGTAATCCCAGCACTTTGGGAGGCCGAGGCGGGCAGATCACAAGGTCAGGAGATGGAGACCACCCTGGCTAACATGGTGAAACCCCATCTCAACTAAAAATACAAAAAATTAGCCGGGCATGGTGGCGGGCGCCTGTAGTCCCAGCTACTCGGGAGGCTGAGGCAGGAGAATGGTGTGAACCTGGGAAGCAGAGCTTGCAGTGAGCCGAGATCGTGCCACTGCACTCCAGCCTGGGCAACAGCGAGACTCCATCTCAAAAAAAAAAAAAAAGAGTTAAAATCAGCAGAGTACAGTAACCCACTGGCCTGTGAGACATATAGGAGAGGGAAGAGTAAAGCATGATTTCAAGGTTTCTAGATGGGTGGTTGGATGAATGGGGGTGGCAACTATTTGAGCAAAGGAACGCAGGAGGAGGAAGTGGTACGGGGCAACACAAAGAGTTCAAGTTTGGACATACTGAGTTTTGAGGGGCCCAACATCAGCTGAAGACTTCCAGAAGAGGACCTAAAATGTGGCGAGATCTGAAACAAAGCCTTGGGAGGGAACAAAAAGGTTTGCATTTGACATTCAGAAGATCAGTGACTTCAGCAATAGAGTTATTTTAGTCAAGTGAGCAGAAGCCAGATTATGAGAGACTGATGTAATACATTAAAGACTGCAAGTACAGACTATTCCTTCAGTAACACTGAAAGGGGGGAGGGAGAAATTCTGTAATAGCCTCAAAAGAGTATGGGAATTTTGCCGGGTGTGGTGGCTCACACCTGTAATCCCAGCAATTTGGGAGGCCAAGGCAGGCAGATAGCTTGAGCTCAGGAGTTCAAGACTGGCCTAGGCAACATGGCAAAACCCCATCTCTACAAAACACACAAAAATTAGCCAGGTGTGGTGGTGAACGCCTGTAGTCCCAGCTACTCAGGGAGACTCACTGAGGTGGGAGGATTACTTGAGCTGGGAGGTTGAGGCTGTAGTGAGCCGTGTTCATGCCACTGCACTCCAGTCTGGGTGACAAAGTAAGACGCTGTCTCCTCCAAAAAAAAAAAAAAAAAAAAAAAAAGAGTATGGAGGCTTAAGAAAATTTTTTTAAGGATAGAGAAGATCTGAGTTTGTTTATCGTCCAAGGGGAAGGTGCAAGTTGCAAGCAAGTAGTAGAAGTTGCAAGACAGCAAGGAGGTACACCGTGCTAAAAGCCCAATGCAAGAGCACGGATGGATGGGGATGGACAGCATTTTAACCTTTAAATATCTCCAGAAACTTTAATGTTAACACTTTTGGTTAAAACATCCCAATTATTGGTCATTCACCATTATGCCTCAAATGTCTTTTTCTTTAAAAAAAAAAAACTACTTCAAACATAATAGATAAGGCCATAAAAGAGTAATATAAAATATACTCATACACCTTAAGAAATGCGTTACTAATATGGCAGAAAAAACTCGCAGGTATTCTCTCTCTTTCCTTCGCCAGTAGGTATACCAGTGGTAATCACTCATGTAAATCTTTATATCTCACTACATTTGAATTCATCCCCTAAGCAATACATAGTGTTCTATATGCTTTATATTTTATATAAACACTAACATACTGTGAACAAACAAGCAAGCAATACATTCTTGGGACAACTAGCAAAAATGTGGATATAAACTATCAGAAGATATTGTTGTTGTTCTTTTACTTAGGGGTGATAATGGTATTGTGGTTGTATAGGAGACTATGCTTATTCTTAGGATAATTACCTGTGGAAGGATTAAAGTTGAAGTGCCATAATGTTTGCATACTTACTTTTAAGTGGTTCAACAATAATGTGCACATGCATGCATATATGAGAGAGAGAAAGAGAGGTGTGTCAAGTCAAGATGGGACAATGTTAACCACCACCAGTTTTGGGTGGAGGGTATACGAGTGTTCACTATGTTAGTCTTCTTAATTTTTCTGTATGGATCATGTCAGGTGGATAAAAAATAGGATAGAACACTTTGGCCTATAAGAACAATATTGCTCCTGTTGAGCCTAGTCATCCCCCCAAAGCCTTCACTTTCATTACATGGTTTGTGGGCCCCCATATTAAACAGTTATTTCACCTCTTTGGGGTCTAAGTGGTCAACTGCAAAAAAGAGGTCTCAAGTCTCAATTTAAACCATCAATAAGTGTCTGAGGCACAGCCCCAAAATGGCAGCCCAGGGCTGGTCTGCAGAGTTGTCTAGTTTGACTAGCACAGGATTCTAAAAAAATTAAAAATGAGAATGTAAAAAAGCCAAATACGAATAGATCAAACAAAACAAAACAAAACAAAAAACCAAGCCAACACTATGTTCTCCCAATTCTGAACTACATGTAGTTCACAACAAAGAATGTTTGTGTTTCTGGGCTACTGTGCACGCTGTTTATACTAACTAGTACCTTGTTCTTCACTGGCCTCTAGGCTACTTCCTAATCTGTAAAATGAACATGATACTATCTACTCTGTAAAAGAAGTATTAAATGAGTTAGTAGTGTGTGGGCACAGTAAGCACCCCATAAGGATTAGCCACTGTATCGTTATTAATATTAATAACTTGGTAGGAGCTGGAGATACCTAACTCATAAGAGGCCTTCACTGACTCTCCTGGTCTATTTTGCAAGCTAAAGTTTCTATTACCAATCCTAGTAACACTTAGAAAGATGTTTTAATGTAAATATGTAAAATATGCTGTTAAGTGGGGATTCATAAATTTTTTAAGAGACAAAAGTACAAATCTGGCTCTTCTTTGGAATGCCTTGGCTTCATCATCTGCATTTTCTAGTTGTTTTTTGAGATTGAATCCAGGCTTCAGTCAGATTGCTGCACCCTCCTCACTTCCACCTTAGCCTCCACATCAATGCAGTCCACCCTAGTAAAATTCTTTTAGAAATAGGCATGACGTTTTTCCTTCTCAGACATTTTTTGAAAGCTTCTTCCTATGCCCACACCTGAGGCCTTCTTCTCATCTGAACCCACACCTGTAACACTTTTGATATTTTTGACTCATAGTTATTTTTGAGAAGCAAGATTCTTACACTCCTGTTGTTTCCATCCAAAAACAGGTTCTCTTCATTTCCCCAAGTGAAAAGGCATATTTGACATATTTTCTAAATATACTATCCCACTTCACTGTCTTGTTCAGTACCATTCCACCTTCCTTAGCTCACAGCAGGTACTCCATCATCTGTTGTATAACTAACCTCTCCCGAAGTTTTTAACCACATTTTTCATTATGCTGATGACCAGTACATTTGCTTCCAATCTGACTCCCCAGATGAACTTCAAATGACTAATTGCCTACTACTTGGCATTAGATCTAGTATTAACCAAACTCTTCTTGAAGAGTACAGGTCCTTCTATAAGAGTTATTAGGAAGATAATTTATTTGGCACCTAGATACCAGGCATTAAGGTAGTTCCTTTAATAACATGTCATGTAATTAAGTCTACACAGCAGCCTTATAGGGTTGGGTACTACTGTTTTACAGATTAGCAAAGAAGGTCAGATGTGTTATGGCCAAGCTCACACAGGTAATAAGGTGCTGGGAAATTAGCAAGTAAATATTAACTCAGGACAATGACTTAAATTTGTATCCTTTCCAATAACAATGTGCCTATGCTAGAAAACTCACATTTGTGTCCTCTTCCTCATTACCAATCACATCCTGTATGTTGCCAAAGCACAGCATGGTGGTTACAAGCATATCTTTGGAGTCAGACAGATCTTGATGTGAGTCCAGGATCTGCTACTTATTCACTGTGAAATACCATAATATATTACAATGTACAGAGTAGTTCTTGGTATATAAAAGAGAGCACAGGTATAGAAAGTGAGTAACTACCTGGCACAGTTAGGAAAGACTGCTCAGGCACATAGAGCAATTAAGTAACCTGCCCAAGGTCACACACACTGGGATATGGGGGCACCGGGATGTAAGGCCCTAGTCTATCTGATTCTAGAGACTTCCTTCTTTATCAGTATGCTATACTGCCTCTAGAAGTGTGTTCTTGTATGGGCACCTTCATTCCCCCTCAACCCTAGCACCTAATTCTCTACCTGGCTTGTGGTAAAGCTTTCAAATAGTTGGATAAATGAATGGATGGACAGACTAACAGACCATCAAAACTTTCCAGAACATGTTGAAACAAACTGGGTTTTGAGAAAACCTGTAATCACATACCAGATTTATTTTCTGCCTCACCATCACTACCAAGCTCAGAGAAGCCACTCTGAGACAAATAACTGAATGCATTTCCTCTGTTTGAATATAATTTCTATGAGTGCCAGTCTTTTTATGGCATGTGGTAACTGAATGAGCCTGGGCAAGTTATTTAACATCTTGGTATGTCAGCTGCCTCTACTGAAAGTGGAGGTAAGAACTCAGTCTCACAACGTTGTTGAAGATTAAATGCAATAATATGTATAACTGCTCAGCACATGGCCTGGGGGGAAGGGTGCTCAATTTTAGCTACAGTCTTATAGTCAACTTTAGCTATAAGCTCCTTATTAAAATGGGCAGAACCTGAAGGGAGAATCAGTAATTAAAATAATCATTTTAAAGTAGGTAACTTACAGGAAATATTCTAAGATTCCCCATTCATAACTCCCTATAAAGAACTCTTACATTAAAGCCCACATACTGATGAATACAAATACATCACCAAAAAGCTACGAATTTATCAACTTGCTATACAGCTAATGATGATAAGGTGTGAGTCTCGTAAGAAATGCCTTCTCTCACCTGACTGGTTTTTGCTGTTCTGCACCTCTCCGTTATTTTGTGGCTGTTGATTTGTTAAAGCACTGCTTTCTGACTGGCTGTTTAACACCTTAACAGCAGATCCAAGGTTTGCTGCTATAACAGGAAAATGCTGACCCCTCTTTAGAAGCTGTTTGTGTTCCTGGTGGCGAAATCGTGGAGGTACTTCACGAGGATACCGAGGCAAGGCCTGTGGCTGCTGCTGTGGCTGCTGCTGCTGCGGCTGCGGCTGTGGCTGCTGCTGTGGCTGCTGCTGCTGCGGCTGCTGCTGTTGCTGCTGCTGCTGTGGCTGCTGATTGTTGGCTGTAGCTCGCTTGGCATTATTATTAGTGCTGGTTGCTGTGGAAGTGCCGTTATTAGAGTTGGCAGGCTGAGGCTGGCTTACACTGGGCTTTATCTGTTCTGGCACTAATCCCAACAAAAGAAAAGGGGTGGAAAAGATTAGCCAGTAAAGTGTACCTCCAAAGTAAGCCATCTAAATTCAAAGGCACTAAGAAAAATAATCCTAAAAAAACAGAAGCTTTCTGTGAGCAGGGATATCCTCATTTACAGGCTCAAATTTTGTTAGGAGATGTCACTGCCAAGAGTCATATTTCACTTCTGCTACCTACCTACCCAATAAGGGCCCAGGGACCTTCGGCCAAGACAACAACTCATGTTCACTATCTCTTTTACCACATTACTCTCTGGTCAAAGACATCATCATCGGATCATTACAAAACCAGGGAACTCGCAATGACTCAAAGAACAAATGTGGCCAACCAATTTTCAGTAGTCCTAAGGGAATCCTCTATTCCTTGGCAACTGTTCTTATTCTGCCTCATTGTTAATGTGTTTGGTCTCTATTTTTCATCTTTGGAAGACAACACAAGAACAACACAAGGTTAGAAAACAACCTGCTGGTTTTCTTACAAAAAGGCTAAGTTAACAATGTCTGTATTTGCTAAAAATGTAATATCTGAATCATATAAGACAAACTCAGAACATGGAACTAAAGACAAAGATAACGTTATCTATGAGATGAATCAAAATGAGATAAATAATCTGGATGCTCTATCTTAAATCTGAAAAATAAATCGGAAACTGCAAATAGGGAAATTTTTGACTCATAAAAGAGTGGAAAGAAAGAAATAAAACGGATGGAAATGCCTTAAGCTAGTGTAAGTAAACCCAGTTGGAGAAGTACAGAGATGCATGGTGTATGAGCTTTTGGTGCCAGGTTTCAACCCCAGCCCTGCCTTTACAAGCTTTCTGTCTTTGGGCAAGTTGTATAAACCTAACTGAGCCTGCTGTTTTCTCGGTAAAATGGAGATAGTACCTACACCTTGCAGAGCTATCCTAAGGTTAAATGTCTTCATGTTTATAAAACACAGAACATAAGGCTATATAAACAGTGGCTATTCGTTAATGACTGACACAATACCACCTTATACTTTGGTAGCAGTTGAATGTTTCTATGAAATGCTGTAATGTATCCTCACAGATACCACTGTCAGATAAGTGAAGTGAAACACCCCCATGTTACTGGTGAGGGCACTCAGAGAAAAATCTCCATTCAAGGGTTAAGAGCTCCCACCCTGGAATTAAAACAGCCCACTATTCACCATCTGAGTTACCTCTGTGTCTTTCTCCTCCATAAAGTAGCAACAGTCTTGGTCAAGTGCCCAGTGTGTTGTAACCACTCAGTAAACAGAAGTGAAGTTATTACTGTGTCCAAAAGAAATCTTTATCAAATGCCTACAATATATATGACAATGTCATTAAAGCCTTGGTCACCTGAGTTTACAATAGCCACCAACTTCCTCTTCCACACTCTCAGCTCTAGCCTCCCTTCACCTAACAAACTGATCTCCCCATTTTCTTTCTTCTCTGAACATCTGGTAAATTTAGTCTATGTCATTTATACTTTTTTAATATAATATATGATCTTAGCCTCTTTTTTTTTTTCCATGTGACTTCCATTTTTCTAAAGTAATACAAATTGTAGTTCAGGAAGAATTACAGTGAATAATTACAAATATTCCATCTACTGTTTATAATCCTTTCCATTCTTGATGCTCACTGATGAGTCTCTTACTGATAATTGGGGCAAAGTGCTTTCTAGGCCTAATTATGGGTGAAAATTTTGTCTCCCAGACAATATAATGCTTCTAATATGTAACAATAACGTATATTCCTTCGTGTACCTCATGCAGTAATAAGCAGACACTGGCTATCAAAAACACTTCATGAAGACCATATGGCACTAGAATATTCTAAAGTACCTCTGAAACCTAAGGAAGATAAAGTACAGGCAGCCCTCCACATCCATGTGTGCCCCACCCACAGATTCAACCAACCATGGATCAAAAATACTAAGCAAACAAACAAACCAAAAATAAAAATATAAATAAAAACCAATGCAATTATTTACACAGCATTTACATTATATTTGGTATTGTAAGTAATCTAGAGATGATTCAAAGCATATAGAAGAATGTGTCTAGGTTATATGCAAATACTACACCATTTTATATAAGGGACTTGAACATCCATGAATTCTGGTATCTGTTGGGGGTCCCGGAACCAATGCATCACAGATACCAAGGGACAACTGTATATGTAACATTATGAGGAACATAAAAATGCTTACTCAGCTTTTACATGCTTAGTACTGGACTTAGTGTGGCATCTGGCAATTGAACATCAACTTAAGGTGGCAGCTACCTGCTGCTGTAATACAGGTTTGTTGCCACTTCATTACTTTAAAAATCTAAACATTAAAAAAAAAATTGTGACAGTTTTAGGTCCAAACAAAGTCTGTGAGAAAGGAGCAGGAAGATGCTTTTTATTTATCAAAGAACCAGAAGAAAACCTATATACAAAAACTGTGAATGATCTATATGAAGGCATGAACTCAAGTAACTGCTGTACTTCTGATCAGTAAAGTACCATGTGGAATACAAAGCTGAGATAGGTATTCATTTCCGGGGCCAGAAAGCTTCATTAAAACCAGTAAAGACATCAAGACAATGTAACTACTGATTATTACATGAAGCTAATCTGAAGTACAATCTTAGATACAAAATAAGACATAGAAGTAATGAGTGCAGAAGGAGTAAACAGTGAACGTAGGTGGGGGTTGCTAGGTAACAAATATCAATACTGACTAATACTGGCATGGTTTATGTGTAGTTAAAAATTTTAAGTTAACTATGTTCATAATCACCCAAACCACTGGAAGGGGGGAAAAAGGAAAATTAGAAAACTTCATCTATTCAACGGACATGGAAAATGGAATTTTAAAAAATTTCAAAATTCTGGTTAATGCAAACTAGGATGCTAAATAGAAGCCCCCAATTATCTGTGTCACAATAAATGTGAATGGGTTAAGTTCACTTGTTAAAAGATAAAGCCTCTTAAACTAAGAAAGGAAAAACAATATACTTCGCAAAAAGCACTCCTAAAACAAAACAATGCAGCAAGGTTAAAAAAAAAAGTAGAGAGGAAGATATACAACCAAGAAAGGCTAAGAAAATTAAAATGAAAACAATATTGATATCAGACAAAATTCAAAGAGAAAAGCATTATAAAGGATAAGACAAATTTCATATTCATAATAAAAAAAACAACTAAAAAGATATGAGCAATTAAGCACTTTCATATGCCAAGCCTCATAATACCAAAACATGCAAAATAAATGGAGACAGAGAAAACCGGAAAAAAGCAAAACCATGTATCTTGAAAACAGGTAACATCTTTTTGACAAATGCCCATGAAACAATCATAGGTTAACATGCATGCATGCATGTACACGCGTGCACAAACACACACACATGCATGCCATACAGCAGCAAAGAAAACATCAATAAACTGCAAAGGCTAGAAATAATACAGTGGATATTTCTGGATTACAATACAATGTCACTAAAATGATAAAACTAGCAAATAAAAATCTGCCTTAAATAAATTTCAACTGCATAACACAAATTTTGCAGCTAAAAACAGAAAAGAAAAAGAAGAAAAAAGTACATTTCAAGATGAAGAAGAAATAAACACTAAATTACAGGGTTACCAAGAAATTAATACTGGAAACACTGCATACAATACATTTTAAGATCCAGCTAAACCAGTGCACACAAAAAAATTCATAGCCTTATTTCCAACAAGAACATAATAATCCAACTCAAGAAGGGGGAAAACACCCGCACATACTAAAGTAAAGGAAATAGAAAGACGGAATTAGTAAATATAAAAGAGAGATCAATGACTTTTAAAGTAAATCTATATAATCCAAGGCATGCTTCTATGAAAAAGAATAGTTAAAACTTTATTAAAAAAATGAAAATGGAAAAAAATAACCTTCGGCAATTAATATATTTATGTTCAAATCTATAAATAGTTTGAAAAGCTGGAGGAGGGAGTAATTTAACACTGACTATAGAAGAGGCAGGAAATCTAAACAGATTAGCTAGTTTACATAGAAGAAATAAGACAAATTTATGAAAGTGTCCATCAGGATCAGATAATTTCCCTGATGAATACTACCATACTTTTTCTTTTTCACTAGTATATACTTGTTTTTGGAGACAAGAGTCTCGCTCAGGCTGGAGTGCTGTGGTGCAATCTTGGCTTACTGCAACCTCCACCTCCCTGGTTCAAGTGATTCTCATGCCTCAGCCTGAGGAGAAGCTGGGATTACAGGTGTGTGCCACCAGCCCCGGCTAATTTTTCTATTTTTAGTAGAGATGGGGTTTTGCCATTGGCCAGGCTGGTCTCGAACTCCTGATCTCAGGTGATCCTCCTGCCTTGGCCTCCCAAAGTGCTGGGAGCCACTGCACATGGCCTTTAATAGTGTTTTTTTTTTTAGGCAGGGTTTTGCACTTGTTTCCCAGGCTGGAGTGCAATGGCGCGATCTTGGATCTTGGCTCACTGCAACCTCTGTCTGCCTCCCGAAGTCTTGCAACAACAAGACCTTGTTTCAAAAAAAGAAAAAAGAAAAAGAAAAAGAAACACGTATCTCTAAATCTAATCGCATTTAAATTATTGGAGAGCACAGTAAAAGATGGAGCACCAACATAACACTGTTACCAATAAGTCAGGCTAAATTTTGGTCATCCCAAACAATGGGAATAAAAACAAGAGATATAAATAGCACTGGGAATGAAAAAGACACAAATTCAAACGTGGAGATTACCAAAAGACAAGAAAATACTATGTACAATCTATCCCAGTAAAACAAAACCCAACTAAATTGAACTATGTTATACAACAGGGGTTGGCAAGTTCTTTCTGTAAAGATGAGAGAGTAAATATTTTGGGCTTTGCAGACCACAGAATCTGTGACAACTACTCAACTCTGCCAGTGTAGCACCAGAGCAGTCATAGACAACAGGTAAATGCAAACAAATGGATGTGACTATATTTCGTAACACTGCATATGCAAAAACAGGCAGTGGGCCAGATTTCACTTGCAGACTGTAGTTTTCCAAACTCTGCTTTATCAAATATAATTTACCAAAATAGGCTCACAGAGGAATAGAAGGTCCTATAGTATAACAGCAGAAACTCTGAAAGGGTCTCCCAAGATTTATCCCTCCAAAACACACCAGGAATACAAAAACAAAAAAGCCAGGCACAGCAGCAGATGTCTGTAGTCCTGAGGCAGGAGGATCGCTTGAGCCAAAAAGTTCAAGTCAGGCATGGGCAATATGGTAAGGCCCCAACTCCTGAATAACATAACATAACATAACATAACATAACATAACATAACATAACAACATAACATAACATAACATAAAACATAACATAACATAACATAACATAACATAACATAACATAACATGCACCAGGCTCAGATAACTTTACAGGGGGCGTGTGTGGATGGGTGTGTATCCTCAAGAAACATGTAATATTAATCTTACCTAAACTGTCCCAGGACAAGAAGTATAGGTTCAAAAGACTGGATGGATTCAAATCTCAGCTCTGCAACTTACTAGCTATATGACCATGGGCAAGGCACTTAACCACACTGCCTCTGCTGACTCACATCTCGAATGTTTTGGTCTCAAGGTCCTTTATACTCTGAAACACTGAGAACTCCAAAAGGTTTCGTTTATGTGTGTTGTATATACATTTACCATAATAAAAGTTTAAACAAATATTTTAAGTGAGTTAAAAATAAATTTATTACATACGAACATACATACATTTAAAAAAAATTGTTCTATTTTCCATAACAAAATTAGTGAGAAGCATGGCACTGTTTAACATTTCTGTAAGTCTCTCTAACATCTGGCTTAACAGAAGGTAGGTGGATTATCACATATGCGCCTGCATCCAATTTGTTGTGGTATCCCACACTGTGTCACCTCTGGAAAACTCCACTATATACTCATAATAAAAGTGAAACAGGCAAATAAAGTCTTCCTGTTATTATGAAAATTGATTTGACCTCATGGATCTCATGAAAGAGTTTTGAGGAGCCTCCTAGGGATCCTGTCCTCAGGTAAACTTCGAGAACCATTGCTACAGAATATGCACACACGGGATGCAACTGAATATATGGTTCTGGAGTTCAAAAAAGTTTGGATTAAAAATATGGATTTAAGATTCAACATACAGGTGAGAAAAGAGTTGTAGAGGAAGAAATGACAAAACCTAAGAATGGGTTTAAGCAGCAGATAGAAGGAGGGAAGTAAAGGCAAGAATAAGTCATAACTGCCAGAGTGACGGGAGAGAAACTTCATTTTAGGTAATGGCTTAACTATCTATGTAGTTACTCAAGCAGGAATTTCTTCCTCAATTTCTCCCTACTCCCCTGTATCTAGTCAGTCAACAGGCCCAACAGAATACCTCAAATTCAAATGCATCCTGTGTCTCCAACGCCACTTCTTTGATTTAGGCCCTCAACAATTTACTCTCACAAAAACCTCCTAATGGGACTGCAGGCCTGGCTCAAGTCTTGATCCCTGCCCCACCCACTTTCACGCATCCCGAAATCTATCATCTACCTGCCCCAAGTTATCTGTATCATAAAACCACTTTTGGAACTCCTTTCTAAACTCCTTGGCATGGCCCCTCTCTACCTTTTTCCAGATTCATATCCTGCTATGTCCACACTCACTGCATTCTCTTCTACCACACCAAATACTTGCAATTCCCCAAAACGTATCACGTTCTTTCACGCTATTTCTTTTGCTCAAAATGCCTTGATACCTTTCTTGCAAATATTTTTGTCGTTTTTGCCTAGAAAACATCTAATTTCCCCCACCCCCAGACTGGGCGTATCTTAGAAGCATGTTATGTTATGACAACCAGATTGCCCTCCTCTATTCTGATGAAACTCTTACAAATCCCTTACAATGCAGTCAATGTGCTCTGTAAGTGCTGGTTTCTTATTTCTCCTTCACTTTATCACTAGCATTTCCTGAACCAAGCAAAGCAAATGCTGGTTGAATGAATAATCCAGGAATTGCCAAGCATACACAAAGTGACTGGATCTATGCAAAACAAGATAGAACAATACTGAGGATTAAACACTGTGGAATATCAATATTCAAGAGGTGCAATAATGAAGAACCAGTAAAGAAAAGAGAAAGAATGATCAAGAGGAAGAGTAAGTAAGAATGATGGTCACTGGTTAGTATGCTGCTGAATGCATCAATAGTTTTAAATAAATCTCTGCTCTAAAAAACACCTACAGCTGGCATGGAGAGAGCAGGACAAGACCAGCCACTGAGATCATTAATGTGAGAAGGTTCTCTAATTAGCCCTGAGACTGCCCTGGTCCATATCAAAAAAGATTTTAATGGAAAAGAGTTACATTTAGCTAGGATAAAACATAGATATCTAGTAAAGAGCTCTATTTTTAGGGTTTTTTTTTTTTTTTTTGGTCATACTGTGACCCCACCCATCTATTTCACAGTTTTAAAGAAATGGGAAAAAAAATTTTAACTGGTCCAAAAATGAACAAGTTAAACTTTTAAGAATGGAAAAATTATCTATTCAAAGAATTCACCCTACCTTTTCCTAGTCTGTGTTCCAAATCAGGACCCCCCACTTTGTGAAACAATGAAATGCACCAATAAGACAAATAAATTAATTTTTGCTAAGCTTTGCTATTCTACAAGCTTTCTTGATATTTCTTATATAAAAACATATCATTCTGTAAGTCTAAAACTGTTTTAAAAAATAGCCTCTTAATTGAAAAAAAATAGCAATTGTCTTATATTCACATGAAAACCCAAGAACAGACAATATAACCAAAGTTCTAAATATACCAAGTTCTAAATTTGTAATACCATTTTAATTAATACTTCTTTAAATGTTTAAAATACTTTATGTCACCTTAATAAACTGATTTCAGAAAATATTTAATGAACTTCACTTTGACTATCTACAAGTTTAACAGAAAGAAGTTAAATGTGGACCAGCCAACAATCATCTACCAATCCCCAAAACATCAATTTCCATGCCTTAATACCTCAAGCCCTTACATTATTCCTATCTGTCAAAGTCTACTATTTAACTTTGTATAATAGTTTTCACATTGGCTACTTTGTAAATCTTCTAAAACACTGGCAGAAATACAGTACACAAAACGCTGCTTTAACACATGATGTCACTTTAAGAGACTGGAGTGCTAAGTTGACCTCTAGAAAATATAACTTAGTAAACACCTATAAAATATACAGTGCATTTTAATACTTCTCTTGGCAAACTTTAAATTTACCTAAAATTGCTATTTCTATATGTGTCGTTATATAGGAAAACAAAAAACCATCAAGTTAAGCTCCTAAAAGACAAGATGGAGTGTACCAATGACAGCTCTTCAGTTAGAAAATGTTATTCTCAAGTAAGAGCAACAACAAAGGATTTTCCTAAGTATCTTTCATTGCAATTAAGATTTTTTTTTTTTTTTTTTTTTGAGACAGAGTCTCGCTCTGTCCCCCAGGCTAGAGTGCAGTGGCACGATCTTGGCTCACTGCAAGCTCCACCTCCCGGGTTCACGCCATTCTCCTGCCTCAGCCTCCCGAGTAGCTGGGACTACAGGCGCGCCCGCCACCACGCCTGGCTAATTTTTTGTGTTTTTAGTAGAGACGGGGTTTCACCGTGTTAGCCAGGATGGTCTCAATCTCCTGACCTCGTGGTCCGCCCGCCTCAGCCTCCCAAAGTGCTGGGATTACAGGCATGAGCCACCGCGCCCGGCCCAGGCACACTTTTTAAAAGAAAAAAATTCAGATTGCCTATTAATCTCTCTTCCATAACATAAAAGTACAGAATGGCTCTCTTCAAATTTGCTTATTAGAACTGTTTAGAAGCAAAAGATTCTTCAGCCTTACACTTACTAATCAGAATCCATATATTTAAAAACAAGTATCACATGGGGTTCTCATGTCTGAGTAAGTCTGGAAAACAGTTCTGGAAGACACTGTAGCAATCTCTAGAGAGCTTCAGCTTCCATTTGTGACTCAAAATTTAAAAATAAGAAAAAACATAAACATAATACCTGAACATTCAAGTAGAAGTTAGTTCCCACTGAGTTTTTAATTCCCTAAAGTTATATAATAAAGAAACTGTCATTAAATCACTGAAGATATAAATTAGTTAAGAAATACAGAATGGTTAGTTGATTTTTTAAATTAGGAAAAAAGTCCCAAATATACAGTATAAAAATAAACTTCAGCTAAATTAAACAATTAATACTATAAAATGCTAGAGATTTTAAAAGCTTTTGCAAAACATGGGCAAACTATTTTCTAAATCTGGAAAAATGGTATGTTTTCTCAGCATAGCAATTAGTCAAGAACTTTAAGAATAAAAAATAAATTTGATAAAATAGATAAAATACTGATGTGTATTTTTTCAAATGTGTATATTCCAATTTAAAAGGGAAACTGGAAAATACCTGTCCTTTAGAACAAATTAAAGGGATCCATTCTGTTCCTTCCCAACCCTCCTCACCTCGACTTTCCCTAATCTAAGGAAAGATATGTTTTAGTTTAAGGATACTAAATCTAATACAGAGAAGCATTCAACACACTAGAGTTTAGGACTGAAGTCCAAGCTAATAGTACAAATGTGATTTAATTGTGCTTTCCTCCTTCTGAACATGTATTTGCATCTTCAGCGTATGTATTCCCAATGGGGCACCTGGGATTAGGCAAAATTTAGATATTCTTGCCTCGTATCTCATCCTCAGAATGACTTCATATATACGATATGGTCCACAATGTGGGAAATATTTGCATCAAATACATCTGATGAAATGTTAATGAGTTTATTATACAAAGAGCTCAAGTAAACTGCTAAATAAAACTCTAGGTCCAAGAACTAAATGGGCAAATAGTAAGGATGGGAAATTCATAAAAAGAAAAAAGTGTGGCCGAGCACAGTGGCTCACGCCTGTAATCCCAGCACTTTGGGAGGCCGAGGCAGGTGGATCACTTGAGGTCAGGAGTTCGACACCAGCCTGGTCAACACAGTGAAACCCTGTCTCTACTGAAAGTACAAAAATTAGCTGGGTGTGGTGGCAGGCGCCTGTAATCCCAGCTACTCAGGAGGCTGAGGCAGGAGAATCGCTTGAACCTGGGAGGTGGAGGTTGCAGTGAGCTGAGATCGCGCCATTGCACTCCAGCGTGGGCGACAGAGTGAGACTACACGTCAAAAAAAAAAAAAAAAAAAAGATAAAAAGAAAAAAGTACAAGTGATTATGCATGGCAAACAAATAAATACAAGTCAAAGAAAAAAGACCAATTTTGGCCTGCCAAATTTATGAAGTTGATAGATCCCATCCTCATGTTTTAAGACCTATTCCTTGCACTGCACTGTGATTCACCTTTGCTGGGCTGGGTTCTACTTTAATGGGAAGCAAAAGCAAATCACTTCTGGGTATGGAGGAACCCTGAATTAGCTGGAGAAACTGCTAGCATGTCATTTCAAGGGACTGAAAGGTTGCTAGGATATTGCAAAACCACAATGGTGGATATTAAAATTTACCAAGTATCAGCTAGATGCCAGGCAATGTATCTGTTATCTCTTTATTCTCTTTGTGAGTCCATAAATTTGAAATATTATTCCCATTTTACAGATGAGGCAAATGCAGTTCAGAAAGCTATTCATGCTCGAACGTCTAGTAAATGGCAGAGGTGAAATTTAAAACCCAATGTGACTCCCAAACAAGTGTTCCTTCTAGTATACATTATTTTCATCTTAATTATAAGGGCAAAAACAAACTCTCTAAAAATAAAGGGCTAAGTACCGATTAACCACTTTAAAAATTATTTCATAGCCATTAATGTTTTTTTCATATCTACTTCCTGTTTCCTTTGTCCTGTAGATCAGTCTCATCAGACATAAATTTCTACCAAATTTAATAAATGTATTAGTATTTAAAAGCAACAAATCTACGTTTGTTAGAAATAATCCTTGCCTAAAGCCAAAACGGGTCTCCTTAGCATTCTTCATAGCCTCCCTGAGTACATAAATCTAGACTTACATGTATAAATCTATGGAAATCATTTTCCTTTCACAATAGGAGGAAAGAAAAAATAGTGACTTTGTTACATGATCTACCTAAAAATAATCATTTTATTAACTATTTCCCATGAAAGTGGAAGGCCATTTTTTTTTCATTCTGTTAGTGCAGAGCTACAAATCTTATTTGTTACATAGCTCAAAGACATCTTCCACAGGAAGAAAAATACCTGCCATTAGTAAATTCTTAACCGGTATGAACCTATGCTTCTATTTTAAAGAGGTTAGTGCACATATGCCTTCTAAATATCTCATAAAAAACCACCGTAGCACATTTAAAATCCTGGTATTATTACTTAATACCACCCTACAACACAAAAATCATTTCTACTATGTAGACTGTGGAGAAAAACAGTGAACTAAGCCCCAACTGTAACAGCAGAACTACCCAACCTGTGTGATGGAAACAGGCTATGGGGAGATGGGGTGACTAGACTTGACTCTCTGGGATTGTCATCTTCAGCTGTGAGTGGCCTTTTCTGTTTACCCTAATGGCCCTGCAAGTATCATTTTCTCTGTGTATCATTAGGTTACATGCTTGAAGTTACAAACTACTTGAGCCTCAGTTTTCTCCTCTGAGAATCCAGGCAGTACAGTAACCCCTATGAAGCCATCAAAGTTCCTGAAATTCGTTATAATAGAAGGCTTGTAATTGGGAAACTTAAGGTCTTATGGATTCCCACAAAAATTAAAACTGGAACTACCATATGACTCAGCAATTCCTCTTCTAGGTATACAGTAGTCCCCCTCCTTTTCCAAGATTTCACTTTCCAAAGTCTTACCCCATGGTCAGCCACAGTACAAAAATAGGCGAGAACAGTACAATAAAGTATTTTGAGAGAGGGACCAAATTCTGATAACTATTACAACAGATTATAATTGTTCTATTTTATTTTATTATTAGTTGTTAATCTCTTACTATACCTAATTTATAAATTGAACTTTATCATAGGTATGTTGTATAGGAAAAAGCATATTATTAATAGCATATATGAGGTTCAGTACTATCCGAGATTTCAAGCATCCACTGGAGGCTTGGAACAGATTCTCTGTGGATACAGGGGGATTACTGTATACCCAAAGGAAATGAAATCAGAACCATGTAGAAATACCTGTACTCCCATGTTCATGCCAGCATTATTCACAATGGCCAAGATATGGAAACAAACAACCTATGGATAAATAAAGATGAATAAATTGTGGTCTGGGTGCAGTGGCTCAAGCCTGTAATCCCAGCACTTTGGGAGGCTAGGTGGGCGGATCATTTGAGGTCAGGAGTTTGAGACCAGCCTGGACAACATGGTGAAACCCCGTCTCTACTAAAAATACAAAAATTAGGTGTGGTGGTACGCGCCTGTAATCCCAGCTACCCAGGAGGCTAAGGCACAAGAATCATTTGAACCCGGCAAGTGGAGGTTGCAGTGAGCTGAGATCATGCCACTGCACTCCAGCCTGGGCGACAGAGCAAGACTCTGTCTCAAAAAAAAAAAAAAGAAAAGAAAAGAAGAAATTGTGGCAAATATATACAAAGGAATATTATTCAGCTTTTAAACAGGAGAGCCTGCCATTTGCCACAACATGGATGAACCTGGAAGACATTGAGTGATGTAAGCCAGACACAGAAATAAAAATACTGCCAAGATCTCACTTACAAGTGGAATCTTAAAAAAAAAAAACAGTCAAATACATAGAAACAGAGAACAGAATAGTGGTTAGGGAGGGTAGATATAGGTCAAAGGGTACAAAGTTGCACGTATGTGGGTAAGTCTAGGGATCTGATATATAGTTAATAATATTGTATTGTATACTGGAAATTCGCTGAGAGTAGGTTTTAGGTGCTTCTACCAAAAAAACAGGGTTAACTGTGAGGTGATAAGTATATTAATTTGCTTGACTGTGGTATTCATTTCACTGTGCATATGCATACCAAAACATTATGTTGTACACCTTAAATATATATAATAAACAAGATCTTATGGAGAAAATGGAGTGATAAGTTCAGATCACAGGTAAATGACAAAGGCCTTTAATCACATATTTACCTTTACCAAAATAAAGATGAGAATGGAAGTGCAGTGGGAACAGGAACCTGGGGGTTGTTTTGTTCATGCTTATTACCAGTGACCATAACATTGCATAAAACAGGGTAGGCAAACAGTAAGTATTTCATGAATGATGAATGAAGGAAATAATGTCACTTTATGAAACCTGAGTTTAGAATAATGGATTATTACGTAAGTATTTTTCATTTCCTTCGTTTCTCAAGATGACCTCATGAGATAGTGAAACATGGATGATACTGGCAGTGATGACTGAAAGAAAAAGTAAAGAGGTGCTCTGTTTATTAATGAGAAGGGGACAAACTAAAAACTTCTTCCTTCAACACAAACTTAGCCATCTCAGTCACATTCTAGAGGCTAAACTGTGTGCTATGATTTTAACAAATGTACTGGTCAACAGGCATACTGGAAAAGGATTTAACTGTTATTCAAGCCCTTCAGAAAGGGTCCTCCACCCTTTGAAGAATGATGAAATGAAGGGTTCTTTTTTAGCAAAATTGTCATTACATTTCCCTTACAGGTGTAGCAAAAAAACACTTTGAACGTAATTTAGTACTCTGGTTTTGCTCCACAGAAGGATCAGTGTTTACTGCATAGAGATCAAAGCATGCAGGAGATTTTAGAATCAGCTGCTTGCTTGGCTCTCAAAACTCTTGTTCATTTTCATCAACAACCAAAGATGTAATAAACAATTTAAGAGCCAATGCCTCACCCATCACAAAGCTGTCAAATTCTCTGATTCACAAAATTATACTGGTGCTACAATTTAAAAAAAAAAAATCTACACGCTTAATCAATAGAGAAATACTGTAAAATCTGTTCCAAGATCTTTCTGGATTCCTTTTAAAAGATGAGTTGTTTTAGTTTATTCAGTGACTACTGTTGCAGCATGAGCAATGGTGTGTCCTTCACATCTTGTCTTCCATGTAACTGCAGGGGCTGTTTTTAAAGAAACAGAAGCGGTAGAGCCCAGTCAAGTTCGTAGTCAAATTCTGGCTCAGGCATTCGTTAGCTGCATAACCTGGGCAAGTTAGTTAATTTTTCCTAGCCTAATTTCACCTGTAAGTGGTGCTAATATCTACTTTCAAAGGGCTGCTGAGAGGATTAAACGTAAACTTACCTTGTGCTAGTATACACTGAAGGCCTACTCTCACATCAATTTTTAAATATAGACTACGTGAGTCCCAGAATACCCAGCCCCTGCTCTGGATCCCAAAGATTTCCAAAATTCAGTAACTAAAGTAACTCTTAGCACATTAAGAAGCTTTCAGGACCCTGTTCTGAACTGCTGATACCCATTCATTATTAGTGGTTAAATATTTAGAATATTTTCCTTGATTAAATGAAATAAAGCACAGTGCCTGGCACATAGAAGGTGCTCTAAGTCAGCTATAATAATGTCTACAATATGATTTGACATGCAGCTGACTTAATAGATAGTGAATATTTTTATCACCCAGATGTAGTAACATTGTGTTTGACAGAAAAACAAATATTAAGGCTAGAATTGATAAAAAATAACTGTGCCAATTGTGGCAGGAAAAAATGTATAAATGTTGACTTAATTTCATGAGTTTTTAATTAACCCAGAAACAGAGCGGCAGTAATAAACTAAACTTCGCTATTTTATCACCCAAAAAATAAAATCTCAATCCTTTTTTCTCCATTGCTGTTTCCCACTAGGATCTCCCCGGGCTTCCCATAACTCCCTTAGGAGCTCAGGGGTTTATTACTCTTTGGAAGATACCTTGCTCATGAAATCACTCAAAAAAGGCACTGGCACTGATATGAAGGAGTGAGACAAGAAGGGGAAGAGACAGAGGAAAAAGAGGTCAGGAGAGAGAGAGAAAATTAGCTGTCAAAAATCAACAGTGCTTACTTATTCTTTTGAAATGAATGTACAATCAACATGCTTCCCAAAAAACCCAATGTCAGCCAGCTGCGGTGGCTCACGCCTACAGTCCCAACTACTCAGGAGCCTGAGGCAGGAAGATCGTGTGAGTCTAGGAGTTTGAGACCAGCCTGGGTAATGTAGCATGATCACGTTTAAAAAAAGAAAAAGAAAAAAAAATAGCCTGCCCCTACAGTCCCAGCTACTCAGGAGGCAGGAGGATTGCTTGAGCCCAAAAGTTCAAGGCCGCAGTGAGCTATGATTGTGCACTACACTCCAGAGCGAGACCCTGTCTCCTTAAAAAAAAAGAAAAAAAAAAGTCAATGCCAGAGTTGTAAAACTGTTTTTAAAAAATTTTCTTATTCTCAACCAAGTTCCCAAGGACACTCTGAAGAAGGAACATTAGCTCTTTCCTTGCCTTTACATTACATATACCACAGGGCATCTTAAAATTTATCCATCTATCCCTATACCTCACCTGAAGTTTTTTAGCACTTCACTCTCCTGCTGTTTCAAGGACATACTCGTAAGAGACATATTTTAAAAGATTTTTTAAATATTCAAATATTTGTGTTCTTTACAGTTTTTCAAAGTTGAAGTCACAAGAATAAAACTTTCAAGAACGTCATTACGTTGCCCATTACACTTTAGAGCTATGTTGTCCCGTAAGATTAAAAATTTAGTTCCTCAGTCACAGTCCCATTTCTGGTACTTGACAGCCACATGTGGCTAAACTTGGTCTTTACACAGACTCTACAACACAGAAAGAGAAAAAAATCATACTGACATTATGAACTGTAAGAGAAGCAGGAATTCTGGAATAGGCAGACTCTTCTGATTTTTAAATGTTGGCAGTCATTTTAAAATGTACAGGATAACAATAAAAACACTGCAGAAACCAGAAACTGGGGAGGCCTGACAACTAAATGCAAGGCAGCATTTCGCATCGGATCCTAGAATGGAAAGCCGTTAATGGAAAAACTGGTGAGGTTAGTATCATGGTTGGTTTTTTAGTTTTGACAAATGTACCATGGTAATGTAAGATGCTAATAATCGGGGAAACTGAATGAAGCGTATATGAGAAGTCTCTGTACTATCTTTCCAACTTTTTTGTAAATCTAAAATTATTCCAAAATACAAAGTTTAGTAAACACCACCACCACCAAGTAGGCCACATCTGCCCCTCAAGTCTCCAGTTTGTAATCTCTAACCACTATGTGAACCCCAAACTATAAATACTACCTAGACAAATACATAGCACAGAAATAAAACAATACATTTTCATGAATCAGAAAAAATGGGAACAATTATGAAGAGAGACAGCGTGAAAAGAAGGATGACATGAGTGAAATCACTGGCAAAACAACAAAATGTATTCTGAAGTGACCTTCATATACTCAGCCTATCATCTACAGAGTCGTGGAAAAATCTAAAAACAAGAAGACTAAATATGTTCATATTTTATGTAAGGCTAGAAGAAAATTATTTACATTTAGAAATGATATAAACACTAGGTACTCAAAGATGTTGAAGAAACAAATATCCAAGGATCAGTCAAAAATGTAAGAATATAACCAAGTGCCCAAATTTGAGATTATAACATCCTAAGAAACTGGAAAGGGAGAGATCAATGGTACTTGGAGAGACCCATTCAAGGATGAACTCTGAGAGGTTTAGGAAAGCTGAAAGGCCTGATAAAGACATCTTTGGCTGATAAATTGAATAAAAAAGAAACAAGAATGAACATGAAAGAGCTAAGAATGCTCTAAAAAGTATAAGGACTGATGGGAAACAGGCTGGTTAGGTCAAGGGAGGTTAGATTAATGAGGGCCTTGAAAGCTAAGCAAAGGAGTTTGGTCTTGAAGCAAGAACAAATAGGGACAACTTACCATTGCTATGTGGGGGAGAGGGGTGGGGAAAATAGAGTTTTAGGAAAATTAATTTGGTAACATTCCTACTAATTTGGCAATGTTCCTCCCTACATTCCGCATCCTTGTAACTGTCTTAGACATTCCAAGTTCAAAGCCACAAATGCGCCTTCAACTCCTCTTCTGATCTCATCAGTTGCCAGTCCTGTCAATTATCCCTCACACATCTGTCACCCACCTTCTACCTCTACTGCCAAGACCTCAGTTCAAACCCTCATGACCCTCTCTAATCTTGCTTCTATTGGTGACTTTAGGCACTACTGGCAAAGTTAAATTTCCACAGCTTATGACCATGACATTCCAAATCCAAACACCTTTGCTGGCTTAACCAGCATGAAGCCCTGTGGCTCCCTCTATCTCCAGGCCTATATTCAGTCACTTCCCCCCAACTCTAGAGACAAAAGATGCACGTCGTATTCCCCATGCTGTCTACCTGCCTCCTCTGCTCACAATGCCTTTCTTCTCTTAGCTCTACCTTTCAAATCCCTACCTGTCTTCCAACCAATACTTTCCATGTACAGTAGTTGATAGCTTTAAAAAATGGAAAACAACGTAAAACAAAGCACCATGTCACTCTGCTTAAGTCTTGAATGCCTCCTAACTGCCTGTCACATACAAAGTCCAAGCTTGTTGGTACAAACAGCACATAAATTAACCCACTTTGACCTGGCCCCTATCTATCTTTTCAGCCTCAACCCTGCCCACTTATCACTGAATATTTAACGCTCTAGGAATACCACCACTGCATACTACATCATGTTATGGAATTCCACCACTGCAAGCCACATCATGTTATTTCTTATCTCTGTGTCTTGAATCATGCTTGAACCATTTCATTCCTTCTTTGAACCATTTCATTCCTTTATTCATCTTTTTTTTGAGGGGTAAGATTATACTTTTGATAGAGCTTAAAATAAAAATTCAGAATCTTGAGGCTTAATAAGTTCAGCACCTGAGAGCTTTACACCTTTATTACCAAGTAGCTCCTGGGAGGGTGAAGAACTCCTGATTCAGGATCTGAGAGGAATTAGTGTCCTGTTTCCTTATCACTCCGATGTCTTTTGCTTGGGGTCTAATGGGTGCTGTTCAAACCTGACACAATGTGTAAGGTTTGCAATCTACTATTCTAAGTGATAATACAGAGATGGATGTCACTATCTGTCTATAAGAAGGAATGGGGGACATTCTTCAGAGAACAAGAAATAAAGGAGGCAGAACTCTTAAGGGATACAGTGGGGTCCTAGAGGTTACCCCACACAAGAAGACTTTTAGAAGGAAGACTGAAGGAAAGGTGCCTGTGCCCCAAGAGTCAAAACAAGGGAGTACATTAGGAAGCAGTGCTTACTCTTATCCTATGACACAGCTTTAAGGCAGGTCTGAGGCAGTGCACTCTAAATGTGGTCACATACACCACAATAACCATGAAATTCCAAAGGACGACCCCAGGGTATGTTACTGAAGAAGGCTAATCCCAACCGCTTCTTTCATGCTCTTCTCTCTCCCATCCTTGAGGTGAACAAAAATGCACATAAACAACCTTGCTTTAATGAAAAAAGGGATAAAAAATAGCTTTAAACAACGTACCTTTGATTTTTTGTTCAGTGGCCTAAAATAAAAACAAACAAACAAAAAACAATGTAAATATGAAACTGAAAGAAATGGACTGTTATGATAAAATGTTCATATATTAATATAAGACATATACACCTTTATTAAACAAGGAATTTCTCAAATAGATGAACTGCACAGGAAAAGATATGCAAGGAAAGCATGCTTTTCCCACAGATGTGCCCCATTATCCCTGATACTATGTTTATTAATTTAAAATACCTAATTTTTGTGACACTAAGCATAGAAGACATCACTGTATGACAGTATATAATTTTTTAAATGGGAGCTGCACTTTTCTCATGTCCTTTAAAAATGATTTTTATACAAACTGTCACCTTTACATTTAATGGATTTAATATATTTTGCATGTTTAAATGGCTTCAAAAATTGTTACAAGTGATAAAAAGACGAATTAGGTTTTCTGTAAGAAAAGCTGTACATATAATCACTTTAGCCAAATTAGTAATAAATTTAACTCCTGGAGGTTAGGCTGCTATTGCAATTAAACTTAGTCAACTTTTAAGTATCTAAGTATTTTTGAGTGGAAAAAAATTTCAAACTGATTTATCACTTCTGACACATCTGACAATCTGTTAAAATTACTGTGATCAGAAGCTGAACTGACATGAACTCTGCTTTCACTGCCTTCCAATGTCTGCTCTTCCTTTATTTTCTGACACCACAACTGAGGAGAGGGGCTTGAGGACAGCAGGGTTAACTCGAGGTGACTAGCTCAAACTCCCAAGGGCTTCAAAAAGAACCACAGACAGAAAAACCCAAGCAAAACATCAATCTGTTGATCAAGATCAATATTATGGGAATCCTGAAAATAACAGATACAAGAACAGGAAAGGAGGTGAGAAAAGACTGAATAATTAGTAACTGAATAACCAGTTGTTGTTTCTAAATAGCAATAAAGCTTTTCTTAGCTGCCATGGGGCATAATTCATTTTGCTTAGTTATATGAAATTACTGTTATCAAAAATACCATTTTAAATTATACTATTATAGATATATGGGTAAAAGCTATAGTAACTCCCTAATATTGAAGCCACACCAAACATTAATCTTTCCCCAGAAAGCCAGGGAGTCTTGCTCCACCACGTAAGTGCTTTGCTAAGTTTTAGAGCACTAGTGAAATACAAAATAATGGAGGCTCATCTTTTACTCTATGGATCAAAATTTAAATGAAAAAAAAAATTTTGATGGAAAGACAATGCCAAACAACCAGTCAACTAGCTAACAACACTTCATTTGTTTCTGGGAAAATCATTTTTAAAATCTGAGAGTAGAAAAACAAGTCTTATTAGAGAGAAGTTAGTATATGAACACTTTTAGGTATCAGAAATGTCATGTCAAACAATAAGATGCATAATCTTCTGAAGCCAAAGAATTAGCAGAAAATTTCTTTTACACGTTGAAAGGCTTAAAAAAAAACAAAACAAACAGACAAAAAACACTCTCCTGGTCTCTTTCACAATTTACTTCCAATGGAAACTAAGTTTCAGAACATAGAAACAATGACCACATAAAAACCCAAAGTAGGCCAGGTGCAGCTCACGCCTGTTATCCCAGCACTTTGGGAGGCAGAAGACAGGCAGATGCTTGAGGCCAGGAGTTTGAGACCAGCCTGGCCAATATGGCGAAACCCCATCTCTACAAAAAAGCAAAACAAAACAAAGTATACCATGTTGCTCTTTTAGGCCTTACAACATAAAGGATATATGCTATACAACTCCTTTGGAAAAAGATGCTTTAAAACAACGGTCAACCTCATTCAGTATTCTGTCATCAACAGAGAATGGCCCCATGGAGACACCTAAGGTGTGTCTGCCCCTAAGAATCGGATTTAATGTATACAAGGAATGAAAGTAGTAGTATAGAAACCAAGAGCTCCTCATGGAATGGGAAGAAACGGAACTAAGAGTTCCACTTTTTTAAAACAGGTTTTTGCGGGCTGGTCTGGAGACCTAGTATATTATTCAAATTATTAAAAAGAATTTTCCAGGTGGGATCAGTCATTTTAAGAGTAATTGTCTGCACTATCCAAAACAACAGCCACTTGCCACATGTGGCTACCGACCACTGACTGAAATGTGGCTAGTCTGAACTGAGATGAGCAAAATACACACCAAATTTCTAATATTTGGTATTTTTAAAAGAACACAAGATGCCTTATTAAAAATACTTTATACTGACATGTCAAAATAGTAACATTTTAGCTATATTAGGTTATATAAAATATATTAAAATTAATCTGGTTATTTTTACTTTGAAATGCTCTGATCATTTAAACCCTCTGGGTCTCAGTTTCCTAATCTCTCAAATGGACAAAATAACTGTCCTGCTTACCTTTCAGGGTTATTATGAGGGTCAAATAATAAAATGTGAAAGATTTTTTTTGAAAAACTATACAACACTACTTCAAATGTGAAGTATCACTGTAAATCCTCTCATACAGATAATTAAAAGATTCTGGCCAATCTAGAAGCAAAATGATTTCCATTTTTAATACATTATTCTTTAAAAAAAAAATCTGAGCTATGGTTCCACCAGCAATGATCACAACTGCCTCCTTCATTACTGAAGACAGCAGTGCAGTGGCAGAGCACAGCACTCCACTTGCTTTGCCTGTCAGGCTCTGCACTGCTTGTCCCAACAACATGGTCCTGAAGCACACTTCGTTAAGACCTCAGGATCTAAAGCCTGACTGCCTACCTGGCTCTGCCACTTACACTGTGTGACCATGGTCAAATGTGTTAACTTCTCTAAAGCTTAGTTTCCTCATCTATAGAACTGTGGCAAAAACACCCACCTCAGAGTTGTAAGGTTAAAGGGATTTAACTCATATAAAAGCACTTAGGACAAAGCCTGACATATAGAAAGCATTCAGCAGACATCAGCTGCTGCTGTGGCGCTGGCGGCTGCTATCTTCAGCCTATCTGCCCATGCTTTGGCTCAGTATTGGCTCTCACTGTTGGAAATAAGCTGACTCTACATTCATCCCTTCCAGGTCTTGCTTTTCTTTTTTTCTGATCATCTACAATGTCTTAACAGTGCCAAGTATTACAACCTAACATTAAGAATAAAGAATTAATCTAGCTCAATTCACTGATTTTAAATGAGACACCTAGTGCTCAGAGAGCTTTCCTATGACTTAGCAATCAGCACTCAGTCTAGAATCCAGATCTGTTGAATAAAATGAGTTTTATAAAAGAGGAAAAGAGAAGTGTAAGGTGCAATGAGGGGCAAGACTGTAAGAGAACACCTAACTGCCCTCTATGAGAGCACAACTCAGGCCTGGTCATGTTACCACCAAGGTTACTGAGAAAATTTACTAATTAAGCTGCTGAATATGATCCTCAAAAATGGCAATAAAGCTGGAAGCTCTCTAAAACCTAGGTCTCATTTAAACTTGAATTTGGTATATTTAAGTCAATAACACCTATAAAAATCCCTTCAGCTCTTAACACAGTAACAGCAAAAAGCCCATGGATGTTGAAACATTCTCAACACCAAGAGATCCCAACTTGTATTGTTGCTTCCCCTCGGCCTTCAACGATTATATGCTTTCTAGGAACTACAATTGCATGCTTCAAGTAAAGGTTACACTAAACTACCCCTCTATAATTAACCTATTTCTCAACCTCTATTTTCCTCCTCATTACATTTCCCTTAAGATCCCTTGGAGAAATTTCTTCTAAAAACAGAACCTGGAGAGAAATCCATGGTAACCTACTGCTACTACTGTCACCCCCCTCCTTTTTTTAAAGTATGGAAACTACATTTCCATGCTCTGTCAAATTATTTTCTAAGCCCAAGAATCAGAAAATAATAGCCCTGGTTCTTAGATATGAAACAGAAAAGAGTGTTATACATAATCTTTGATGAAAAGGCTTTTCAAAAAATTTTAAGAACAAAAGTCATCGGTCTCCATATTAATTAGAAATGTATTGGGGCTGAAATACAATACAAATCACCCTGTTTTTAATGTGAAAAAGCTCTTTAAAGAATCTAAATATGTAAATTAATATTTAAATGATAGGATAATAAAAACTATCAAAACGAAAATATCGTTGTAAGGCTCGTCGGTGTCTAATTGTTTTTATAGGAAGTTGTGTTATCTGGCTTTTTATTTAAAATAGAAAATAACCCATGGTGTTAATTTTAAAAAAACCACAGTGGCTACTGGGGACCATTAAATGTATGCATTTTCTGTATTCATGGTATAAGAACCTATTTTATACCCTATTATAAAAATTATCACAATATATTATTTTCCAATTTTAAAGTTCACCTTTAAATGACAAAAAATAAAGCAAAGTATAAGATAATGTTCTGCATGAAAAGGATAAAGTCATGGCACAGGGTTTTGGCAAAGCACCAGCTGGAGGAGAGAGATTTCAATTATATTCCTGGTTCTGTCACCATGATAAAACCAAGGTCAATCACTTAATTCATTCTGATGCTTAGGTTCCTTATATTAAAAATGAACAAATGTATTAGAACAGATAATATCTGGCCTTTTTCAAAAATAAGAAAATATAAATTACATAAAATACTTTTTACTGTAGTGAGTTTATGTGCCAACATTTATATAAATGGGCCTGCCCACCTGGCTCATGTAGATATCTGCCTGGATACACCTGCTGGCTCCTACTAGCGACAAAAGACAAGTTCCAGGAAACCTGTCTTAAAAACCCTGTGACTCACAATTCCTCATATGGGCTATAAGTGTGTCATTTGGGGGTTTTCTTTTCTTTTCAAGAGCTATCTGGTAACACTCTATGGAAATACCAGCTGTCCTCACTTCACCGACAGGTTGTATTCAAATTCAGTTGTAAGCTGATTATTTGAAATTTGGAGAACAGTCTAATTTACAGTAGCGGCCTAGCCTGCTAAACTTAACATTTATTAGAGGTATTAAACCTTCCTTTATATTGTGTTCAGTGGGTAGATACTATGATGTGTCTATGAGACACACAGGAATACCCTATCAGTGCTGAAGATCTGGCAAAAGAAGGAAAAACTTCTTATATCCCTAAGCTTCTGATGATGGTTCTAGTAAGGACATGGTTGAGGTGAGAGACTGGAACCATGGGGTGAGACAGGAATGAAGTGGGCAACAGTATGAAAAGCTGTCACTTCAGATTTGGTGAGAAGTCAAATGGCACAATAATCACCACTCATGTGTTACAGGCTTATTTATAAGCTGCCTACACATAAGTGACCACTTATACTGACTTGGTGATTTAGAGATTTGATTATACAAGAATGTAAAGATTTACTTGTAACAATTAGAGCCATTGCTGTATATGTTACAACTTTAAAATTATATTCACAAAAATACAATATTTAAAGACATCATTCAAGTGACCCCTCCCTTTCTTAAAATTTCTCAGTAAATAGAATAAATTCCAAACAAATACGCTTATATATTGTCTTAGGCCTCTTCTCTAGCCATTTCACATACATTCTGACTTATCAGCTAATTCTTGAACTCCTTAGACACAGGGACCAACAGAGCCTAATTCAACACTCAGATGCTTGCCAAACTACTGAATCTACATAAAGTATATCCAACCATCCTTTTCAATAAACCTCTTAAGTTTCTTAGAAGCTCTTTTCATTGGGCAAATGGCCTTTCACACCATGGAACAAGAGTCTGATAAGCCTTTACCCCAACCTCAGACTTACAGAGGACACAACTTTCTCATAAGAAATCTCGAGCAATGACCGACCAGACTGCAAAGACTGTCCTACATAAACAGCCTCTGACAGAGGCCCAAGACATCCATCAATACCAAACCACGAGAAGCCTACCAAAACCCTAACCATGGCATATACCTATGCATCCCTTCCCAGGCACCCCTAAGAGCAAGCAAAAGGCAGGTGGCTAGGGCCACATCATCTCCTCTCATCTCATACTTAATTCTCCTCCCCTAATACTTGCTGATGACACCCCTAGGCTCAGGACATGCAGAACTGAATTATTTATCATTTCTCCTTTCTTTGTATCCCCTAGCCTGATTAACTCCTCTCAAATGTAGTCACTCATCTGGAACCTGCGAGTCAATCTAAGCTGACTCTCCCTCTATATCCTTTAAACAAATTCTGTGGATTACTTTAATAGTCCCTTCACCAGTATTTCACACTCTGGTATCTACCCCCTCTAAACCAATTCCACAATTTTCCAAGGTAAACATACTAAAATACAAACTTTTATGTCACTCTACTAAAACATTTTCAGCATTTTCCCCAAAGCCTTGAGAAAACCTCCTAGCCTTTCCTAGTTCAACTCTTCAGAGTTCTACCCTTGGTTCCCTCCCTTTCCCCCAAGCAAAACCCATCCTTTAATGCATACAGGCTACCAAGTATTTCTGAGTTTTCACTGTTTGGAATCCTTTTCTATTCTGCTCCTTATTCACCTAATTTCTACTCTAACGAAATTTCTCTGTCCCTCTGCCCCATTTCAGCCTGAGTTATGCACCTCTCTCTCTGTACTGCAACAGTTCCCCATAAATGCCTCACCTGCCATTTTTACAGCCTGTGTTTTCCCCTATTAAATAATGTGGACATAAGTATCTTGCTATAGTCTACATCCAGTTCCTAGCACAATGCCTGGCTCAAAAAAGGCATATATTAGAAATTAAAATAATTTTTCATTACAACAGATAATTGAAACAGTAATTTCACTAGGTTTTTAGAGCATTTTAATGTCTTGAAACCTTGACATAGTAGGAGATGAGTGCCCATTTAGCTAACTATTATCAGTTTTTAGTATTAACAATACTAATACAATTGTTTGGTATGTAACAATTAAATGGAAAATTTTTAATAATTACAGATTTTTTTAACTTACTTTGCATTGAATTATAGTTTCCTATACTAAATTAGCTAGTTTAGAATTCCCTTGCAGTAAACAATGTCCGAGGTTTATTTTAAGGCTAATGTACACTGCACACTTTAAAAATCAGCCCAGGTACTAAATAAAGAGGGAAAAAGAAACTGACACTTTACTTCCTATTATGTCTATTACATTTTCCTTTAATACTCTATTTCTGTATTACATATAATAACATCATCTCAATTCAACCCTCATTTAACAAAACACAAGGAAACTAAGGCCCAGAGAGGCTAAATAAAATCTAAAGTCACACCATTCTATGTGCTATGTGGGAGAGTGAGATTTCAAATACTCTCAACTTGGCTGCAAATTCCATGCTCTTCCCACTTATAAAATGATATATTATGAAACACCTAGGAACAGCTATTTGAAAGATAAAGATCCATAAAATGTACTTACCTTTGAAAAACTATTGACAAGATTAAATATGCATTAAATTGTACAAACTCAGCAAGTTACTTTATATGCATATTCAAAGACATTAAATATTAAAATGAATCTCCATTAAAGCTAAAACATTAAATCAAATAAATGCCTTCAAAATCTGTAAGAGTAATTTTTTTTTAATTCTATGTTTAAACTGCTTAATATAAATAGTTTACACACATACTACCTTCTTTTGAGCAGCTTCCTTCTTTTTCTTGTCGTCTTTTTTCTTTTTCTTTTCTTCCATCAACTGTTCTTCTTCTTGCACTAAATCCCTGAACCACACAGTTGCAATTAAGTTTCCCAAAATGTATTAAGAAATAAAAATAATGTTGCATACAGATTCATTTTCACTTTTTCACTCTTATTAGAAGACATGGCAAATTATTATTTTATCATTCATTGAAATAAAACACAACCTGCAACCTAACCCTAACTATATAGCCACTATATGGTACAATTCACTTTAATAAGCCACAAGTAGCACAGCTTTTATCTCAATATCATATCAAGGAAGACAACCTAAAATTAGCAAATTTTACATTGGGAAACAAGCAATTTCCTCCAATCCTAGAATGTAAACTTCATCATTTAAGCTGGAGTTACCTTGCTACTGGCCCCAAGTATCAATTAGTAGCTAATGGCAATGCCTGAGACCTCCCCACAATCCTCTCTCACCTAGGTTTCTGGAAGCTACCTTTAGTTTTCCTTGCTCTAAAAAGCTTTGTAAATATTTTTAGAATATAACTTATTAATAAATAGGTGATTTGTATTTCAGCATTACAACAATTTCATATTCTATCAACATTCCAAGGTATTCTATCAATTCTTGGGAAACAATAACGTACTCTTGTTTGTTCTGAGACAGAGTCTTGCTCTGTCACCCAGGCTGGAATGCAGTGGCATGATCTCTGCTCACTGCAGCCTCCACCTCCCGAGTTCAAGTGATTCTCCTGCCTCAGCCTCCCGAGTAGCCGGGTTTACAAGTACCTGCCACCATGCCTGGCTAATTTTTGTATTTTTAGTACAGACGGGGTTTCACCAAGTTGGCCAGGCTGGTCTCAAACTCCTGACCTCAAGTGATCTGCCCACCTTGACCTCCCAAAGTGTTGGGATTACAGGTGTGAGCCACCACGCCTGGTCTAATAATGTATTCTTCATATTAGTTTGTTTAAATTTTAAAAATCTCAAATGGTTAAAGTTGTCAACAGAACCTCTGGTTCAGGATTTCAAAGTGACAGACTGCGCAAATGTGTTTCAGGAAACAGGTTATTACCTTTCAGGAAAAAGGGTTATTACTTTTTTATTCTATTCAAAGCAAATGAATAAGCAAAAGCAAAAGCCACCCCACCCAAGAATAAACATAAGAGCAGTCTGAAATAGATGTTTTAGGCACCATCCTTTCTGGTGGAGCTCTAGAGAGGGTTCCAGAAGACCAGAGCAAGAGAGCATGAAGCAAAAAGACTGCCTAAGGAATAGAAAAGCCATAGCTACTCAACCCCACCCACTTCCCATCCAGATGCCTACACAGCCACAGATAGTAGCTGCTTCTAAATGCAGCCTCAAGCCAAAGAAATACTCTCTAAAGAAACAAAACCTTCCACAGGAGTCTGATAGGTGCTTGAATGGGTTTGGTTGTCCCAGAACAAAGCCCATCTTACTGGAGGCTGCTGCCACTCCCTCCATCACACTGTAAAGTAAAGCTTGCCAATCAACACCCTTCACACAGATCAGCCTTCCCATTCAGGGAAGGAGTCTACTGGGCAAAAAAAACCTTTGCAAAGGCGGAAGAAACTCACTCCGGCTACCTGTAGTCATCACCCTAAAGTCTAGACCCTAAACCTTCATTCATAATACCAACAACCAAAATAACCAGTTACCCAAAGAAAAGCATCACACAAAATGAAAATACCTAACTCTGCCCTGAGGAAGCTTTCCAGAGGGGACACTAAGAATATCAGGCAGGGGCGTGGTGGCGGGCACCTGTAGTCCCAGCTACTCGGGAGGCTGAGGCAGGAGAATGGCGTGAAACTGGGAGGTGGAGCTTGCAGTGAGCTGAGATGGCACCACTGCATTCCAGCCTGGGCGACAGAGCAAGACTCTGTTTCAAAAAAAAGGAATATCAGGCAGAAAAAGAGAGATTTGGAGATATGAACTAGACATTTTGGAAGCTGCACATTATTTATCAAGGCTGGAATGCATATGGCAGTAGGGATGTTGAAGAAGATAAAAGGAGAAAGACAAGTGCCTAAGAAACTGGAAGGGGTTGTTGCTATAGGTGCGCTGCAATGAGATTAAACAAAATTTAAGTTGGCTTTGCTGATGGAACAGACTGAGAGGAGATGCAGACACCGAAAAATGAAATGAATGACATTATGCACAATTGATAAAAACTTAGTAAAGTATAGGACTACTAAAATCAGCTAAAAGGATAACTGGAAGAAGAGTATGATAACTGTTGCTATACTTCGCTGTCATTTTGTTACAAGCAGAAGTGTCATGTGGCTAATGGAGTAACATAACAGATTCCTGCCAACTGTGGCCATGACTCACTCTCTTTTGAATTCTGTGTGCAGGAGGTAGTAAGACTGAACAAGCTCACTCACACTACAATCCCAGGGAAGTCAAGGAGCAAGAAAGCCACAGCATATGAGAGCAGCAGAGTAAAATCAGTAAACAACGGCAACTAGGTTACACCACTGTCATGTTACCTACCCTGAGACATGCAGAAGTCAAGATTAAAAGCTGATTACTAGTTAAAAATACTTAATCTTCTTCAGCCTCTGTTTCTTCATGAAAAAACTGGGGGCAAATGACCATACATGTCAATGTCTTAATATTTTTATAAGAATTAGGACTGCTTACTTAGCACAAAGCTTATCTAGTAAGCACTCAATTGCCTAGCCATGAATCCAACTCACCAGTCCTCAGTGGCACCCAAAAGGCTGTCTTTACCCTTCTTGTGTCAAAATAGCACAGGTACTTATTCAGAAACATCTAGCACCTTCAGCATTTGTTCTTCATGTTCTGCTGTGAATTACAGACATGTCCTTTTCTGATCTTCTATGTCACTATAATTTTACTCCATGTAATGGTCTCTATCTGGAGTATTTTCTCCTTTCTCAAACTTCATTTTCAAGACTTTCTGATGAGGTTACTAGCAAGTGTTTTCCTGGCCAAAAATATCCCCTTTAGTACTTAAAAGATGTACCAGACATTTCTTCTCAAGGAAATATCACAGTATCAGCCGATACTGTAAGCACAGAGGGGAGTAAGTTTTGTTCTTCAACACTATCATCACAGCCAACCAGTCATGCTTTTTCCCATATCTCCTCCTTCAGAGAAAGCCAACTGGAAAAACAACAACAACACCTGTGCCCAAACACGTCAGCTTCCAGGAGTTAAATGTTCATAGAGACTCACTTAAGACATCTGACTATATCATTTACCACAACTATCAAGAGGAGCAAGGACTGATGGATTTGAAAGGCCTAAGTGGGCCACCCTGTTTGATGCACCTGCCACCAAGACAACACTCCAGTTAGCAATCATCCATGCCCTGAAGGCTACTTTGCAGGATACCTCACATCTGTAAGTTCTATGAATCTACCTCGTTGTCTGTAAAAACCAGACTCCCCTTTTATCAGAACTTGACTTATGTCCTGCATCTCATGTATAAAGGCTTTGAGGTGGCCTGTAAAAGTCAATGCCACTGAGGGAACTTTCTAGGAAAATGGAAATGTTTTCTAACTTGATTGGAGTGATAATTACAAGGGTGTATACATTTGTCAAATCATTCACCTACACACTCAATGTTTGAATTTTACTGTATGTAAATTGTATTTTAAAGTTGGTTTCATACATTGACTAGGGGAAATGCAATATCTCGATCTGAAAAAACAAATAGATCAAGATTAGGATTCCACACAACAAATCAAGCTAAGCTTCAAATTTTGCCCGTATCTTCCAGTAGCCACTACAAATGATTTACTTGTACCGTTCAAGAATGCGTTTCTGGCCGGGTATGGTGGCTCAGGCCTGTAATCCCAGGAGTCTGGGAGGCCAGGAGTTTGAGAACAGAATGGGCAACATAGTGAGAGTCTGTCTCTATTTCAAGGGCCTATCAAGGGAGCAGGGTACACCTTGGAGGTAGAATGCCCCTTCCTACTCTTGCGCCTCCTGACACTTGATGGTCAATTTTTCCTACATTCCCAGCCCTGAATATCATTAAAATTAATCCCTTCTGAAGGGTACTCTTGTACTTGCTATCAGAAGTATGTATGGACTAGCACTAAGCTTCTGGTGAGCAATTTGGAAGTATCTATTCACAATGAATTTTTAAATGTCACTATCTTATGATCCATCAATTCAAATCTAAGCCTCTGAAAAAGGAACCGTACAAAGATAGACACCGCAGCATAAAATCATAACCAAAAACCAATCAATAGGGAAAAGTTAAATCATCCTGTAATCACACCAAGGAATACTACACAGTAATTTTAAAGTGGGGCGGGGAGTAGATTTCCATAGTGTACAGAACCAGCTCCCAATAGAAACCTCAAGCACTAAACTTCTTATTTATTTATTTAGAGACGAAGTCTCACTCAGTTGCCCCGAGCTGGAATGAGGTGGTGCTGGTGTCAAACTCCTGGGCTCAAGCAATCCTCCTACCTCGGCCTACCAAAGTACTGGGATTACAGGGGTGAGCCACTGCACTCAGCTAGGAAACATGATTTTTTTTATAGGAAAAAAATTCCTACAATTTTGTAGAAACAACTGAACACATCTGAAATAAGAAAACAAGCAAACATTTGGTACAGGTTGTAAACAAGATTAGTGAAGTAAGACAGGTATAAGAGCTGTTTCAACTGTGGAAGGCTTTATGGAGCAGTAAGAAGTTGATCTGGCTCTTGCAAAAGAGGCAAGATTTTTTAGGAGCACAGAAAGGTGTGGGCACAAGCGAAGTATGGAGACTTGTCAGCATGACAATTGCAGGGACCAGCACTGACTGGAATTGAAAAAGGGAGGGAAAATGTTGGGTAAGAATAGGCAATAAATTGGCAAAAACAAGGGTGAGAAGACTGTTGCGAAAATCTAAGTGAATGTGTAGTTCCCCAAACTAGCATGGTGGCAGTGAAAAAAGCAAGCAAAGAATAAATCTGAGATAACTCAAAATATCCTAACAATTAGCTGGGGGGGGGGGGGATGGTACATACCTGTAGTCTCAGCTACATGGGAGGCTGAGGCCCAAGAATCAACTGAGCCTAGGAGTTGGAGGCTGCAGTGAGCTATGATTGTGCCACTGCATGCCACCCTGGGCAACAGAGGGAGAAATGACAATAATGGGACAAGGGGTTAGGTGTCTCTATTTTGCTTTAGGAGACAGAAAACAGGAAGCAACTTTCCTGAGGGCCCAACTAGCCTATCAGTCAGCAACACACCACAAGCTAGCTCATCCTCACATAGAAGCCAGCTGTATGTTACAAGCTAGAAATAAAAATACACTTTACATCTTCTGCCAAAAAACATTCTGTTCTCCTACTTTCTCCCATGCAGATCCCACCTTCTTCTATTTCCTTCCAGTCTTCCTCTTTTCCCATTTGATTGCCACCCCCCATTCCTTTTCTCATTTTTATCCTCCTACCTAAATTAATCACCAAAACCTGTCTAGCACTACACAACAGGAAGTCACTAGCAACCTTCAAAACTATAGAATTCACCAGACAGTAGAGATGAAAACTGAACTGGAGCAAAAATAGGTAAGGAAGTTGGAGATTTGGATCGGTTTTTCAAAAGCTTCAGCTGTAAAATGAAGAGAATAGGATAAAATGAAGTTTTGCATATTTTTTAAAGTAAGGACAACTAATAGTTATCTGGAAGTGGAAAGGGGTCATCGTATTGAAGGGTGGGGAACATGCTATTTACAATAACTGACAATTATCTGCAAATACAGTAGTTAAATAAAATGGATATATCCATAAAATGGAATATTATGCAGCTGCAAAACAAAGGTCTCCTCTACACCCTGATGTGAAAGGATCAGGAAGGCTTAAAGTTAACTGGAAAAACAAAACAAAATCTAAGGCTCAGTGTGCTATCTTTTTGTGTTGGGAGGGATATGAATATATATATATTTACATGTCCTTGTACGTGCATAAAGAAATTCTGGAGACGTGTACATATACAAATTAATAAAAAATATATATTTGTGACAGAGTATGAGCACAAAAGAGGACAACAGACAGAGTGGCAGCAATGCTGTATATTTCTTAGCTTAGCTTTAGCTGGCATGTCTTCCCCTTAGGAAGGAAGGAGAATAGCATACAAACAGGTAGCAGTAAGGATCCAGATGACAGTATGGATCTCAAAAAGTGGGAAGTTGAGCTTGAAAGGGGCTTCCACTAGCACCATAATTTGAGCGATAAATTATGCTAATAAAAAATTACAAACAACTGAATAAAATAAGAACCCATGGGTCCATACTGATATGAATGAATGATTGAGTGAGTGAATGGAGAGAAGTACCAAATCTTACAGTAAAATATCAACTAATGTAAGAAGAATGGTTGACTTTAAAAATCACTACTTGGCCCTACTGGTTAAGGCAAGCACATTGATGAGAAAACAAGACATTTACGTACTCTCAAAGTATCTCCCAACAATAGTGTTATTAATTACAAAGGGAAAAATACTAACTTTGCAGTGATGAAACCCGACAGAGACCACCTCACCCAAGCAGTTGAAGTTAACCATCACCAATAATGGGATAAAAGGATATCAGGCATCTCCTGACATGATGTACTGAGAACACCACATCAATTCTGTACTATTCCTGCCAAAACTGCATAACCTGATCAGGTCATAAGGAAATAACGGACAAATACAGACTGAGGGACATTCTACAAAGTAACTAGCCTGTATTCTTTAAAAATATCAAGGTCCTGAAGAGCAGAAACTAAGAAACTTCCAGAATGCAGGCAACTAAACAAACATGAAAACTAAATGCTACTTGTGATCTTCGATTGAAGACCTGACCAAGAAAAAATAGATTTCGTTTGGCTCTAAAGGGAATTATTGAGACAACTGGCAAAATCTGAGTAAGATCTGTAGATCTGCTATTAAGACTGTGCCAATGTTACTGTGCCCATTTTCATAATGGTACTGTAGTTACCAAGAAAAGATCTTTGACTAAGTGTTTAGGAGTAAAGGGGTATCATGTCTGTAAGTTACTCTTAAATGGTAAAAAACAGTATGTATAAAAAGAGGGAATAAAGTAAATGTGATTAAATGTTAATGTTTGAGGATTAAGGGTTAAGGATATTCAGAAGTTCTTTGTTCTATTCTTGCATTTCTCTACATCGGAAATTAACTCAAAATAAAAAGCTCTGCAGGTGGCTCATGCCTGCAATTCTAGCACTTTGGGAGGCCAAGGCAGATTGCTTGGGCCCAGGAGTTCGAGACCAGCCTGGGCAACATGGCAAAACCCTGTCTCTACAAATATATAAAAATTAACTGGGTGTGGTGGTGCATGCCTGTAGTCCCAACTACTCGAGAGGATGAGGCGGGAAGATCACTTGAGCCAGGGAAGCAGAGGTCGCACAGTGAGCTAAGATCATTCCACACTGCACTCCAGCCTGGGTGACAGAGTAAAGCCCTTTCTCAAAAATAATAATAAAAAATTAATTAAAAGCTCAGATTGAGGAAAGTTAGTGAGTTTAGAAACTTAGAAAACAATAGATACTCCACCATAAGGACAGAAACACCTACAATTTACAAAGTACTCTGAGATATTATCCATTTTGAACTCACAACCCTGAAACATAGCACTGGTATTATTCCCCTTTGACAGTTAAAGAGATTGAGGATCAGAAAGTCCTAATGACTTGTCAGATGGTACAAGGCTGTGGTAAGGCTGACCCAAAACTCAGTTTGCTACATCTACCCACCCAAATCCTACTCTTCTTTTAAGGCTTAATTACTAGTCCCTTCATGATTCTTTCCAATCCAAACAAACCTCATCCTTGACCTCTAATTAAACAATACTCATTTTCTAATTATTTTATTTTATTTGAGACAGCATCTCGCTCTGTCACCCAGGCTGGAGTGCAATGGCTCGATCTCGGCTCACTGCCACCTCCGCCTCCCTGGTTCAAGTGATTCTCCTGCCTACTTGTACAATACTCCTGAGCAGCTGGGACTACAGGTACCTGCCACCACACCCAGGTAATTTTTGAAATTTTTAGTAGAGACAAGATTTCACCATGTTGGACAGGCTGGTCTCAAACTCCTGACGTCAGGTGATTCACCTGTCTCGGCCTCCTAAAGTGCTGGGATTACAGGCGTGAGCCACTGCGCCCAGACATTTTCTAATTATTTTAGATGTTAATCTCACTCTTCCAAATAGGACTAATTACTGCTCTGGAGACAAAAAACAGTCCTACTTGTACAATACTCCCTGTCACTGGGCACTCTAATTAGATTCCAATTCCTGCTTCCTTGCCTTTACTAACACTGTAACACCAACACCACTGCCAAAAATGCACTCTTTTAATTCTTACTCTTATCCATATGTTACTTTTCCTTTAAGGACCAGTTCAATTCCAATCTATTCAAACAAGCATTTCCTAGGCAGCATAGCATGCAGTGAAGACCCCTGGGTCCAAATGTCAAATAGAAGTGGTCTTAAACCTCAATTCCACCATCTACGTGTGTAACCTTAAGCAATTTATTTTATTTCTCTGAAGCCTTCATCATCTAATTTATGAGACGTCTCAAACTGTACCTCCCTCAATGGGTGGTTGTGAAGATTTAATTGGGTAATGCAGATGAAGTACTTAACAGATGCATGTAAAAAGTGTACAGTGGGACTAGGTGTGGTGGCTCATACCTGTAATCCCAGTGCTTTGGAAGGCCAAGGTGGTAGGATCACTTGAGGCCAGGAGTTTGAGACAAACCTGGGCAACACAGCAAGACCCTGTCTCTACAAAAATTAAAAAATTAGCCAGGTACAGTGGCACATGCCTGTAGTCCCAGCTCCTCAGGAGGCTGAAGCACGAGGATCACCTGAGCCCAAGAATTCAATGCTACAGTGAGCCACGATCACGCCACTGTATTCCAGCCTAGGCAACAGAGCAAGACCATGTCCCCCAAAAAATAAATAAATAAAATGTAAAAAGTGTACACTAATTGCTAGCCATGAGAGACTAGGCACAAAGCACTGCACTAAGCTAAGGTTAGGATGCAAAGAAGGTTGCAACCAAAGGAGGAAGTGCATACAGTAGAAAATAAAACTGAATACATAAAAACAATTATTATTGTACAATGCAGAATTAGGTGGACGCAAAACCAACAGCTAAAGGTCCCAGATTGCAAACCAGAGCAAATCAGGTACCAGGTACCAAAAGAGAACCAAGGTATCAAAAGATAAATCTATAGGCCAATAACCCTTATGAATACAAACATAAAACTCCTCAACAAAAGACTAACAAACCAAATCTAGCAACAAACAGGACTACACAAAGTGGATTTATCCCAGATATGCAAGGGTGGTTTAACATGAAAATCAACGAAATACACCATGTTAATAGAATGAAGGACAAAGCTACATGATGATTTCAAGAGACACAGAAAAAGCATCTGACAAAATCCAGTATCCTTTTACAAGACAAAAACACTCAAAACAGGAATAAAAGAAAACTTCCTTAACCTGATAAAGGCCCACAGCTCACAACATACATAATGATAAAGACTGCATACTTTTCCTCAAGATTAGGAACAAGACAAGGATGTCTGATCTTGCCACTTCCTATTCGACACTGAGCTCGAGGTTCCAGTCAGAAAAAAGAGAGTGCGTGTGTGAGTAAGCATGCACGAAAATTGGAAAAGAAGATGTAAAACTGTCTCTATTCACAGATGACAGGCTCTTGTACACAGAAAGTCCTAATGAATCCAGATACATAAAGACTACTGGAACTAATGAACATGTTCAGCACAGCCGCAGAACACAGTATCAACATACAAAAATCAATTGGCTGACACACGCTACAATATGGACAAATCTTGAGGACACTATGCTAAGTGAAATAAGCCAGTCACAAAAGGACAAACACTCTATGACTCCACTAATGAGGTATCTAGAATAATCAAATGCATACAGACAGAAGGTGGAATTGTGGCTGCCAAGAGCTGAAGGCAATAGGGAGTTATGATTTAACGGGTACAGAGTTTCCATTTTACAAGATGAAGAGTTGCAGAGGTGGATGGTGGTGATGGCTGCACAACAATGTGAATGGACAATGCCACCAAACTACATCATTTAAAATGGATAAGATGGTAAATTTTACGTGTTTCACAATTTTTAAAAAACTTTAAAAAAAATCTACTGTATTTCTATACAGTAGCAGTGGACAACCCAAAAAGTAAATCAAGAAAACAATTCCACCTACAATAGCATCAAAAAGTTTTAGGAATAAATTCCACAAAAGAAGCATGATTACACACTGAAAACTACACAACATCTTTGAAAACAATTAAAGACCTAAATAAATAGAAAAAGATTCCATGTTCGTGAACTGGAAGACTTAATATTATAAAATGCAATACTGTCCACACTGGCCTACATATTCAACACTGTTCCTATCAAAATCTCAGCTGCCTTTTTGCTGAAATTGACAAGCTGATCCAAAAATTCACATAGAAATGCAACCAGAATAGTCAATGCAATCTTTAAAAAAATTTTTTTTTAATAATTAGTCTCTGGTTATCCAGCCAATGCAATCTTGAAGGAAGGCTCATACTGATTCCAAACTTATTACAACAAAGCTGAAGTAATCAAGACAGTGTGGAAGTGGCATAATGATGAACACATAGTATCAACAGAATAGAATTGAGAGTCCAGAAATAATTCTTCATTTTATGATCAAGTGACCTTCAACAGGGTGCCAAGATGAAAGTCTTTTCAACAAATGAAGCTGGAATTACTGGATAGTTACATAACAAGAATGACATTGGAGCCCTCATGCCATATGCAAAACTTAACTCAAAATGAATTACAGAACTAAACATTAAGAACTAAAACTATAAAATTATTAGAATACAAGTAAATCTTTGTGACCTTGGATTTGTTGCCAACAACACAAGTAACAGAAAAAAATACTGGTAAACTAGATTTACAAAATTTTAAATTTTTGTGCTCAAGGGACTTCATCAAGAAAGTGAAAAGAGGCTGCATGCGGTGGCTCATGCCTGTAATCCTAGCACTTTGGGAGGCAGAGGCGGGTGGATCATTTGAGGTCAGGAGTTCAAGGCTGGCCTGGCCAACATGGTGAAATTCTGTCTCTATTAAAAATACAAAAATTAGTTGGGCATAGTAGTGGGTGCCTGTAATCCCAGCTACTCAGGAGGCTGAGGGAGGAGAAACGCTTGAACCTGGCAGGTGGAGTTTGCAGTGAGCTGAGATCATGCCACTGCACTCCAGCCTGGGCGACAGAGCAAGACTCTGTCTCAAAAAAAAAAAAAAAAAAGTGAAAGGAAAAGCCACAAAATAGGAAAAAATACCTGTAAATCATATATCTAATAAGGGACTTGTATCTAAGCTATATAAAGACCTTTTTCAATGACAAAAAATATCACCTAATTTAAAGATGGGAGAAGAATCTGAATGGCCACTTCTCAGATCAGATATACGAATGGCCAATAAGGACATGAAAAGATGCTAATCATCATTAGCCATTAGGAAAATGTAAATCAAAACCATAATGAGATACCACTTTACATCTATTAGGATGGCTAAAATCAGAAACAAGAACCCTAACAAATGCTGGCAATGGAAAGGATGTGGAGAACCTAGTGCCTCCATACATTGCTGATGAGAATGTAGAACTGTGCAGCTGCTTTGCAAACAGTCGGGCAGTTCCTCAAAAAGTTAAACAGAGCCTGAGCAACACAGTGAAACCCCATCTCTACAAAATATAGAAAAAATTAGCCAGGCGTGGTGGCATGCACCTGCAGTCCCAGCTACCTGGGAGGCAGTGGTGAGAGGATGGCTTGAGCCTGGAAGGTGGGAGGTTGCAGTGAGCTGAGATTGCACCACTGAACGTCAGCCTGGGCAACAGAGGGAGTCCGTCTCAAAAACAAAACAAAACAACACAAACAAAAGTTAAACAAAGTTACCATATAACCCAGCAATTCCACCCCTAGGTATATAACCAATAGAATTGAAAATATATGTCCACACAAACATTTGTACATGAATGTTCATAGCAATATTATTCATAATAGCCCCAAAGTTAGAACAGCCCAAATGCCCATTAACTGATGAACGGACAAACAAAATGGGCAATAGCCATACAATGAAATTTATTTGCCCATAAAAAGGAATAAAGGATATATGCGACATGATGGACGAACCTTGAAAACACTACACTAAATAAGACAAGTCACGTACAAAAGTATCATATAGTATGATTCCACTTAAACGAAAATAGGTAAGTCCATAGAGTTATAATAGAAAGTAGATTAGTGGTTGCCAGAGGCTGGGTGGAAGGGACAAATGGGGAGTGGCTGCTATTATGGGGTTTTTGGGTGAAGGGGTGAAAATTCTAGAATTAGACAGTGGTGCTGATTGCACAACTCTGTGAATATACTAAAAACCATTAAATCATACACTTTGTGGACTTTAAAAGGGTGAATTTTATCATATGGGAATTTTATCTGAATAAAGCTGTTATTTAAAAGTTGAGAGAAACTGAAAGGTACATTCAGAGAAGGAAGAGTTAGGGACAGGGCAAAAGGTGGAAGGGACAGTGCTAAATTGATAAGCTGAGCAAAAAACAAGAGTCTGGGCTTTAATTCCAGAGTCACTGGGAAGGAGCCAACAAAGGTTTCTAAGAAATAGTGACTGACAGGCCTCAGAAACGTGGCTCGAGGACGATTAACCTGCAGCAGTGTAGAGAATGCACATTTTATGACCCTATCTTTGTAAGATTTTCACTATATGCCTCACATTGCAAAGAGATTCACAAGTGGAATAACATATAAAACATATTTCTCTTACATCAGTTATACAGTCAATTATCAAGGAATAAATGATATTTAAAAGGACATTTAAAATCAGCACACACTTAACTACCATTCTCTCCCGTCTGTGCACACATGTTTTAGGGAAACTTCAAAAGAATGGGAGAAAGAAGGGACCAAAGTCAACAAAACACAGACGTCATAACTCTAAAAATATTCAATATTATTGCAGCAAACTGCTCAATAAGTGCTCCCTGACTGAAAACCACTAATAAGAACAGCAAAACAACTGAGTTGGCTTAATCTTGTTTGTTATTATACAAAATCCAATCAGTCACTGTTTGCAGAAAATATCTTGTAAGGTTCAAAGTATAAAATTCTTCAACCAGGTTTCAATCTGTTTTGAACATTCCATTTGAAACGGGAAGTCAGCTGAGTCATCATCACATAATATACTACTGCTAAAAATTCAAAATGCTTTTCCCTAGTTACAAGAGTGGAAATGCTAGGATTTCTCCTTCATAGCCAACTCAAACACACAGAGTATGCAAATCATTTTTAAAATAAGACATCTTAAATAGGAAATTTAAACTATATTTATTTTCATGGGTGGCTTTTTTTTAAGATGGAAAGAAGCTATGCCTTAGTCGAATATTACTTCCTTTTGAATCTCAAACATCTTCCTCTTATTGATACTATTCAGCTCCTCTGACAACCTCCTCATAAAGAAGCAGTTTCTTAATCTTTGAGGAGTAATGACCCTTTGAGATCTAATGAGCACTAAAGACCATATCTGCTTTTGTTGTGGGGTTTTATTTTTATTTTTATTATTTTATTTTGGCATACATTCAATTTTGCAAACCACTTCATAACACCTGTGGTCCCTCTGTGGCATCGGGATGAGAACCCTTGGTCTGGTGGCACCGTGCCACTCTAATTTCAATGGGGCATTCTTTTAAGAAAGCGTATTACAAGCCCAGCCCCAATGTTTCATTTTCCTACCAGGGTTATCAGTTCATCACTGGTCAAAGCTGAAAACAAGCAACTTTTATGTCCCACAGTAAGGGAGCTACCTTTGGCATAAATCTTCATAAAAGCAGTAATCATTATGGCTGATCGATTTAAATACAAAGACCTGTAATTACTGTAACCTCAAATATTTAAAATTACATCTCGGTTTAAACCAATTGTTTGGCATTTCCTAAAATGAAAGAAACACCAAGTCAGTGTAGAAGTAAGAATATTGGATAACCTTTCGGTTAATTTACTTCAAAATGCTGTGGGGAGGGAATACTGAAGACAAACACATCATCACCTATGGGATACTCCTGCCAAAAAGGGTCAACCTGAACCTAATCATACAGACAAGACCCAAAAAATGCAAATTTCAGTCTGCAAAAACAACTAGACTGGACTATTTCAAAATGTCATTGTCAAGAGAGAAGCAGAAAAGGGCAGGAAAATGCTCCTAATGTAAGAGAAACTTCAGACACAACTAAATGCAACCCAGGATACAGCAATTGAGTGAAAGAACAAATACAACTTTAAAAAAAATTTTGAGAAAATTGGGAAAATCTGAATAGGGACCAGACAGAATTGTAAAGTTAAACTTCCTGTGGGTGATCATTTGATTGCTGTCAGGTAGAATGCCCTTATTCTGTGAGATACCTACTGCCATACTTTGGTGTGCAATGTCACGATAGAACAAATGTGGCAAAATATTAATAATCACTAAAACTAGGTAAAGAGATACAGGTATTAGTTGCAACATTTTTCCAATTTTGCTTAAGGTTAGAATGATTGATTATTTATTTGAGACAGAGTTTTGCTTTTGTGCCCAGGCTAGGCTGGAGTGCAATGGCGCAATTTCGGCTCACTGCAACCCTCGCCTCCCAGGTTCAAGCGATTCTCCTCCCTCACCCTCACAAGTAGCTGGGATTACAGGCATGTGCCACCACACCAGGCTAATTTTGGTATTTTTAGTAAAGATGGGGTTTCACCATGTTGGTCAGGCTGGTGTTGAACTCCTGACCTCCAGTGATCTGCCCACCTCGGCCTCCCAAAGTGCTGGGATTACAGGCATGAGCCACTGTGCCCGGCCAATTTTTTAAAATTTTAAAATGAGATAGGGATTTCTGTTTTTTCAGTGAGAGATTTATCATGCATCAGCCTGAACAGAATACATATAACGCATACCATTTTAGTCTTTCCAATCATGGGCAATACTTTTGCAGTTGTCATTAAAATTGTAAATATGTTTTGCAATTTATACTTTCAGACATTTCAGATGCCAAAAATCAAAAGAGCTTACAGAATGGTATTCTTTTGATGTTTATATTCAAATTTTCCACAGAGGGTTGTTACACATTTTTAAATTAAGTTTACAGATTGTGATTAATTTATCCTATCAAGTGATTTACCACCTAATTGCCAAATTAAGCTGGAAAAAAAGCATATTGGGTTGGTACATTAAAAATGAGCAAAAACCACAATTAACTTTCGCACCAACCTATAGCAATATGCATGTGTTGGCCTGCAAACCGTATCACAGCAAAGCAAAAGAAAAGCTTAACAAAATCAGATTTTCTTTCTTTTTTTTCAGACAAAGGTTGATGAATTGCATGAGTGGGATCCACCTTAGCTACGGAGACCTAATGCCTTGGGGTTTTACTCCTGCTGTCCTAGTCATTTCTTTTCTTTCTTTCGAAACAGAGTTTCACTCTGTTGCCCAGGCTGGAGCGCAGTGGCACAATCTCGGCTCACTGCAACCTCCACCTCCCAGGTTCAGATTCTCCTGCCTCAGCCTCCCAAGTAGCTGGGATTACAGGCACATGCCATCACACCCAGCTAATTTTTGTACTTTTAGTAGAGACGGGGTCTCACCATGTTGGCCAAGCTGGTCTTGAATTCCTGACCTCAAATGATCCACGTGCCTCAGTCTCCCAAAGTGCTGGGATTACCCGTGTGAGCCACTGCACCTGGCCAGTCCTAGTCATTTCTAATATAGCATTTGTCCCACGCAAAAGCATCTCAGATAAGTGTCCCAGTTTAGATGCAACATTATATGGTATATAGCACTTTTAACAACTTTTGTTATATGATGACATACAGTTGGTTTATGGGGGGACAAATCAGTATAACGTGAAGTTAACTTCTACTTTAAACAAAACACATTTAGTACATGATAGTAAAGTCATCACTAGAATGAACATAACATATTGAGATAACTGCTTTTACTCTTTTAGAATAAAAAAGGAGAAACCAAAATTATATTTTATCTATTGTGCAATATAAAATAAAATACTGCACATGGGAGGAATACTAGAATTAGAGTCAAAAGGCCTGTTTAAATCCCAGCTGGGTCACTTGACAGAGAATATAAACTTGCGTAAGTTACTGAATCTGTTTCAACCACAGCTTTCTCACTTGAGAAATGAAGAAGTCAGAATGCTGGCTGATCTCTATCTAAAGTCATAGTCCAGCTCTAAATATTCAATGATTCTATGATTCTGGCCTCCAAAATATTTTTTCAGACTAGACCAGCTGAGTTCTACTGGTCTAGACCAGTACTGGTAGATTTTTTTTTTACAACTGCAAAATGTAACTTAGCATCTTCTCTCCCCAAACTCCTATTTCTGCTCTGACTTGTTCTGTTCAGAGGTTGGGTCAAACTCTCATTCACCCATGATGAAGATTCCTATGTATTTTTGACTCCTCTGACACCTAATCAGCTGTCAAATCCCAGATTCTTAACTTCCTCAGTATCTTATACACTCATCTTTTTTTTCCTTTCTCTCTCTTTTTGCTTTGAGACAGGGTTGCACTCTGTTTCCCAGGCTGGAATGCAGTGGCACAAACTCAGCTCACTGAAGCCTCAAACTGCTGGGCTCAAGCAAACCTCCCACCTCAGCCTCCCAAGTAGCTGGGACTACAGGTGCACACCACCACACCCAGCTAATTTTTTAAAATTCTTTTGTAGAGGCAGAGTCTTATCATGTTGCACAGGCTGGTCTCAAACTCCTGGGCTCAATCCTCCTGCCTTGGCCTCCCAAAGTGCTGGGATTACAGGCGTTAGCCACTGGGTCCAGCCTCACTCACCTCTTTTTGCCACCACTTCAATTCAGGCCTCCATCGCTTCTTGCCTAGATCGCTAGTTTTCTCCCATAAATACACCTGGTTAGTAATCCCAGACCAGAAGATTATTCTATCACATCAGTACGCAACAAAAAGCATGCAATAGCTCCCATACCTAAAAATTTATGCACAAGTTCCTCAACCTGACATTCAAGAACCTCTATATCTGGCCTTAACCAGTTTGCTACAAATACCTTATATAACCTGAACTACCCACTGCAATATCAAAATCTCCTGTACTTTCTGGATTTTTGTGTCCTTACTTCTGTTGTTGTTCTTACAATGCCCTTTTATCTGCCTTTCAAAACTGATTCCATTCTTCAAAGTTCAGTTCTAATGGTAATCGCCCTCATGTAGATATTATGGCTCCCATGATACTAACATAATGTGACAATTTTAATGGCCAACTGTGAATTTTAAAAGACAGTTTACCTATGATAGTAAACTAAATTTATTATTTGTGCCAATGTTGTTTAACTGGCACTGGCTACCAGGCACACTGTCTTGAGGATTTGCAGCTTAGCAGAGGAAAAGGAGAATGGCAACACATCTTTGACATTCAGAAACCAGGGCTTCCAAATTGAGGATCTACATAATAGGGTCTAGGCTTCCATGTTATTAAAAGATTTTTTTTTCTTTTTTCAGACAGAGTTTCACTCTGTCAAGTAGGCTGGAGTGCAGTGGCACAATCTCGGCTCTCCGCTCCCAGGGTTCAAGTAATTCTCCTGACTCAGCCTCCCGGGTAGCTGGGAATACAGGCGCATGCCACCACGCCCAACTAATTTTTGTATTTTTAGTAAAAATGAGGTTTCACTATGTTGGCCAGGCTGGTCTCGAACTCCTGACCTCAAGCAATCCACCTGCCTTGGCCTCCCAAAGTGCTGGGATTATAGGTGTGAGCCACAGCACTCGACCAAAAGATGTTTAAATTAACTCAACATCTAAAAGTTTGGAGGCTTTCACGTTACAATTCCTAATGAAGATCTAGAGCAGTGGTTCTCAGCCAGGGTCGATTCTGCGCCACTCCCAGGGACATCTAGCAATATCTGGAAGCATTGGTGATTGTCACAACTGGACGGGGAGTGCTACTGCGGATGCTGAACATCCTGTGATGCACAGAACAACCCTCAAAATAATAAATTATCTGGTCCAAAATGTCAAGTGCCCAGATGAAAAAACTGATCTAGAAGTATTGCATGCATCTGTGGGTCCCGCCTACCAAAAGAAATTTTCAAATTTTGCAAGTTCGAAGCCTAAAAAGTTACTCCAATTACCAGTGATATGGTCTCCTCCAAGTTACTTAACCTCTTTATACATCAAATTCTCCATCTGTAAAACGGAGATAACAATACTACCTACCTCACAGGGTTTTTCAAGGATCAGATGAGTCCATGTAAAATCTTAGGAAAAGTGTGCCAGGCACATAGTAAGCAATCAATAAATTTAACTACTTACATTCTTCCCTGGCTTAGTGCCCAGTCCCACAGTTGAAATATCGAAAATGCTCAAAAAATGGTTACTCAATGAATACAATGCCTTGATTTCCTGGAGAGAGCACTATGGGTAAAGACAGATACATTCTTTTTTGTGAAAAAGGAAACACAGCTAGAGATGGAGATGAAGGAAGCATCTGCCCACCTAATCACCTCTCTCCTTCCTCAGAACACTTTTAACCTGCAAGAAATGCTCCCCTCTCATTGGATCCTTAGTACACACTGCCTTACAATCTCTTTGATATTTGTTTTTCCTTTCATGCCTTCTGACCGACTGAATATTCTCAAGCACATGAATGGGATGGTATCTTTTGATTCCTACGTCATCTACCTAGTACTACTGTTATTTATGCATTTATGATAGTCTTTCTACTAGACTGTACATGCCCTCTGTGAACACGGACAGCACTTTACTCCTTTTATGTAACCCAAAGGGCCTAACAGACCTCAGCAACTGGCTGGCCCACGCCGCTCGTTTTATAGATTGGACAGAGAGGCTAAGTGACTTGCCAAGAGTCAAGGTCATATTGCAAGTAGCAGAGCTGGAATTCAAACTCTGATAAATAGCCAACCCAGACTCGAGTTCTACCTAATATTAAAATTATACCTGTGGCACAGACAATTTTTAATTAAGTACTAGAGCACCTTCATAGGAATTATACTGATATAGTTACCTGATAAAACAAAAATGGAAGGAGAAACAGACCTCTAAGCTCTGTTCTGCTGATATTACACCTTAATGGCTCAACCTGTTTTCTTTAATGGTTTCATATCTTAACATTTCCTTACTAGATTTTGACAAAATTTATGTAAATATACCACAAATAGTCAGTGATGTCAGACTTAATTTCCTTTAAATGATCCCATAATTATTTTGAGTAACAGAGAATCCCTTACTGGGTAAACCAATGATGCCTATCCTTCACCATCTGAACACATTCTTTAACGATCACCTGAACAGATTAGTATCTTATGAAACTCAATAGGCCAGCAATTTGGAACAATTCTACGCGGTGCAAAATATTCAGACGATTTGAAATGTGAGTGTTAAAAACCCCAATGTAAACCTAAAACCCGCAATCATCAAGAGCAAACTACATTAAAACCTGAGATAGGAGAAATTTCATTTTATTTTCAACAAGTGAAAAAAAAGAAAAAAAGAAAGCTATTCACGGATTTGGTTAATTGGCTAAGTTTCCCTGAGTGTCCCAATATGATGCAAAAGAAAAAGGGGAATAAGAAAGGAAAAGACGGTAGGAAAGAAAATGAATGTGAAAAGGAGTTAAATACAGTACAATTCCTTGATGCTTAAGCAATTACAGCTCAATGAAGCTAAATATTTCCATTCCATAAAGACATCGTTTAAAAAAAAAAAAAAATTCTCCCTTCACGGTGATGCAAAAGCAGCAGGGCCCAACAGGAACGATAACCTCTTCTGGAGAAAAGATTTTTAATTATTTTACCAGCTGATAAAAAGAGCACACACCGAACATGGACAGAAATGGAGTTTCGAAGGAAAACAAAACGCAGCTTATGCTTGGTAAAGTTCAAGGACAAAACTGTGTCCAATGCAACAGAATCCGCCTGACTACAATGTATGGGGGGGGGGGGGGGGCGGGGGGGAATGCGAACACATAGTATCTTTTTATAAAAGCAACAATTTGAGCTACAAAGTAATAACGGGGAAGCCAAAACAGTTTGACAGCCCGCCATAAGGGCCGCCTCAATCATGAGTCACACAATGCCTGCAACCATTTACAATAGTAATTAATGCACAAGTCCCCTAATTAAATTCTAAAAGGGTGAGAATGCTTTAACTAAGTTTACAAGAATTGCTTTGCGCTTTTTTTTTTTTTTTTTAAAGAAAGAAACACACGCGTAATTACGCATCTCCCCGCAATCCCTCCAGTATTCCCCCAGGCCGCTTCTCCCGAATGTCTGCTCTCCGGGTGCGGAAGAAAATGTCACGGGGGAACTTCTCAACCCAGAAAAGGCGAATCGGAGTAGAAATATACGATTATCGTGGGGCGGGAGACGGAAAGCTCGCCCATCTTACCTGCTAAGATTTCTTTCTACGTCTTTGGTAGCTTTAGCTTCCAATTCTCTGAAACAAAAAAACAAAAACAAAAACAAAACAAAAACACACACACAAAAACGAGATGCGCGTGAAAACGGAGCTGCTGCGGCAGAGGCTCGCGCCGGGGCCGGATGGGGGAGGGGAGAGGACGGGGGGAGGGGGACTCACAAAGCTGCGGGGCTGCAGCCCGGACTGCGGTCCCGCGGCGCGGGCGAGGCGCAACCCCGGCCTGGCCCCCGCGGCGCGGCGCAGCGAGGCTCCCCCGGGCCGCCCGCTCGGCCTCCGCAGCAACGCAGCCTGCGCCCTCCCGCCGAGGCCCGAAGTCTCGGGGACGCCCGGCGCCGCCGCCTCTGCTGCCGCCGCCGCGGGTTGCGGGCCCTGCGGCAGCGCCCGCGGCTCCTCCCGCCCGGAGGGAGGCCCTTGTTCCGCTCACCTCATGTGTGTAAAGTGCACGAGCAAGTGGGGCGCGGCGAAGGAGGCTCGCGAGCCTCAAGCCCTCCGCAGCGCCGCGGGGAGAGGCCCGAGCCGCTGCACCAGCGCCATTTTCTACACCGACCCGCTGCCGCCGCCGCCGCCGCCGCCGCCGCCGCCGCCGACACCGCCGCCGCCGCAGGCCCCAGACCGGAAGTGAATGCCCCACTCGGCAACCCCTTCCGGGGGCGCCACGGCCACTGGCCCCCAAGATGGAGGCCCTAGCAACTGGACCCGCAGATTGGGCAGGTCCTTGGCAACCGCCCCGGCGTGTCACGCTGCACCCAGCCGGACCTCCCTGGAGGTCACAGCCTCCGAGGCGCCCCGCGGAGTGGCTGGGGGGGCCTGCGGAGTCCCGAGTCCAACCTTTTTCGGTGCGGCCGGCTCCGGTCTGACCGAGGAGGGGAGTCCCTCCCCTCCTCCTCCTTCTTTGCTGCGACACAAGTTTCCTACCCGCCGCCCGGCCCCTCCCCCACTGACACACGCCAAAAAAAAAAAAAAAAAAAATTGCCTAAAACGCAAATTTTACCCCAACTGCAGCCTGATGAGCCCGCGCGGCTTTTGAATTCAGCCACTTCTAATTATTTTTGACCTTGGGCCAGTTATTTAACCTCTCTGCTTCTCTGTTCCTCCTCAGGTAAAGAATGCATACCTGAGGCGGGTTGTGAGGCTTAAAAGCGATTTTTATCCACCGACCTTTGACTCAGCAGTTCCGCCTGCACGGATTTTCTGCTCAGGAAATAATTCTGGGTATCTGCAAATATTTCACCTTCGAGATACTAAGCTGTGGTATTGATGATGGTGAAAAATTGCAAACAGCCAAAATGTCCAGCGCTACTAGATGGCTTCAAAAACAGCTACTGGCATGTATTAGGACACTGTAAAAATGATGTGGAGGAATAATCCCGGCATGGAGGAAATGGTTGCAATAGAATAAATGAAAAAGCAGGTTCCAACGTAGCTCACACAGTAAGAAACATCTTAGTGTAGACACAGTAAGATACATACATGTAGATAGACTAAGATATGTATATATGTAGACACAGATGCATATGTGTACATTAAAAGTATACATACATACCTACATGTAGATACAATAAGACATACATATCTGCAGGTAGATACAACAATACACATACATGTAGATACAGTAAGATACATATTTTCACTTGCGTGTGTTCTTTCCAACCTCTCATCAAGCTTTTTCTTCTAATTTAAAGATAATTCCTCCTCTGTGCTTAAAATCTATAACCTTTACTTTCTCAGAAACCCCACTCTGTGGATCATCCCATTCTCCTTTTTCTAACCTAAGTTCTTCAACTGGCTTTTTTTTTTATTTTTTTATTATATTATCATTTTTTTTAGGCGGAGTCTCGCTCTGTCTCCCAGGCTGGAGTGCAGTGGCGCGATCTCCGTTCACCGCAACCTCCGCCTCCCGAGTTCAAGCAATTCTCCTGCCTTAGCCTCCCAAGTAGCTGGGATTACAGACACGCACCACTGCGCCTAGCTATTTTTGTATTTTTAGTAATGACGGGGTTTCGTCATGTTGGCCAGGCTGGTCTTGAACTCCTGACCTCAGGTGATCGCCCCCCTCGGCCTCCCAAGGTGTTGGGATTACAGGCGTGAGCCACCGCGCCCAGCTTCAACTGGCTTTACAACATGCTTGAATCTCTCCCGTTAAAAACAAACAAAACTTCCCTAGACATGTTGGGTTCCTGTCCTCTCCGATAGGTTAAGCTAGTGAATGAATGCACAGAAAGTCATGAAACATATGCACCAAAACGTTAACTGATTATGACTTTTTTTCATTTTCTTCTTTTAGTGTATCTGTTTTTTTCTTTTTTGCGATGAGCATATAAAAAACACTTTTTTGAAAAAAAAAATCAGGTTTACAAAATATAAAATGTAGTGGGCACCGAATAAATGCTAGTGACTTTCCTTTTCCTGCTATCATCCCTGAGGTTCATTTACCTACACACATATTTGTTTTTCTTTCATAATCCTTTCTACTTAAAATGTTTAAAAGTTACTATGGTGTTTCATTAGGAGTTTAAAAATATGAACATATACGTAATGGCACAATATGCTTTCATACCAGGTTTAGGAATAATTTTTCACAACAACATAAGGCAATGAAAACAGTCATATTTATCAACATTTGCACAGCTGTTAAGATTGGCTGATTTTTTTTTTATTAGACTTTTTTAGGTTTTAATGACTCAGTGATTCTTAATTGGGACAATGTTGCCCCCATCCCTACCCCTGGGGACATTTAGCAATGAACTTTTTGGTTGTCACACTGGATGCTACTGATTGGTATCTGATAGCTACAGACCAGGGATTCTACTAAATATTCTACGATGCGTAGGACAGTCCCCTACAACACGGGAGTATCTGAACCAAAATGCCAATAGCACCAAGGTTGAGAAAGCCTGGAACTAATTCCCAGCTCCAGCAAAGCTAATAAGATATGATTTCTTGGCCAGGCGCGGTGGCTCATGCCTGTAATCCCAGCACTTTGGGAGGCCGAAGTGGGCAGATCATCTGAGGTCAGGAGTTTGAGACCAGCCTGGCCAGCATGAGGAAACCCGGCCTGTAGTAAAAATAAAAAATTAGCCAGGCATAGTGGTGCATGCCTGTAATCCCAGCTAATTGGGAGGCTGAGGCAGGAGAATCGCTTGAACCCAGGAGGCAGAGGTTGCAGTGAGCTGAGATCACACCATTGCACTCCAGCCTGGGCAACAACAGTGAAACTCCACCTTAGGGAAAAAAAAAAAAAAAAAGATGTGATTTCCAGAAGGTTTGTTGACAGTGATTGGACATCCCATCTGAGCCCTCCTGGGCTGCAATGTAGAGTGTTTTATATGAGGTCATGCTAGTCACTTTTAAATTATCTCTTACTTAAACTTGGTGCATACATCGAAGAAAAATGACAATATAAGATCAGCACTGATTCCTTATGTGGGACCCTCTAAGGGATCTTTTCCTGTTACTATCTTTTCTTTTTACTAAGTAATCATTCTCTCTACTGAATATTTCCCATCACCACACAAACTCTAGTAACTTTCATTAAAAAGCAAAAAGCCCAAAACTCCCTTGATGCGTCATTCCTCTCCAGCTCCATTTTTCTGCTCTCGTTCCCAACAATGCTTTCTTGGGAAACTGTTCAACACAAGCACCTTCCACTGGCTCTCCTCCTTCTCCCAGCTCTCTTTAACCTGATATCCCCATCCCTCCTGCAAAACTGCTCTTATGAAGGTCGCAAATGACTTTGAGGGTGCCAAACTCAATGGAAACATGTCTGTCCTCATCTTGATTTACTTCTTAGCTACATTTGCCACAACCTAACTCTCCCTCCTTCTTAAGAGAATCTCTTTGCTAGGCCATCCTGACAGTATATTCTTCTGGAGTTCTTTTTACCTCTCTAGCCATTTTTTTTTTTTTTTGGTATCTTTTGCTAACATCTTCTGTTTTATATCAAATAAATGTTGGAGATCTCCCCACTCCCAAGGCTTTGTTCCAGACTTCTGTTCTTCCCCCTTCTCTACTCTCCCTTTAGGATGGGTAATCTCATTTATTCTCTTGTATTTAAGTACTCTCTGAATGCAGATTACTCTCAGATTTAAACCTTAACCGTTGTCTCACCTGTGTACCCCTGAATGCCAAAATGACAATTCACTCACACAGTATTTATTGAGCACCTACTATGTGCCAGGCACTGTGCTAGGACTGGCTTCTCTGGTTCTTGTGAGGAACTACAGTGGTGGATGAAGTCTAGCAAGGCAGACAGATTTGTTTTTTTTTTTTTTTAGACATAGTCTTGCTCCGTCACCCAGGCTGGAGTGCAGTGGCATGATCTCAGCTCACTGCAACCTCTGCCTCCCGGGTTCAAGCGATTCCCTTGCTTCAGCCTCTCCAGCAGCTAGGATTACAGACGTGTGCCACTACACCTGGCTAATTTTTGTATTTTTAGTAGAGACAGGGTTTCACCATGTTGGCCAGGCTGGTCTCGAACTCCTGACTCAAGTGATCACCCGCCTCGGCCTACCAAAGTGCTGGGGTTAGGCATGAGCCACCGTGCCTGGCCGATTTTTTTTTTTTCTTAAGCAAACAAAAAGTGTATAATTACAAACTATGGCAAGTGCACAGAAGGATAGGAATGTTGCTCTAAGAAAGTGTAAAACAAAGGAACACAACATTGATTATGCAACAAAGAATGTTTCTTTGAAAATGTAAAGCTTCACCTGAGAATGGAGAGAGGAGCTGGGGAGGGGGAGAGGAGGGGGTCTCAGGCTGGAGGGTTACATTTATGGTTACATTTGTGGGTTATCAGTGCGGAGGGAAACAGGCTTCATATTGTATTTGGCTTTAAATCTGCCAGACCGAGGCAAATGGATTGCTGGAGCTCAGGAGTTCGAGACTAGCCTGGGCAACATGGCAAAACCCCATCTCTACTAAAAATACAAAAGTTAGCCAGGTGTGGTGGTGTGCATCTGTAATCCCAGCTACTCAGGAGGCTGAGGTGGGAGGATCGCTTGAGGCTGGGGCAGGGGGTAGGTTGCAGTAAGCCAAGATAATGCTACTGCACTCCAGTCTGGGTGACAGAGTGAGACCTTTTCTCAATAAATAAATAAATGAAACTGCTAGTGTTGTCATTTTCATTTTACTTGCATCAATCCATTAGGAATGGAACCAGAAACAAGGTCCTGTAAAGAGAAACACGCTGTACAAATTTAATTTTAAATAAGCCCTTTTTCTCCATTTGTCTTTGTTCCTGTGGCTTTTGAAGTTATCAGGACAAAGATGTTCTCTAACTTCTCCTCCTTCTCTTACTGAGAAGGGCAAATGATGAGCCTAATACTTTGGAAATTATGTACTTGGAAGAAAAGATTTTGTTTTCCTCCCAAGGCTTTACCAAACAGCATTGTGAGATATATAGGTATTTTTTTTAGGCAAGGCTCATGCATAATATTTTTAAATTTTAAAATTTTTTCACAGTAATGTATAAACATGAACGTGGATATGAGTTCCTGGAGAGAATTTATTTATTTATTTATTATTTATTTTAACAAGGTCTTGCTCTGTCACCCTGGCTGGAGTGCAGTGGCACGATCTCGGCTCACTGCAACCTCCACCTCCTGGGCTCAAGTGATCCTCCCACCTCAGCCTCAAGTAGCTGAGACTACAGCCGCAAGTCACTGCACCTGGCTACTTTTTGTATTTTTTGTAGAGATGGGGTTTCACCATGTTGCCCAGGCTGGTCTCCAACTCCTGAGCTCAGGTGATCCGCCTGCCTCGGCCTCCCAAAGTGCTGGGATTACAGGTGTGAGCCACCACGCACAGCCAAGTGTATTTATCTTATTTAACTAAAATGTATTTGAAAGTTAATATGTGCCAGTCAGGCTCTGTTCTAAGTGCTTCACAAATATTAATTAATTATTAATTGTTGCTTTCACATAGCCATGTGAGGTAGAAATATTATCCCCACTTTGCAGATGGGGGTAATTAACTTGCTCAATGTCATATTAAAATAGTAAATGATAAAACAGACAAACAAACAAACAAACACTCAAATGATTTGCTTCCAGAGCCCGCTACATTACAGAACTGTTTTTCTTAACCATATTATATCCTATACCCCTTTTGATAACAAATGTTTTGTAACACCACCTCTTTCTATCCCAACATGATAATCATGGATAATTATGTCTTAATTTACCTAAGACATAATTTCACAATACATACATATTGACATCTCTGATATAAAAGAGAAATAAAAGTAACCATAATAAAATAAAATGTCTTTCATTATGTAAATGTTTGGAAGAGGTCTACACTAGAAGATGCAGTGGGGTAGCTAGGTCTTGACACCTATGTGTACTATCACTACTATAAATAGTCACAGCAGTGATGAATTGATTACTCACACATCAAGAACTGTAGTTATGCTGAAGACATAATTTTTCTGGAATGGAGAACAACTCTCAGTCAAGTTCTGAACAAATAGAAACAGTTGTCTCTCAATTTATGTGATAATTGCATTACTGGAAATTTTGCAATAATTAAAATGGAACAAAAAAAAAAGTTAGGTATTCAGATAATTATAAACATCCCTTTTACCTGTGTGAATGTCCAGTGAGGGAGGAATTCCTCATTTTGTGGAATTAACTCTGTCCAGCATCCACAACTTCTAGCCACTGACTTTTTTTTTTTTTTTGACAGAGTCTTGCTCTGTCACCCAGTCTGGAGTGCAGTGGTACGTTCTTGGCTCACTGCAACCTTCACCTCCTGGGTTCAAGCAATTCTCCTGTCTCAGCCCCCCAGGTAGCTGAGATTACAAACTCATGCCACCACACCCAGCTGATTTTTGTATTTTTAGTAGAGACAGGGTTTCACCATGTTGGCCAGGCTCATCTTGAACCCCTGACCTCAGGTGATCCTCCTGCCTCAGCCTGCCAAAGTGCTGGGATTACAGGCATGAGCCACTGCGCCCTGCCACCATGGACTCTTAATAGCACACATCTCCCCTCAACCAAAAACACTGCAGTCATTTCCCCCAAACCCTCTGCGGAGTGGAGGTGAAGTGTTACTTATTGAGAACCATTGCTGTGGAGGATGAGAAGAGCCAAGGAATGAATCCTGGAAAATCTGATACTGTAATGAAGAAACCAGCAAGGCAAGAGAGAAACAGGATGAGTGTGGCATAATGGGCCCACGTAATATCTCCTGGGTATTTCAGGCTGACATGTCAAAATTTAGCCTCCTCATTCCTCCCTTGACCCAACCAACACCCTATATGGACCTGACCCTTTCCCAGTTTTCCCCCAAGTCGGTAATAACACCACCAGTCACTTAGCTGCCCCAGCCAGAAACCTAAGTGTTAGTTCTGACTCTTCCCTGCCTCTCATGCAATGTATAAGCAACTCGTCTGGTCTCTAATCTGCTTTCTTTGTCTTCTCTTCCTGTGTTTCTCCACTGCCATACCGTAGAACACCCCTAAAACTCCAAAGATTCATTCTCTTTGCCTCTTTTTTGTTGTGGTGGTATAATTCGTATACAATAAAAGTCACACTTTATTTAAGAGTTGTGGCTCACACCTGTAATCCCAGCACTTTGGGAGGCCGAGGCAGGTGGATCATTTGGGGTCAGGAGTTCAAGGCCAGCCTGACCAACATGGTGAGACCCTGTCTCCACTAAAAATACAAAAATTAGCCGGGTGTGGTGGCGGGTGCCTGTAATCCCAGCTACTTGGGAGGCTGACGTAGAGAATCACTTGAACCCGGGAGTGGAGGTTACAGTGAGCCAAGATCATGCCACTGCACTCCAGCCTGGGCGACAGAGTGAGACTCTGTTTCAAAATAAATAAATAAATAAATAAGTAAATAAATAAATAAATAGTTGGGGTCTTGCTCTGTCACCCAGGCTAGGGTGTAGTGGCATAATCATAGCTCGTTGCAGCCTCAAACTCCTGGGCTCAACTGATCCTCCCGTCTCAGCTTCCCAAGTAGCAAGAATGAGAGGTGTGTGTCACCATGCTCAGCTAAATTTTTTATTACTTTTTATAGAGATGGGTTCTTGCTGTGTTGCTCAGGCTGGTCTTCAATGCCTGGCCTCTAGTGATCCTCCCACCTTGGCCTCCCAAAGCACAGGAGTTACAGGCATACTCACACTTTTAAAGTGAAAAATGTAATGCATTTTGACCAATAAATATGCCCATGTAGCGACTACCACAATCACTATATAGAACACTTTTATCACTACAGAAAATTCCCTCGCGCCCCTTCTCAGTGACTCACCTGTTGTCCTCCCACAGACACCTACCACCAGGAAACCGCTTTTCTGATTCACATCACCACAAATTAGTGCTGTCTGTTTTAGATCCTCATAAAAATGAAGTCATACTGTGTATATTCTTTTGGGCTTGACTCCTCTTGCTAAACGTGCCTGTGAGAGTCATTCATATGATTGCGTGTATTAAGTTCGTTCCTTTTTATTGCTGCCAAGTATTCTGTTGAATGGATATACCACAGTTTGTTTACTCATCCTTTTGTTTTAAAATAATAATAATCCACTTCCCGGGCTGAAGCCATCTTCCCACCTCAGCCTCACGAGTAGCTGGGACCAAAGGCATGCACCACCAGGCCGGGCTAATTTTTGTATTATTTGTAGAGATGGGGTTTTGCCACGTTGTCCGGGCTGATCTCAAACTCTTTGGGCTCAAGCAATCCACCCGCCTCAGCCTCCCAAAGTGCTGGGATTACAGGCATAAGGCATGGCACCTGGCCCTACTATCATTATTGTTTGTAGAGACAGGTTTTCATCATGTTGCCCAGGCTAGTCTCAAACTCCTGGGCTCAAGGGATCCACACACCTCAGCCTCCCAAAGTGCCAGGATTACAGGCATGAGCCACCGCACCCAGCCTCTTCCTTGTGTTAATTGACATTTGGGTTGTTTCCAGTTTGGGGCTATTATGAGTAAATCTGGTATGAACAGTTTTTGTACAAGTCTATTTTTGTGGACAGTGGGCATGTGTTTCTATTTCTCTTGGATAAATACCCAGAAATAGAATTACTGGATCACAAGGTAAGTGTATATTTGACTATATAAGAAACTAGAAAACATGTCTAAAATGGTTGTACCCGGTTGCATCTCAACCTCATCAAGAGTTCTAGTTGCTGCCTCTCCTCAGCAGCTTTGCAGGTGTTCATTCTTAGCCCATCAACACCGTTCTCCATACAGCAGCCTTAATTTTTTTGAGACAGTCTCGCTCTGTCACCCAGGCTAGGGTGCGGTGGCATGATCTCGGCTCACTGCAAGCTCCACCTCCCGGGTTCATGCCATTCTCCTGCCTCAGCTTCCCGAGTGGCTGGGACTACAGGTGCCTGCCACCATGCCTGGCTAATTTTTTTGTTTTTTTTTTTCTGTTTGTTTGTTTTAGTAGAGACGGGGTTTCACTGTGTTAGCTAGGATGGTCTCGATCTCCTGACCTCGTGATCCACCCGCCTCAGCCTCCCAAAGTGCTGGGATTACAGGCGTGAGCCACTGAGCCCAGCCCAGCCTTAATTCTTTTTCTTTTTTCTTTTTTTTTTTTCTTTCTTTCTTTTTTTTTTTTTTTTGAGATGAAGTTTTGCTCTTCTCGCCCAGGCTGTAGTGCAATGGCATGATCTCGGCTCACTGCAACCTCTGCCTCCCAGCCACAAGTGATTCTCCTGCCTCAGCCTCCTGAGTAGCTGGGATTACAGGAGCCTGCCACCATGCTTGGCTAATTTTTTTGTATTTTTAGTAGAGACGGGGTTTCACCATGTTGGCCAGGCTGGTCTCGAACTCCTGACCTCAGGTGATCTGCCTGTCTTGGCCTCCCAAAGTGCTGGGATTACAGGCTTGAGCCCCCACACCTGACCTCTTTTTCTTTTTTTGAGACAAGGTCTAGCTGTGTCACCCAGACGGGTGTGATCACAGCTCACTGCAGCCTCCAATTCCCAGGCTTAAGTGATCGTCCTGCCTCAGCCTCCTGAGTAGCTGGGACTACAGGTGTGAGCTGCCATGCCTGGCTAATGTTTATTATTATTATTTGTAGACAGGGCCTTGTTATGTTGGCCAGAGTGGTAATTTTTCTGAAAAGGAAAAGTGAGATCATCTTCTTTTCTGCTTAAAATAGTAGAAAGGATTTCCAGGGCTCTCGATTTAAAGCCTGATACCTTTAACATGTTCTATAACATCTCCCTGATGTTATCTTATAGTCCTTCTCTCTTGCCTACCATGCCTCAGGCAAGCCTGCTCCTCCTCATCTTTCCCCTCTCAATCCAAATGTAACTTCCTCAGGACTTTCCTGACCAGCACCTGCCTTAACTCAAAAGGTCTCCCTCCCAGTTATATATTCTAAAGACATCCTCTACACCTTCATAGCATTCATCACATTTCTAATGAAATATTACTGTCGCTTGTTTAAATTTTTTTTTTTTTTTTTGAGACAAGGTCTCACTCTGTTGCCTGAGCTTGAGTGCAATGGTGCAATTATAGCTCACTGCAGCCTTGAACTCCTGGGCTCAAGTGATCCTCCTGCCCCAACCTCCTGAGTTGCTGGGACTACAGACGGACACTACCACACTCAACTAATTTTTATTTTTTTTTTATTTTTTTAATTTTTTTGAGATAGGGTCTCATTCTGTCACCCAGGCTAGAGTACAGTGGCATGACTGCAGCTCACTGCAACCTCTGCCTCCCAGGTTCAAGTGATTCTCACCCTCAGCCTCCTGAGTAGCTGGCATTACAGGGACCTGTCGCCACACCCAGATAATTTTTATATTTTTAGTATAGATGGGGTTTCACTATGTTGGCCAGGCTGGTCTTGAACTCCTGACCTCAGGTGATCTACCCACCTCCCAAAGTGTTGGGATTACAAGCGTGAGCCAGCAAGCCCAGCACCAACTGATTTTTAAAATTTTTTGTAGAGATAGGATCTCCCTACGTTGCCCAGTCTCAAACTCTTGAACTCCTGAGCCTAAATGATCCTCTCACCCTGGCCTCCCAAAGTGCTATGATTACAAGTGTCTGCCACTGCCCCTGGCTTTGTTTAATCTTTGGTACTCCTGATTTTTTTGTAAGCGCCAGGAGAGCAAAGGCCATATCTGCCTAGTCATCAGTACATCTCCACCTCTAGCACAATGCCTAGTACATATTAGGCCCTCAATAATACTTATTAAATGAATAAATAATTTTCCATAGTCTGCTTATCTCTTTTTTTCCTTTTTCTTTTCTTTTTTTTTTTTTGGAGACAGAGTCTTGCTCTGTCACCCAGGCTGGAGTACAGTGGTGCGATCTCGGCTCACTGCAACCTCCGCCTCCTGGGTTCAAGCAATTCTCCTGCCTCAGCCTCTTGAGTAGCTGGGATTACAGACACCCACCACCATGCCCGGCTAATTTTTGTATTTTTAGTAGAGACGCAGTTTCACCATATTGGACAGGCTGGTCTCAAACTCCTGACCTCAGGTGATCCGCCCGCCTCAGCCTCCCAAAGTGCTGGGATTACAGGTGTGAGCTACTGCACCCAGCCTGCTTATCTCTCTCAATCCAGAAATCCACATCACCACCAAAGAGGTCTTTCTAACTAGTTAATCTGATAAGGTCCTGCTGGTGCTATGAATTCTTGAATGGCTACATTCTATAGAATTATACCTGAAACCCCTTGTGTAGCGTAAAAGATTCTTCAAGAACTCTTGCTACCTAACCTGGCATATTTCTGACAATCCCTATATTGTGCTTCAGCAATAGTGAATTATTACTAGTTTATTGTGTTTTTCAAAGCCTCTATGACTTGAACATGTTATTTCCTCTGAATGGAAGTCCTCTCCTATTATGTCTACCTAACAAACTCCTGCTTCAAAGCCCAGTTCAAATGCTACCTCCCTTGGTAAGCCTTCCCTGAAATGCTCTGGATCTCATAAGAATACAGATGTGAGTCAAGTACCAATAGAAATATAGCTATCATTCCTGCCCCCTCCTATTCAGGTGGAAACACAGTCCTCTGAAAAGAACGCCTTGAGCATTTAGGGCTGGAATCTCACATGCTCTCGTGAGATAACTCATTTTATCCAGGCACTGCCAGCAGAGAAGGCTTCTGGGAGTGGAGACTTGTCTGCTGCATTCAGTGTTGTATTCTCCAGTACCTAGAGTAGTGCCTGGGAAGTATTAAGTTTGGAATTCATATTTGTTGAATACGAAGAATGAACAGGCAGGCCGTGGGGGCACATGCCTGTAGTCCCAGCACTTTGGGAGGCTGAGGTGGGTGGATCACCAGGGATCAGGAGTTCGAGACCAGCCTGGCCAACATGGGAAACCCTGTCTCTACTAAAAATACTAAAAATATAAAATTAGCTGGGGGTGGTGGCACGCGCCTATAATCCAGCTACTTGGGAGGCTGAGGCAGGAGAATTGCTTGAACCCAGGTGGCAGAGGTTGTAGTGAGCCGAGGTGGCACCATTGCACTCCAGCCTGGGTGACAGAACAAAACTCCTTCTCAAAAAAAAAAAAAAAAAAAGAAAAAAAAAAAGATGAACCTTGTCTTTCTTCCAAGGAGTTAAATGACGTGACAACAAGCATCGTTGTTCTCCAGTTTCTTACCCTGTTTGTTAATATCATGACTGTCAGCAAGAATTGGATTCTCCTAGACTTCTGTGTGGTCTCTGGGATCTCCTGGGTTTTGCTTTATCTGACAAATGCAAATAACATTCTTTCCATGATGCTCGGGCCTGCCGCCAGATCCACCACAGGCACATTCATTGTTTCACCGAGGATAAAGTGGGTACTTCTGCCTCTTATTAGGTCCTTTGGATATTCATTGCTAAAATAATCATTGGTTGCTTCCCTACTTTTTCTGATAATGGCGCCCAGCTTTTCCTTAGAGGCTGTCCTCCTTTGCTCTCAGTCTATGAATTTTGCTACATTGGAGAATGTACATTGGAGAATTGGAGAAATGCTACATTAAGCATTCTTATATGTAATGATTCTTATACCTACTGATTAAGTAGAGGATAACTTGAACATTAAAATAAATAATGAGGCCAGGTACAGTGACTCATGCCTGTAGTCCTAGCTACTTGGGAGGCTGGTCAGGGAGGTTCACTTGAGTCCAGGAGATCAAGGCTGCAAGGAGCCGTGATTGCACCACTGCACTCCAGCTCTGGGCAACATTGTGAGGCCCTGTCTCAATAAATAAATAAATAATAGCAATTATCACAATAACATAGGAAACTGTGTATCTATACAGACAGAAATAAATGTATTCATTTATTAATCAGTTCATCTATTCATTCATTCAAGTTTTCTTTTTTTTTTTTTTCTTTTTTTTTTTTTGAGATGGAGTCTCACTCTGTTGTCAGGCTGGAGTGCAGTGGCACGATCTTGGCTCACCGCAACCTCTGCCCCCAGGTTCAAGTGATCCTCCCGCCTCAGCCTCCCGAGTAGCTGGACTACAGGTGTGCACCACCATGCCCAGTTAATTTTTGGTATTTTTCGTAGAGACGGGGTTTCACCATGTTGGCCAGGATGGTCTCTATCTCTTGACCTTGTGATCTGCCCGCCTCAGCCTCCCAAAGTGCTAGGATTACAGGTGCGAGCCACCATGCCCAGACTTTTTTTTCTTTTGAGAGACGGTCTCACTTTGTCACCCAAGCTGGAATGCAGTGGCGTGAACATGGTAGCCTTGACTACCTCCCAGGTGCAAATGGCCCTTCTGCCTCAGCTCCCCAAGTAGCTGGGACTACAGGCGTGCACCATCACGCTCGGCTAATTTTTGTATTTTTTGTAGAGGTGGGTTTTCACCATGTTGCTCAGGCTTGTCTCAAACTCCTGGCCTCAAGTAATCTACCCGCCTTGGACTCCCAAAGTGCTGGGATTCCAGGCGTGAGCCACTGCACCCAGCCCATTCATTATATGTTTGATGAGGAATAACAGTTTCTGTTTCCAGCCAACATGAAGTAACTGGAACTGTATTTACCCCTCCCTCCTGAAACGGCTAAAAATGCAGACAAAATTTATAAAACAACTGTTTTCAAAACATTAGACATCAAGCAAAGGAGGACAGTGAGCCCCAAGAGATGGGAAAGAAATGAGGTGGACCTAATGGTTGCCCTAGATTACTGCTTGAGGAGAGTTTCCAGGTACTGGTACAGTGGCACAGGAAGGGAAAACCCAAGCACAGTGGACTTCTTGAGTTGAAGCAATGTATCTCGGTGTCTGTAGAGACCAAAGTGGCTAGTTTGCAGGTCAGAGTACCAAAGAGGAGAGAACCACACAGATAGAGAATTCCAGAGATCTATGGATGGTCATGCTTGGGTCTTTAGCTAAAAACTGTGTAGTACATGCATGCCATAAAACTACTCAAGAATGGGCCAGGCACAGTGGCTCATGCCTGTAATCCCGGCACTTTGGGAGGCCAAGGTGGGCAGATCACTTGAGGCCAAGAGTTTGAGACCAGCCTGGCCAACATAGGGAAACCCCGTCTCTACTAAAAATATGAAAAAATTTAGCCAGGCTTGGTGGCATGCACCTGTAGTCCCAGCTACTTGGGAGGCAGAAGCAGAAGAATCACTTGAATCTGGGAGGCGGAGGTTGCAGTGAGCCAAGATCATGCCACTGCACTCCAGCCTGAGAGACAGAGTGAGACTCCGTCTTAATTAAAAAAAAAGAAAAAAAAAAAAAAAAGAAACTACTCAAGAATGGAAAAGAACCACCCAAAATGATTAGAAGGAACAGTATCTGGGACTCACAGAGAGCTTGGAATAATTTCTGATCCCATCAGGCAGAGTAGAAAACCTTGTAATTCACAGACATTAGGTATGGTACTTAGGAGGGTTTTGCATCAGTGGTGGGACAAAGTTAACTCTTAACAGATGCTGCTCTGGTTGTGCCCAACAAGGCTTAAAAGGAATTTCTGGCCAGGTATGGTGGCTCATGCCTGTAATCACAGCAATTTGGGAGGCTGAGGCAGGAGCATCACCTGAGCTCAGAAGTTCAAGACCATCCTGGACAATAAAGTGAGATCTTGTCTCTACAAAAAATTAAAAAATAAAAGTTTTAAAAGGAAGGGATTTCTAAAAGATTCAAGCTGCATTCAAGTAATTAAGTGTATTCCAGAACAAATCTGTAGAACATTTATATAAATATAAAAACTACAGAGGCTGAGGCAGGCAGATCATGAGGTCAGGAGATCGAGACCATCCTGGCTAACACGGTGAAACCCCGTCTCTACTAAAAATACAAAAACTTAGCCGGGTGTGGTGGCAGGTGCCTGTAGTCACAGCTACTCGGGAGGCTGAGGCAGGAGAATGGCGTGAACCCGGGAGGTGGAGCTTGCAGTGAGCCGAGATCACGCCACTGCACTCCAGCCTGGGTGACAGAGCAAGACTCCATCCCAGAAAAAAAAAAAAACAAAAAAACTACAATGTACCAGATAAGCAAAAAAGTAGGAAAATATTATTGAAATGAGGAGAAAATTTTGCTCTTTGAAACTGACCCAGAAATGACACAGGTGCTAAAATTAGAAGAAAAGGACATCAAGACAGTTATTAGAGCTGTATTTCATATATCCTAAAAGTTAAGCAAAGCCCTGAAAGATATTTTAGAAAGAAAGACTTAAACTTCTGGAGGTAAAAACTACAATGTCTGAGAAGAAAAAAGCACAGAATTGGATAAGATTAACAGCAGGCTGGGCGCAGTGGCTTATGCCTGTAATCCCAGCACTTTGGGAGGCCAAGGCAGGTAGATCACCAGGTCAGGAGATCGAGACCATCCTGGCTAACACAGTGAAACCCCCCATCTCTACTAAAAAAAAATTAGCCGGGTTTGGTGGTGGGCACCTGTAGTCCCAGCTACTCGGGAGGCTGAGGCAGGAGAATGGTGTGAACCTGGGAGGCGGAGCTTGCAGTGAGTCAAGACTGCGCCACTGCACTCCAGCCTGGGCGACAGAGTGAGACTCCATCTCAAAAAAAAAAAAAAAAAAAAAAAAGATTAACAGCAAATCAGGCACTGCAGAAGAAAAGATCAGTGAATCTGATGACATAGCAGAAGAAACTATCTAAAGCGAAGAAGACAGGAAAAAAAGCCCCAATGTGAAATGAACAGATCACCAGTGAGCTGTGGAACAACCTATATGGGTTATAGGAGACCCTAAATGAGAGAACAAGGGACTAAAAGAAGGATTTAAAGAAATAATAGTACAATTTTCTCCAAGTTTCATGAAAACTATAAACCACAGATCCAACAATGTCAGCAAGCCCCAAACAGACACACACATACCCACACAATGTGAAGAAAATGACACCAAGGCAAATCATAATTGAATCGTTTAAAAACAATGATTAATGGCCAAGTGCGCTGCCTCACGCCTGTAATCCCAGCACTTTGGGAGGCTGAGGCGGGTGGATCACCTGAGGTCAGGCATTAAAGACCAGCCTGGCCAACATGGCGAAACCCCATCTCTACTGAAAATACAAAGATTGAACAGAGTTGTAGCACACACCTGTAGTCCCAGCTACTCAGGAGGCTGAGGCAGGAGAATCACTTGAACCTGGGAAGCAGAGGTTGCAGTAAGCCAAGATCATGCCACTGCACTCCAAGATGGGTGACAGAGTGAGACTTTGTCTCAAAAAAAAAATAAAACTAAACTAAACTAAAATAAAAACAATGATTAAGAGAAAATCTTAAAAGTAGCCAGAGACAAGGCATGTTATAGACCCAAGAGTAAAGGTAAGGATGACAGCAGACTTCCCATTAGAAACACTGCAAGTGAGTAAACAATAGAGCAACATATTTCAAGCATTAAAAGAAAAAAGGTAACATATATATATATATATTTTTTTGTTTGTTTGTTTGTTTGTTTGTTTGTTTGTTTTAGACAGAGTTTTACTCTGTCAGCCAGGCTGGAGTGCACTGGCATGATCTCTGCTCACTGCAACCTCTGCCTCCCAGGTTCAGGCAATTCTTGTGCTTCAGTTGTCTGAGTAGCTGGAACTACAGGTGCCTGCCATCATGCTCAGCTGATTTTTGTATTTTTAGTAGAGGCGGGGTTTTGCCATGTTACCCAGGCTGGTCTCGAACTCCTGGCCTCAAGTGATCCAGCCACTTGGCCTCCCAAAGTGCTGGGACTACAGGCAAGAGCCACTGCATCCAGCTGAGATTTTTTATTACCTGCAAAAGTACTTTCAAAATTGAAAATGAAATGTAGACTCTTGGGCTGGCACAGTGGCATACACCTGTAATCCCAACTCTTTGGGAGGCTGAAATGGGAGGACTGCTTGAACCCAGGAGTTCAAGACCAACCTGGGCAACATAGTGAGACCCTCACCTCTATACACACACACACACACACACACACACACACACACACACACACACACACACAGTGGCACATAACTATGGCCCCAAATTCTCAAGAGGCTGAGCTGGGAGGAGCCCTTGAGCCCAGGAGATTGAGGCTGCAGTTAGCCGTGTTTGTGCCACTGCACTCTAGCCTGGGTGACAGAGCGAGACCCTGTCTCGAAACAAAATAAAACAGAACAGAAATAAAGATTCTTCAAGCATAGAGAATCTGAAGGAATGGTCACCAGCAGATTGTATTACCAACAAAAAGGGTAAAATTAACTTCGTAAAATAAACTTCTTCAGAGAGAAGGAAAATGATATGAGACGGAAATCTAAGTATACATGAAAGAATGTTATCTACACAGGTAAATATGAAACATTTTTCTTATTATCTAAATGTCATTAAAGAGAATTGACTGTTTTAAACAAAAATAATACAAATGTACTGAGGCGTTTACAACATATACAGAGTTAAAATGTAAGACAATAACAGCACAAAAAACTAGAACGAGAGAAATAGAAATCTTGTCATATGATCTATTTACCAAGGGGTATGCTATTGTTTAAGGGTAGACTATGATAAGCTAAGAATGTATATATAAGCCCCACCCCAACCAGCAAAATAACACAATATGTGTTACAGCAGCCGGGTGTGGTGGCTCATGCCTGTAATCTCAGCCCTTTGGGAGGCCAAGGCAGGAGGATCGCTTGAGGTTGCAGTGGTCTATGATCATGCTACTGCACTCCAGCCTTGGAGACACAGGAACACCGAGTCTCTCTTAAAAACAAAAAAAGTTACAGTTCATAAACTAACAAAGGAATAAAATGGTATTAGGTAAGGATCCAACTTCATTCTCCTGCATGTGCATATTTAGTTTTCGCAGGACCATTTGCTGAAAGATGTTTCCCCCCATTGAATGGTCTTGGCAGTCTTCAAAGGAATAAAATTGAATCATAAAAATTACTGAACTAAAAATATTAAGAAAGAAGCCAGGCATAGCAGCTCATCCCTGTAATCCCAGCAATTTGGGAGGCTGAGGCAGGAGGATCGCTTGAGCCCAGGAGTTTGAGACTAGCCCGGGCAACATAGTGTGATTCCATCTCTATTTTTAAAAATGATAAAATAAAATAAATAAAAAGTATGCAAAAACAAAAAAAGGAAAACAGAAATGAAGAACAAATGGGACAAATAGACAACAATAGCCAGAATGTAAGTTTAAAGTCAGCTAAGTCACATAAAATGAAAGGTCCATATAATGGAATACTACTCAGCAATAAAAAGGAACTATTTAAATACATAACATGGATGAATTTCAAAATAATAATACTGAGAGAAAGAACCCAGACTCCCCCAAAAGGACAGATTGCATGATTTAATTTATACAAAAGTCTAGAAAATGCAAATTATTCTATAGTCATAGAAAGAATGTCAGTGGTGCCTGGGGATGGGGAGATTGCAGGGGAAGGGTGAGAGGAAAAGATTACAAAAACGGAGGAAAATACTTTTGGGGATGATGGATATGTTTGTTTTCTTTATTGTGACGATCATTTCACAGCTCTCTCTATATATGTCAAAATTTATTAAATTACACACTTTAAATATGTGACTCAATAAAGCTGCCTCAAAAAAAGTCTGATGAGGGCCAGGCGCGGTGGCTCACGCCTGTAATCCCAGCAATTTGGGAGGCCGAGGCGGGATGATCATTTGAGGTCAGGAGTTCGAGACCAGCCTGGCCAACCTGGTGAAACCCTATCTCTACTAAAAACACAAAAATTTGGCCAGGTGCAATGCGCGCCTGTAATCCCAGCAGTTTGGGAGGCCGAGGCAGGTGGATCACGAGGTCAGGAGATTGAGACCATCCTGGCTAACACGGTGAAACCCAGTCTCTACTAAAAATACAAAAAATTTGCCCGGTGTGGTGGCACATGCGTGTAGTCCCAGCTACTCGGGAGGCTAAGGCAGGAGAATCCCTTGAACCCGGGAGGTGGAGGTTGCAGTGAGCTGAGATCGCACCACTGCACTCCAGCCTGGGCGGCAGAGCGAGATTCCATCTAAAAAAAAAAAAAAATTAGCCGGGCATGGTGGTGGGTGCCTGTAATCCCAGCTACTAAGGAGACTGAAGCAGGGAGAATCACTTGAACTCGGGAGGCGGAGGTTGCAGTGAGCCACGATCGCACCAGCCTGGGCGACAGAGTGAGACTTCATCTCAAAAAAAAAAAAAGTTTGATGAGAAACAAAAATAATATTTAAGTAATTGCAAAACACCTCCAACAAAATGCTTCTAAATTAAAAAGGAAAAACAGATACCACCCTAATTGAGTGATCAAAGTGAATGTCATCAGGATTGGAACAAATGAAATCTAGCACTGCTTAGTAGGATGCAATAAGAAGAGCACAGCATTAGCCCTGTGCTGCTCCTGTCAAAGATGAAGAATTCTCACATAAACTACACTGCAGGACTACAGGCGTGCACCACCACATCTAGCCAATTTTTCTGTTTTTTGTAGGGATGGCACCTTTCTATGTTGCCCAGGCTGGTCTTGAACTCCTGGGCTCCAGTGATCCTCCTGCCTCAGCCTCTCGAAGTGCTGGGACTACAGGTGTGAGCCACCATGCCATGCCTGGCCAACAATGAACTCTTATTTTGTTGAGGAAAAAAGTTATTTTTTCTGTGCTTTGAACTTTTATGTTAGTTTGTGTTTACAATTTTTTTTTTTTTTTTGAGATGAAGTTCCGCTCTTGTTGCCCAGGCTGGAGTGCAATGGCGCGATCTCGGCTCACTGCAACCTCCACCTCCTGGGTTCAAGGGATTCTCCTGAGTCAGCCTCCTGAGTAGCTGGGATTACAGGCATGTGCCACTGCGCCTGGCTAATTTTGTATTTTGAGTAGAGACGGTTTTTCCATGTTGGTCAGGCTGGTCTTGAACGCCCAACCTCAGGTGCTCTGCCTGCCTTGGGCTCTCAAAGTGCTGGGATTACAGGTGTGAACCACTGCGCCCAGCATATTTACAAATTTAAAAAAAATTTATACCTTTGTTCATGTATTTAAGACACCTGTGACAGAGAATCATCGAAGTGGAATAGCCGAGTCAAAGAATATAAACTTCTTTTTTTTTTTTTTTTTGAGACAGGGTCTTGTTCTGTTGCCCAGGCTGGCACGCAATAGTGTAATCATAGCTCACTGCAGTCTCGACCTCCTGGGCTCAAGTGATCCTCCTGCCTCAGCCTCCCGCATAGCAGGGACTACAGGCTTGTGCCACCATGCCCAGCTAATTTTTGTATTTTTGGTAGAGATGGGGTCTTTCTATGTTGCCCAGGCTGGACTGGAACTCCTGGCCTCTAAGCGATCCACCTACCTCAGCCTCCCAAAGTGCTAAGATTACAGTGTGAGCCACCAGGCCTGGCCAATATAAACATTTTATTTATTTTTCCTCACTTAGCCTTGACCTGAAACTCAATGAACATTTTAAAATGTGATCAAAAATGTTAATTTGCCTTTCAAGGAGAGTGCGTCACTGCTGGTGGGAATGTAAATTAGTAAAACCACAATGGAAAACAGTATGGAGATTCCTTAAATTTAGAACTAAAAGTAGATCAACCATTTAATCCAGCAATCTCAATACTGGGTATCTACCCAAAGGAAAAGAAGTCATTATATGAAAAAGTCACACCCAAACATTTTTTTTTTTTTGAGACAGAGTTTCACTCTTGTTGCCCAGGCTGGAGTGCAATGGTATGATCTCGGTTCACCGCAACCTCCACCTCCTGGGTTCAAGCAATTCTCCTGCCTCAGCCTCCCGAGTAGCTGGAATTACAGGCATGCACCACCACGCCCGGCTAATTGTTGTATTTTTAGTAGAGACGGGGTTTCTCCATGTTGATCAGGCTGGTCTCGAACTCCCGACCTCAGGCAATCTGCCTGCCTCAGCCTCCCAAAGTGCTGGGATTACAGGCGTGAGCCACTGTGCTTGGCTGACACATGCACACTTACGTTTATGGCAGCACAATTCACAATTGCAAGGCTATGGAACCAACCTAAATGCCCACTGACCAATCAGCGGATAAAGAAAATATGGCATATGTGTATCATGGAATACTACTGAGCCACGAAGAGAAACAAAATAATGTCTTTTGCAGCAACTTGGTTGGAACCGAAGGCCATTATTCTAAGTGAAGTAAGTCAGAAATGGAAAACCAAATACGGTATGTTCTCAATTATAAATGGGAGCTAAGCTATGAGGATGCAAAAACATACAGAGCCATATAATGGACTCTGGGGACTCGAAGGGGGAGGTTGGAAGGTGGGTGAGAGACAAAAGACTACATATTGGAGACAGTGTACACTGTACACTGCTAGGGTGACGGGTGCACCAAAGTCTCAGAATTCACCACTAAAGAACTCATCCATGGCTGGGGGCGGTGGCTCACGCTTATAATCCCAGCACTTTGAGAGGCCGAGACTGGCGGATCACCAAGTCAGGAGATCGAGACCATCCTGGCTAACATGGTGAAACCCCGTCTCTACTAAAAATACAAAAAAATTAGCCGGGCGTGGTGGCGGGTGCCTGTAGACCCAGCTATTCAGGAGGCTGAGGCCTGAGAATGGCGTGAACCTGGGAGGTGGAGCTTGCAGTGAGCTGACATCGCGCCACCGCACCCCAGCCTGGGCGACAGAGCGAGACTCCGTCTCAAAAAAAAAAAAAACTCATCCATGTAATCAAAAACCACCTGTACCCCAAAAACTACTGGAAAAAGTTACAGTAACCAAAACCCCCAAAAACCAACCAAACAAAAACGAAGAGCATGTCAGTTTTCATCCTCACCAGCAATTTATGAAAGCACCTGCTTGTTCTGCTCTCACTCATTGTGTGTGTGTGTGTTTTTTTTTTTTTGACAGAGTCTCACTCTGTCACCCAGGCTGCAGTGCAGTGGCACGATCTCAGCTCACTACAATCTCCACCTCCCAGACTCAAGCAGTCCTCCCACCTCAGCCTTCTGAGCAGTTGAGATTACAGGCACGTGTCATCACACCGGGCTAATGTTTGTATTTTTTGTAGAGACAGGGTTTTGACATGTTGGCCAGGCTGGTCTTGAACTCCTGGCCTCAAGACGTCTACCCACCTTGGCCTCCCAGAGTGCTGGGATTACAGGCGTGAGCCACCGCACTGGCCCATTGTGGCCATTATTTAACACTATCTTTGCCAACTCATCTCACTTTAATTTGTATGTCTTTAGTCACTAGTAAGGTTGAGAAATTTTTTGTGTGTTTTTATGTATTTATGAGCAATTTATATTTCTTTTTTTGTGAGCTACATCATTCTTTGCCCAATTTAAAAACTATTCATATTTTTTCTTTTTAATTATAAGAGCTCTTTGTTTATTAAGGACATTTATTCTTCGTCTGTTGCATGAATTGTAGAAACATTTCTCCTAGCTTGTTACCTACCTTTTAATTTAGCCTATGGTATTTTTATACTGTGCAGCTATTTTGAATTTTATGTAGCTAATTTTTTCTTTTTAGCATCTGAGTTTTGTGTCTGGCTTAGAAAGATTTTCTCTTATTTAAGATGTGTGTGTGTGTGTGTGTGTGTGTGTGTGCGCCCATGTTCCCCTTTCATCCTGTTTTATTTATTTACATTTAAATTGTTTATCTGGCTGGATGCGGTGGCACATGCCTGTAATCCTAGCACTTTGGTAGGCCAAAGCAGGTGGATCACTTGAGGTCAGGAGTTTGAGACCAGCCTGGCCAATATGTTGAAACCCTGTCTCTACTAAAAATACAAAAATTAGCCAAGTGTGGTGGCATGCACCTGTGGCCCTAGCTACTCAGGAGGGTGAGGAAGGAGGATCTCTTGCACCCTGGAGACAGAGACCGCAATGAGTTGAGATCGTGCTACTGCACTCCAGCCTGGGTGACAGAGTAACCCTGTCTCAAAATAAATAAATAAATAAATAAATACATAAATAAAAATAGATAAATAAATAAATACATCGTTTATCTGTCTGGAATTTATTTGGCGTAAGGAATCAGACAGGCATCCAGCTTTAACTTAAGTTTTTCAAATGGCTAGCCAATTACTCTAACAGCAATTACTGCACTGCCTAATTTTATTTTTTTCTCTCTGATTTCAAATATGGTTTTACCATTTAGTAGCTTCTCAAATGTATTTGGGTCTATTTCTAGATTCTAATCTGCTTCATTAATCTGCTTTTCTTTTCATGCACAAGTACGAAACTTTTTTTTTTTTTTTTTTTTTGAGACAGAGTCTCGCTCTGTCACCCAGGCTGGAGTGCAGTAGCGCGATCTGGGCTCACTGCAAGCTCCGTCTCCTGGGTTCACGCCATTCTCCTGCTTCAGGCGCCCGCCACTACGCCCGGCTAATTTTATTTTTTGTATTTTTAGTGGAGATGGGGTTTCACCGTGTTAGACAGGATAGTCTCGATCTCCTGACCTCGTGATCCACCCACCTCGGCCTCCCAAAGTGCTGGGATTATAGGCGTGAGCCACTGCGCCCGGCCAAGTACTAAACTTTTAAAAATATAAATGTAGCTTTATAATGTGCTTCAATACCTAGGAGGGTTAATTCTTTTTTATTACTTTCCTTTTTCAAAATTTTCCTGGCTAGCCTCACTTGTTTATTTTTCCATTTGAACTTTAGACTCAATGAGGCTACTTCCAAAAAAACCTCATAATGTATTTTTATTGATATAAAATTAAAGGTTAAGTTTAATTTAGGGAGAATGTGCATCTTTACATCATGAAATCTTCTAATTGATGAACAAAGTGTGTATTTTCATTTATTTCTTCTTTCATTTTCCTACATTTTTGTTGTTGCTGATGTTGTAAGTGTGAGCGTTGGTGCTATTTTAAGTACAAGGTTTTCTTCCATTTTGTTTCCTAGCTTTTTCCCTGAAACATAGAAGTGCTGTTGATTGTGTAACCAACTACATTACTGACTTAACTCATTGTTTATGAGAGACTTTCCAGGAGTACTCTTGGATTGGCTAGATATGCAATCATATTACCTGCAAATAGTCATTATGTTGTCTCCACTTTGTAATTCTTAAAATTTGTATTTTTTATCTTTATATACCTAGAATAATATTAAATAAGTGGAAATATTATTTCTCTTACCCTGTTCCTGACTTTAATGGAAAATGCTTCTAGTGTGCAACATTAAACAAGATGCTATTTTTAAACTTAAATATGTTTTTATCATATCAATACTGGATATTGAATTTTGTTAAATATTCTTGTAGTCTCTAAGAAAGGTCATGTAGTTATTCTCATTTAACCAGTATTAAGAATTCACCTAAGGCTGGGTGCGGTGACTCATGCCTGTAATCCCAGCACTTTAGGAGGCCAAGGCAGGCGGATCACCAGAAGTCAGGAGTTCGAGACCAGCCTGGCCAACATGGCGAAACGCCATCTCTACTAAAATTACAAAAATTAGTTGGGCATGGTGGCATGTGCCTGTAATCCCAGCTACTTGGGAGGCTGAGGCAGGAGAATCACTGGAACCCGGGAGTTGGAGGCTGCAGTGAGCTGAGATCGTGCCACTGCACTCCAGCCTGGGTGACACAGTGAGATTCTGTCTCAAAAAAAAAAAAAAAATTCATCTAATATCAATAGATAGTCTGTATAAGATAGAGTTTGAGAGGCCATCCTGGCTGGTTCTAGACTCTAGAAATTCTAGATGTGCCATGCATTAACTGTGTGATCTGGGCAAGTTTCTTAGCCTCTCTGTGCCTTGGTTGCTGCCTCTGTAAAACAAAATTAATAATAGCATCTAGCTCAAAGGGTTGTTGCTGGATTTAAGTGAATAAATATAAATAAGGTGTTTTGAACAGTGATTGGTTCATAGTAAATACCATATAGGTACTAATCATTAGCATCACCTTTCTAGAATGACTCCACTTGCGCTAAGCTTTTTAAAAATTAAAAAAAATTTAAGTTCATTTTAAATTTTTTTGTAGAGACAGGGTCTCGTTATGTTGCCCATGCTGGTCTTAAACTCCTGGCCTCAAGTGATCCTCTTGCCTCAGCCTCCCAAAGTGCTGGGACAGGTGTGAACCATCGTGCCCTAGTGTGCTGAGATTTTCTGTTATTACTGTTTTAAATAAAGATATTTATTTACTTGTGAAAGTATTGCATGCACCCAGAAAAGTGCACAGCTGGGGGATTTGCTACAAAAGTGAGTACGTAAATAATATACCCCCTTATACTCACTTAATGTCATAATTTTTTTCTTTCTTTTTTTTTTTTTTTTTTTTTTTTTTTTTTGAGACGGAGTCTTGTTCTGTCACCCAGGCTGGAGTGCTGTGGTGTGATGTTGGCTCACTGTAACCTCCACCTCCCAGATTCAAGTGATTCTCCTGCTTCAGCCTCCTGAGTAGCTGGGATTACAGGTGTGTGCCACCACACCCAGCTACTTTTTGTATTTTTAGTAGAGATGGGGTTTCACCATGTTGGCCAGGCTGACATCAGGTGATCTGCCCGCCTTGGCCTCCCAAAGTGCTGGATTACAGGCGTGAGCCACCATGCCTGGCCTTAATGTTATAATTTTCAAAAGCATTTTATATCACTGCATTTGTTCCACAGAATCATGTCACAATGTATGTTAAAAAATATGAATACACACATGCAATGCCCTCCCGCCCCCCACCAGTCTCTACCAAATACAAAAATTAGCCAGGTGCAGTGGTGCACACCTGTAGCCCCAGCTACTTGGAGACTGAGTCAGGAGAATTGCTTGAACCTAGGAGGCGAAGTTTGCAGTGAGCTGAGATCGTGCCACTGCACTCTAGCCTGAGCAACAGAAGGAGACTTTGTCTCCAAAAAAAAATTTTTTTTTTTTTTTTTTTTGATACAAGGTCTCATTCCATCACCCAGGCTGGGTGCAGTGGTGTGAACACATTTCACTGCAGGTTTGACCTCCTGGGCTCAAGTGATCCTCCTGCCTCAGCCTCCCAAGTAGCTGGGACTACAAGTACGCATCACCACGCCCAGTTGATCTTTCTATCTTTTGTAGAGGTGGGGTTTCGCCATGTTGCCCAGGCTGGTCTTGAACTCCTGACCTCAGGTGATCTGTCCACCTTGGCCTCCCAAAGTGCTGGGATTACAGGCGTGAGCCACCACGCCCGGCCAAAAAAAAATCTAAACATAGAGTTTACCATATTACCCACCAACTCTAATTCTAGGTGTATACTCAAGAGAAATGAAAGCATATATCCACACAAAAACTTGCATATAAATGTTTATAACAGTTTTATTCATAATAGGGAAAAAGTAGAAGTAACTCAAATGTCCATCAATGAATGAAGGTATAAATAAAATTTATTTTTTCACTGGAATTGTCTCTCTAGAGATGATGTTTGTTTTTATATATTAATTTATTTTTTGAGATGGGATCTTACTATGTTGCCTAGGCTGGCCTCAATCTCCTGGGCTCAAGTGATCCTCTTACCTCGGCCTCCTGAGTAACAGACTACAGATGTGCACTACCATATCTAGCTAACAAAATTTAGCACATCCATTCAATGGACTAATATTTGGCATAAAAAGGAGTTGAGTACTGACACATGCTATGGCATGGTTGGCCCTTGAAAACATTATGGTAAGTGAAATAAACCAGACACAAAGAACAACATATAATGTCATTCCATTTATATGAAATGTCTCGAATAGGTAAATCCATAGAGAGAGGAAGTAGATTAGTGGTTGCTGGGGGCCGGGAGTGAGTGATCAGGAGATGGGGGTGATAGTTAAAGAATGTGGGTTTTTTAGGTGGTGAATAAAATATTCTAAAATTGATTGTGGTGATGGTTGCACAACTCTGTGAATGTATTAAACACCATTGAATTGGATGCTTTATTTTATTTTATTTTATTTTATTTTATTTTATTTTATTTTTGACACAGAGTCTCGCACTGTCACCCAGGCTGGAGTGCAGTGGCGCGATCTCGGCTCACTGCAAGCTCTGCCTCCTGGGTTCACATCATTCTCCTGCCTCAGCCTCCTGAGTAGCTGGGACTACAGGTGCCCGCCACCACGCTCAGCTAATTTTTTGTATTTTTAGTAGGGACGGTGTTTCACCATGTTAACCAGGATGGTCTCGATCTCCTGACCTCATGATCTGCCTGCCTCAGCCTCCCAAAGTGCTGGGATTACAGGCGTGAGCCACTGCGCCTGGCTGTATGCTTTATTTTTTTAGAGTTAGCATCTCACTGTGTCACCCGGGCTAAAGTGCGGTGGGATGATCACAGCTCACTGCAGCCTCGAACCCCTGGTTTCAAGAGGTGTCACCGTGCCCAGCCAAATTGTATATTTTAAGTGTGTGAATTGTAGGGTATGTGAATTATTTCTCAAAAAAGCTGTTACTGAAAAAATGACAATTTCATATGGTCCAATCTAATCTGCAATAGCTTAAATAGCAGTGGTATACTATGATAAGGTTTGAAGATTTGATAGAGCCAGGCATGGTGGCTCATGCCTATAATCCTAGCACTTTGGGAGGCTGAGGTGGGTGGCTTGTTTTAGCCCAGGAGTTCAAGACAAGCTTAGGCAACATGGCAAGATCTCATCTCTACAAAAAATACAAAAATTAGCTGGGCATGGTGGCATGTGCCTGAAGTCCCAGCTACTCGGGAGGCTGAGCTGGGAAGATCACTTGAGCTCCAGAGGCAGAGGCTGCAGTGAGGAAAGATTGTGCCATTGCACTCCAGCCTGGGTGACAGAGCGAAACCCTGCCTCAAAAAAAAAAAAAGAAAAAAGAAAAAAGAAAAGAAAAAAGAGTTTACACGCGAAATGTGGACACTGCCTCAAAAAAAAAAAAAAAAAAGAAAAAAGAAAAGAAAAGAAAATAGAGTTTACATGTGAAATGTGAAAGAGAAGACACATGGTCCCTGCATATAGAAGAGGAGGCAATCAGTGGGGTTATTGAGAGGCGTGTTTTTTTTGTTTTTGTTTTTTTTCAGTACAGGAAAGACTTAGGCTTCTTTATAGGAGTGTGAGATGTGGAAGAAATAGGAACAAAGTTGATGGATGGACTCCAAAGTCCATGTGGAAGAATTAACCTTGGAAGGAGTCCAGTCTCTCTTCCATAAGACCAGAAGGAAGGAGGAAAGGATGGGTTCAGATACCAATTAGTTGATGGTGCAGAGAATGTTTTTCTTATTGGCCTCAATTTCCTGAGGAAAGAGGCAGAATCATTTGTGAAAATGACAGAAGGGATAGCAGGGCCATGGGTTTCGGAAGCCAGGAGGTTAGACAAGTTAGTAAGTGGCTGGGCACTGTGGCTCACGCCTGTAATCCGAGCACTTTGGGAGGCTGAGACGGGCAGATCGCCTGAGGTCAGGAGTTCAGACTAGCCTGACCAACATGGTGAAACCCCATCTCTATTAAAAATACAAAAATTAGCCAGGCATGGTGGCATGCGCCTGTAGTCCCAGCTACTCGGGAGGCTGAGGCAGGAGAATTGCTTGAACCCAGAAGATGGAGGTTGCAGTGAGCTGAGATCATGGCCATTGCACTCCAGCCTGGGCGACAGAGCGAGACTCCGTCTCAAAAAAAAAAAAAAAGAAAAAAAAGTTAGTAAGGTGGGTGGGAGAGGGAACTCAGACTCAGAGAGGCTTGGGAGCATTGAAGAGCCAGATGCCAGCAGAGGAGTGAATTCTTAGTGGCAGTGAGCCCCAGCTCCTGAAGCTCCCCCTGCAGTCCCCTGCAGCCTCATTTGGGAATAGTCTCCGCCTGAGTCATCTCTGCTTCAGTCCACACAACCTCAATTCTTTCAATGTTACTCATACATTTTGGCTTTGAGCCTCGTGCTCTCTGGATAATTGCCTCTGAACTTAACTGCCTTTTGGCACCCTTCCTCCCAGAACTGAATGTTCTTCCCGGGCTAGGGCTGACCCAAGTCCACCTCCCTGGTTCTGGGCCTTATACTTTGATTAATTCAGCCTGGGATGACCAGAGCACATTGGGCAGCCTTATTGCATTGGGTCAGTGACAGACAATTCCAAAGAGCGAGAGAAACATGTCTGTGAAGGCGTCAGCCCACGTGGTAGCCATGGCGGAACATGGGGTGGCAGGGAACAAGTGGTTTGCTATAAAGAAGCAAGAGAAAAGATGTTCAACATGCTGGCTAGTGGAGAATGTCTAGAGGTGTGGGGTCAGGGATCGGCTGAAACATATAGGTAGGCTATTGCCTAAGGACAGCATCTCACTGGCTAAGACAGCCAGACAGGCACAGCGGTCAGCACTTTGAGCCTAGTTACTGAGCACAGCCAATATGGCACCTCTACCACGAAGATCCATAGGTCATTAGGGTTCAGGGGTGCAGCAAGAGAAAGAGAAGAGTGTGAGGGAACCCCCTGGAGCACCACTTACTTATTTATTTAATATTCAGACATAGGCTGGGCACGGTGGCTCATGCCTATAATCCCAAAACTTTGAGAGGTCAAGGGGGGAGGCTCATCTGAGGTTAGGAGTTCGTAAGACCAGCCTGGCCAACATGGTGAAACCTGTCTCTACTAAAAATACAAAAATTAGCCGGGCATGGTGGCATGCGTCTGTAGTCCCAGCTACTTGGGAAGCTGAGGCAGGAGAATTGCTTAAACTTGGGAAGCAGAGATTGCAGTGAGCCAAGATCGCACCACTGCACTCCAGCCTGGGCAACAGAGTGAGACTCTGTCTCAAAAAAAAAAAGAAAAATTCAGACACAGGGTCTCACTATGTTGCCCAGGCTGGTCTTGAACTCCTCCTGGCCTTTGAGTGATCCTCCCGTCTCAGTTTCCCAAAGTGCTAAAATTACAGGTGTGAGCCACCTTGACCAGCCTCTGGGGCACCTTTTGATCCCAGCTATTACCAGATACTAGAGTTACTGTGGGTCAAAAACTTTGGGCACCCAGAACCTAAAGGGTCCCTGATTCTGGAAGGGGCAGAATCAAGCATGGTGGAAGGAACATAGCCTTTGGCATCAGAGCTAGATTTAAAGCCTGTCTCTGCTACTTATTTCCTGTGTAACACTAGCACTTGGCACATTGCTGAGCTTCTTAGAACTTCGGTGTCCATATCTGTAAAATGGAAATTAATAATTCTTACCCCTCAAGTCCTCAGGGTTGACTGTTAAAGAAATGGTATCTGTGGCCCTTCAGCTCAGTGCTCTCTTGTCCATCTCTGGGCTTTTGTATTTGTTATTTTCTCAGAAGCTTTTTTTTTTTTTTTTGGTAGAGACAGGGTTCCATTCTGTTGCCTGGGCCGGAGTGCAGTGGCGCAATCATAGCTCACTGCAGCCTTGGAATCCTAACCTTAGGCGATTCTCCCACCTCAGCCTCCCAAGTATCTGAGATGACAGGTGCACGCCACCATGCCCAGCTCATTTTAAAAATTTTTTGTAGAAATGGGATCTTGCTATGTTGCCCAGGCTTGTCTGGCACTCCTGGCCTCAAGCAATTCTCCCGCCTTGGCCTCTCAAACTGCTGGCATTACAGGTGTGAGACATCGTGCCTGGTCTAAGAGCACATTTTACTCAACCCAGCTTTGCCTGAATATCTCCTAGTCATCCTTTTGGTCTCATCTGGCTCTTTTCTTCCTCCTGGAAGTCCTCCTGGGTTGATTGTCTCTCTTCTGTGCTCTGTAGTGCTGCCCACTTTCACACCATGTGAGAATTCTTTGCCTGTCTCTCTCCTCACTAAGTCTGTGGAGGCACGAATAGGACTTAGTTCATCAGTGTATCCCCAGTTCATGGCACATACACACTGGTGCTCAACAGATATGATTTGATGGAATGAAGTTTTGAAGATTAAATGAGATAATCAATGTTTAACCCATGCTTCCCAAATCACACTGACTAGGTGGGTAAAAAACAGAAACATGAAACACTTATCCATTCAATACCCGCTCTGTAGGTTCTTCAGCTCCCTTAAAATTCTCCCCAAAGGGCCAGGAGTGTTGGCACACCCCTGTAATCCCAGCACTTTAGGAGGCCAAGGTGGGCAGATCTCTGAGGTTGGGAGTTCGAGACCAGCCTGGCCAACATAGTGAAACCCCGTCTCTACTAAAAATACAAAAGTAGCCAGGTGTGATGGCACATGCCCATAATCCCAGCTACTTGGGAGGCTGAGGCAGGAGAATCGCTTGAACCCAGGAGGCAGAGGTTGCAGTGAGCTGAGATCATGCCACTGCACTCCAGCCTGGCGACAGAGCAAGACTCTGCCAAAAAAACAAACAAAAAAAACCTCCCCAAAGACCCTAGGGAAACCTCAAGGAAGGGAGCACAGGCTCTGGAAATAAATCGAGTGGGTTTCCATCTTGGCTCTGGCATTTACCAGCTCTGTGACTTACTCTATCCATGCCTCAGTTTATGCACTTGTGAAATGATTCCTAACTCTGCCAAGGAGACTAAACATGCTAATATTTGCACAGTGCTTGTAATGGTCCCTGGAACACAGTAAAGAATGTACGGGTGTTTAATATATCTCCAAGCGCACCACACACCGGTCTTCCTGGCTACTGTGCCGTGTTCCTTGTCTCTCACTCCAACTGCCTATGATCATTTCCCACTACTGCTGGTGCCTCAAATGGCATTTAATCCAATCTTGGGGGGTTCAGGCAGCCTATGTATATTGCTTGGATTGCATTCAACCACACTCTTATAATACCCAAACCACCGCTTCTTCCACATGAATGTGCTTGTGAATCCATTGAGGACCCTGTAGATTCTGATTTGGAATCTGGGGCAGGCCTGAGATTCTGCATTTTTTGTTTTCTTTTTAATTTTTTTTGTAGAGTCGGGGTCTCGCTATGTTGCCCAGGCTGGTCTCAAACTTCTGGGCTCAAGCGGTCCTCCTGCCTCGGCCCCTCAAAGTGCTGGGATTATAGGCATGAGCTACAGTGCCTGGCCTGCATTTTTTTTTTTTTTTTTTTTGAGACAGAGCCTCACTGTGTCACCAGGCTGGAGTGCAGTGGTGCAATCTCTGCCTCCCAGGTTCAAGTGATTCTCCTGCTTCAGTCTTCCGATAGCTGGGATTACAGGTGCCTGCCACCACATGCAGCTAATTTTTGTATTTTTAATAGAGACAGGGTTTCACCATGTTGGTCAGGATGGTCTCGATCTCTTGACCTTGTGATCCACCCGCCTTGGCCTCCCAAAGTGCTGGGATTACAGGCGTGAGCCACCATGCCCGGCCCCAGTCTGCATTTCTAATAAGCTCCCAGGTAATGCTGATGTTGAAGGTTTACGGACCATATTTTTACTTGTTTTTGAGACAGGGTCTCCCTCTGTTGCCCAGGCTGGAGTACAGTGGTGCAATCTTGGCTCACTGCAAACTTCACCTCCTGGGCTCAAGTGATCATTCCACCTCAGCTTCCTAAGTAGCTGGGACTACAGGTGCGTGCCACCATGCCTAGCAAAGTTTTGTATTTTTAGTAGAGACAGAGTTTCACCATGTTGGCCAGGCTGGTCTCGAACTCCTGGCCTCAAATGGTCTGCCCACCTTGACCTCCCAAAGTGCTGGGATTACAGGTGTGAGCCACTGTGCCTGGCCCACATTTGTACTTAACAAATACCTAAACAGTAAAAATTTGTTTTTCTCACCAGTCTTTGTACTGAAGTGAAGAGAGACACAAGAGACACAACGATTCAGAAGAGGATTAGACAGAAAGATATCAAAAGATACCCAGACGTAGGTAGTTTCTGTCATTGCTTCAGCAGTTTTTCCTTTTATTTTTAGTTGACATGTAATAATTGTACATATTTATAGAAGACAGTGATATTTCAATATGTGTATACAATGTGCAATGATCAAATTAGCGTAATTAGCATATTCATCACCTCAAACTTTCAGGCCTCAGTGTTGTGAACATTCAAAATCCTCCTAGCTTTCTGAAAATATGCAATAAGCTACGGTGAACCATAGTCACTCACTAACTAGTGCTGCGGAACAACAGAACTCATCTTTCCTATCTAGCTGGTGTAAGCATTTTAATGCTATCAGTTCTCGTGTCTCTGTGATATTCTTGGCCACAAAATGACTGCTTCAGCTCCGGTCATCACATCCATGACCAAGGCAAAAAGAAGGGGAATGGCTAAAGGGAAGAGCTAGTTCTGAGTGTGCCCTTCTAATATGAAAGCCCTTCTTTCCTTCCTTCCTCCCTCCCTCCCTCCCCCTCCCCTTTCCCTTCCCTTCCTTTCCTTTCCTTTCTTTTTTTTTTTTTTTTTGAGACAGGGTCTCGCTCTGTTGCCCAGGCTGTACTGCAGTGGTGCAATCGTAGCTCACTGCAGCCTTGACCTCCTAGTCTCAAGCAATCCTCCCACCTCAGCCTTCTGAGTAGCTGGAACCACAGGCGAGCCACCACGCGTGGCTAATTTTTAAAATTTTTGTAGACACAGAGTCTCACTATTTTGCCCAGTCTGGTCTCAAACTCCTGGCCTTAAGCAATCCTCCCACCTTAGCCTCCCAGTGTACTAGGATTACAGGCGTAAGCTGCTTTGCCTGGCCACCCCTCATTTCTGATCCATTGTATTTGAGCTGAACAAGCACCTTTAGCATGAATTCTTTCCAGGGAGTTCTCATACTTTCTTTTTTTTTTTTTTTTTTTTGAGATGGAGTCTGACTCTGTCGCTCAGGCTGGAGTGCAGTGGCGCGATCTGGGCTCACTGCAAGCTCCGCCTCCTGGGTCCATGCCATTCTCCTGCCTCAGCCTCCCGAGTAGCTGGGACTACAGGCGCCCGCCACCACGCCCAGCTAATTTTTTGTAGTTTTAGTAGAGACGGGGTTTCACCGTGTTAGCCAGGATGGTCTTGATCTCCTGACCTCGTGATCCACCCGCCTCGGCCTCCCAAAGTGCTGGGATTACAGGGGCGAGCCACCGCTCTCGGCCCTCATACTTTCAACCACATAAAAAGCGCAGTGGAGTTTTTTCCTCTCCACCATTAGCTGTTCCCTTCTTGAGTCAATAACATCGTAATCCTATCTTGAGGGACAGAATCTCAGCCAAATGCTGGTGGGAATCCCATTAATTCCAAGCTCAAGGGGGTTGAGTCTAGAACTGAGGTTGAGCCAATCAGTGCACTCCTTCTCCCTAGGCAACCAGTGATTGGTTCAGGGATGGTGACGGTGACGTGGCCAAATTAACCACCAGGGCTGAAAAGACTCAATCCCGTGTTTTGCTTGAAACACCCGTGAAACAGACTTGCTTTTCCATGCTGAATGTCCACAAACACGGCCACAGCTGTAAAAACTTTTGGAAGGCCAGGCGGGGTGGCTCACGCCTGTAATCCCAGCACTTTGGGAGGCCGAGGCAGGCAGATCACGAGGTCAGGAGTTCGAGACCAGCCTGATCAAAATGGCGAAACCCCGTCTCTACTAAAAACACAAAAATTAGCCGGGCGTGGTGGTGCGCGCCTGTAATCCCAGCTACTGAGGATGCTGAGGCAGGAGAATCACTTGAACCCAGGAGGCGGAGGTTGCAGTGAGCCAAGATTGCGCCACTGTACTCCAGCCTGGGTGACAGAGCGAGACTGTCTCAAAAAAACAAAACAAAAAATATATATATGTATAAAAAGTAAAAACATAAGAGCTTCTGGGCTTTTATGCACTGGGCTTCTGTGACTTGCAGCTGGAAAACATAGTTGACACAGGTAGACATCATAACTTGGGATTATTTTATGCACAGCCTTCAATCAGTATCAGATACCCTTGGAGTACAGTTTCCTTCCCACCACTGGCTCGCTGCCTGACCTCACTCCCCAGAGTTTCGTTTTCTTCAGCTAGAAGAGGAGGAAAACAGAAATGCCTTTATTATGGGGTTAAATGAGATGGTGCTCGTGAAGAACTTAGCACAGGGCCCAGTACACTCCCGTGCCAGCAAGCAATGTCACATTATCCGATGTGGGTTTTCTGAATCAAATTAAAGCTGCAGGGCCCCAACAGCCCAACAGGTCTGGAGAAAGTTTCAGCTCAGCCATCAGAGGGCAGTGGTCCAGAGATGGCTCACAGTGATTCCAAATTTGTTTTAAGAGGGTCTCGCTCTGTCACTCAGGCTGGAGTGCAGTCGTGTGATCATAGCTCACTGCAGCCTTGACCGCCTGGGCTCAAATGATCCTCCTGCCTCAGCCTCCCATGTAGCTAGGATTACAGGTGTACAGCACCACACCCAGCTAATTTTTACATTTTTGTAGAGATGGGGTCTTGCTACGTTGCCCAGGCTGGTCTTGAGCTCCTGGCCTCAAGTGATCCTCCTGACTGGGCTTCCCTTGGCTCACTAGTCTTTTTTTTTTTTTTTTTTTTTTTTGAGACAGAGTCTTGCTCTGTCACCCAGGCTGGAGTGCAGTGGCGCGATCTCGGCTCACTGCAACCCTGCCTCCAGGGTTCAAGCGATTCTCCTGCCTCAGCCTCCTGAGTAGCTGGGACTACAGGCACAAGCTGCCACACCCAGCTAATTTTTTGTACTTTTAGTAGAGACAGGGTTTCACCATGTTAGCCAGGATGGTGTCGATCTCCTGGCCTCGTGATCCACCGGCCTCGGCCTCCCAAAGTGCTGGGATTACAAGCGTGAGCCACCGCGCCCAGCAAGGCTCACTAGTCTTATACTTGGATCACTGCAGTTAGGGTCATTGTGTCCATGTGTTGGGGTTTTGGAAACAGGGGGCTTGGCTGCTATTGTGCTGAGGTCGGAGACGGGGGCCTGGCTATGCTGGGAGCCTCAGGCAAGAGACCGAGTGTCCACCATGAGGTCCTTTCCCTCTTAAGCACTGTCACTTTCCCTGGGTGTTGTAAGAGGGGAGGCGTGAGTCTTCTATTCTTGTGGGGTCTGCCAGTCTCTGGCTCATTTCTAGTCCTGGGGACTCTTCTGCTCCCCTTGGCTGTCACTGCTCTGCCCTTCCTCCCTTTGAGATACTTGTGTTTCTCCTCTTGTCCTTGGGGATGACCCCATACATGTCCCAGAATAATAATATGTTGAAAAACAAAGCCAGAAATGAGGGTTGTTTTCGGAGTTACTTCTGCTTTCTTCCATGTTAATCAACCCTCTTTTTAAACATTTTTTTTTGAGATAGGGTCCCACTCTGTCACCCATGCTGGAGTGCAGTGGCGGTCTTGGCTCACTGCAGCCGTGACATCCTGGGCTCAACTGATCTTCCCATCTCAGCCCCCTGAGTAGCTAGGACTATAGGCACATGCTACCATATCCAGATAATTTTTGTATTTTTTGTAGAGATGGGGTTTTGCCATGTTGCCCAGGCTTGTCTTGACCTCCTGGGCTCCATCAATCCTTCCATCTCAGTCTCCTGAGTAGCTAGGATGACAGGTGCATGACACCATGCCTGGATAATTTTTTATTTTATTTGTTTATGTATTTTGAGATGGAGTCTCGCTCTGTCACCCAGGCTGGAGTGCAGTGGCGCGATCTCGGCTCACTGCAACCTCTGCCTCCCGGATTCAAGCGATTCTCCTGCCTCAGCCTCCCGAGTAGCTGGGATTACAGGTGTGCAACCACCATGCTGGGCTAATTTTTGTATTTTTAGTAGAGACGGGGTTTCACCACCTTGGCCAGGCTGGTCTCGAACTCCTGACCTCAAGTGATCTGCCTGCCTCGGCCTCCAAAAGAGCTGGGATTCCAGGCGTGAGCTACTGCGTCTGGCCTAATTTTTTTTTTTTTGTAGAGACTGGATCTCACTTTGCTTACGCTGGTCTTGAACTCCTGGACTCAAGTGATCCTCCCACCTCGGCCTCCCAAAGTGCTGGAATTACAGATGTGAGCCACTGCAACCCTCTTCTCGTGAGAGAACACAAAGTTTGGTGTCCTTCTTAGAACAAGGGAGGGAAATCCGCTGGAAATAAAATGAGTCAGTATCTCACTACATCATCTTAATAGTGTGAGTGTGTTTATTATTATTTTTCATAGGATTATTCGGCTTATTAAATTATTATTTTAAGTAGACTACAGTGAGGAATATATTACCGGTTTACCCGAATGTAAATATGACTTTGGCTCAAATCGGAGACCTCTGAGATTTGTGATAAGTAGTTTAGTGCAGTGTCTAGTGCCTACAGGAACTGTGATAAATATTAGTGCCCCTGTTTTTCCTCCCTGAGTTTTCACTAAGAACAGCTCCTGGTGAGGTGTTAGATGTCTAGAATTGACTGCCTCTTGTGTAAATTTCAGAGTTACATGTATAATATGACACCATATATATATGTATAATATATACACATATATATATAATTTTTTTTTAAGACAGGGTCTTGCTCTGTTGCCTAGGTGGGAATGCAGTGGCACAATCACGGCTCACTGCAGCCTCTTTTCTATTTTATTTTACTTTACTTTGTTTTATTTTATTTATCCCCTCTATTTTATTTTCTTTTATTTTACTTTTTGAGATGGAGGTTCACGCTGTCGCCCAGGCTGGAGTGCAGTGGTGCGATCTCAGCTCACTGCAACCTCCATCTCCCGGGTTCAAGTGATTCTCCTGCCTCAGCCTCCTGAGTAGCTGGGACTACAGGCGCCCACCACCATGCCCAGCTAATTTTTGTAGTTTTAGTAGAGACGGGTTTCACCATGTTGACCAGGCTGGTTTCGAACTCCTGGCCTCAAGTGATCCGCCTGCCTCAGCCTCCCAAAATGTTGGGATTACAGGTGTGAGCCACCACTCCCGGCCTCCCTTTTGTATTTTAAAATTACAATCTCCAGAGGTTCCCTAAGGTTTGTTGGAGGCCAGAAATAGACCAAGAAGGATGAAGATCTTTGCTGCTTAGAGCCACGACTCAACTAGATTTCAGAGAACGGACTCCCTGTCTATTTCTTGTACAAAAGAAACCCTGTAGCATGGAAACCCCATGTTAGAGACCCAATGGTCAAAAAGGAAAGCAAAGTATACTTTGTGGACACCCTGACTTGTGTTGCCTCGCTCCTCTCCTATTCACTCATTCTTTTTTTTAAATTGTAAGTTAACTTGCTAGAAAATTATTTTAGTTGCACACATAATATATGAATATATCCTCCTTTGAAAAAAGGTAAAACCTAGCAGTTAAGGGTGATGGGTCCTTTAATTGCCGCTGTCAGTCCTGGGCTTCTCTTTTCTGCTCAGTTCACTGAGTTTATAGTGTATCCTTCCAGATGTCTGTCCTTCTTTCCTTCCCTCCCTCCCTCCCTTCCTTCTTTTATTTCTTTTTCTTTCTTGAGACAGAGTCTCACTCTGTTGCCCAGGCAGGAGTACTGTGGCACAATCTCAGCTCACTGCAACTTCTGCCTCCCGGGTTCAAGTGATCCTCCCACCTCAGCCTCCTGAGCAGCTGGGACTACAGGCATGCACCACCACGCCTGGCTGATTTTTGTATTTTTAGTAGAGATGAGTTTCGTCATGTTGGCCAGGCTGTTCTCGAACTCCTGGCCTCAACTGATCTGCCCACTTTGGCTTCCCAAAGTGCTGGGATTACAGGTGTGAGCCACCGCGTCTGGCCCTTTCAGCCCCTTTCAGATGTTTTTCTAAATGTTTCCTTTTTCTCCAGAATCTACATTGTATTGTTGTCTATGAGCTTGATGCTTTATTTAAAAATGTAAAATGGGTTGGGCGCAGTGGCTCATGCCTGTTATCCCAGCACTCTGAAAAGCCAAAGTGGGAGGATCACTTGAGGCCAGGAGTTCGAGGTTGCAGTGAGCTATGACTGCACCACTGCACCCCAGCCTGGGTGATAGAGGAAGACTCTGTTTCTAAAAAAGGAAAAGAATACTAATTAGAGAAAAGACTAGTCAGGGCTTGAGAGCAGGCTTAACTATCTTTACCCTCCAAAGACCTTATATTTCTTCCCATGGAACACATTTGAAATATTTCATCAGGGGCCAGGTGCGGTGGCTCAGGCCTGTAATCCCAGCACTTTGGGAGGCCGAGGCGGGTGGATCACGAGGTCAGGAGATCGAGACGAATCCTGGCTAACACGGTGAAACCCCGTCTCTACCAAAAATACAAAAAAAATTAGCCGGGCGTGGTGGCGGGCGCCAGTAGTCCCAGCTACTTGGGAGGCTGAGGCAGGAGAATGGCGTGAACCCAGGAGGCGGAGCTTGCAGTGAGCTGAGATCTCGCCACTACACTCCAGCCTGGGCGACAGAGCAAGACTCCGTCTCAAAAAAAAAAAAAAAGAAAGAAAAGAACTTATTTTCACTTATTTTCTCTTTAGTTGTCATATTAAGTACTAGTGATTATAGTTGCTTGAATTTGGATTTAAGAGGCATTACCCTACTGGTTTGGCATACAGTTAAAAAGCAAAGCAAAGTATTTTGCTTTGTTGTTGAATAGATTTGGGTTCAGAACTACTGCCACTGTGCCATTTTGGGTGACTTTCTTCACATCACTGACTTTTGTTTCCCTTATCTATGAAATGGAGATGAAGTAAAATAATACTTGTGAACAGATGTTTTCATGTAGTAGGCACCCAATGAATATTAAGGCTATTTTATTATAATAGAAATTATTTCTGTGCACCTGGTTTGCCATAGAATACAGAAAGATACCATCCCTTGAAGCTTTTTGTTGAGGAAAAAAACCTCCACTTTTGAAGACCATATATTGGGAACTCCTGGCCAAATAATTTCCCTTCCTTGTTATTTCCTATTCATTTTCCATTAAAATTTTTTTTTCTTGTCCAGGCACGGTGGCTTATGCCTGTAATCTCAGCACTTTGGGACACTGAGATGGGAGGATCACTTAAGGTCAGGAGTTTGAGACCAGCTTGGGCAACATGGTGAGATCCCATCTCTACAAAGAATACAAAAATTAGCTGGGCATGGTGGCATGTGCCTGTAGTTTCAGCTACTCAAGAGGCTGAGACAAGAAGATTGTTTGAGCCCAGGAGTTTGAGACTTGAGTGAGCCATGTGTTCCAGCCTGGGTGACAGAATGAGACCCTATCTCAAAAAAAAAAAATTTTTTTTTTTTTTTTTTTTTTTTTTTTTTTTTTTTTTACTTTAAGCCTAGGAGTTTGAGACCAGCCTAGGCAACATAATGAGACCCAGTCTCTACAAAAATTTTTTAAAATTAGCCAGCCTTGGTGGTAGGTACCTATAGTCCTAGCTAACTGGGAAGTTGAGGCAGGTGATCGCTTGAGCCCAGGGGTTCGAGGCTTCAGTGAGCTATGATTGCACCACTGCATTTTAGCCTAGGCAACAAGTGAGACCCTGTCTCAAATTTTTTTTTCTCATAGCATGTGTCACCATATAACTGACTTTATATGTGTACTTATTCATTTTGTTTATTGTCTGTTCCTCCACTAAAACGTGCACTCTATAAGGGCAGCAATTTGTATCTGCCTTGTTCATTGCTCTATCCCTAGTGGCTAGCCCAGTGCTGGTACATAGGAGCTCCGAAAAATGTACTGAATGGATAAATGAATGAATAAATGAATGAATGAGCAAATGAATGAATATTCCTAAATTTTCTCCAGGCCCATCATGTGGTCTCATGGACTATGAACATTTGGAGTCTGAGGAAGAATTCTCATCAATGTGCGGATTTCAGCCTTCACTCCTAAATGTCTTCTTCAATCTGTTCTTGATCCATGTCCATATCAGACATCCTCTTGCTGCATGGCCAAGCCTCCGGTCTCAAATCCTGCCCACCTTCCTCGCTGCCACCAGAGGGCTCTTCCTAAAGCGTTGGCTGTGATCATGTCACTCTTCTCTGGAAGAACATGTGTTGCTTGTTTGTTTGTGTCTATGTTGCAGCTTGATGGTTAGTATCTCCAAGTGGTTGGATGCCAACCCTCTGTCCAGGTCAGATTCCCACGTTTATATCAGTTACAATAGTTCGTTACGTTTACACCAGTTAGCATAGTTAGGATGTTCCTGGCTTTTTGTTTGTGTTTTTTGTTTGTTTATTTTGTCTTTTGGAAATAGGGCCTTGGCTCTGTTGCACAGGCTAGAGTGCAGTTGCATGATTATAGACCATGACAGCCCCGAACTCCTGGGCTCAAGAGATCCTCCCGCGTCGGCCTCCCAAAATGCTGGGTTACAGGCATGAGCCACTGTGCCTGGCCATGGCAATTTGTTTTAAACCAAAACGTACCTCTAACTGGTTTAACCAATGTGGAAATTCATTGTATCCATAAAGTCCTGATTCTGAATAGAGTTCAAGTCTGATTTGACCCAGTGACTCTGGGTGCATTTCCCTTGGTTCATTCCTATATAGGTTTCATTCCTAGGCTCATAGAGAGAAAGCAGCTACAGTGCTGGCCTAGCTTCTACACTCAGGAATCTCCAGAAGGGGAGAGATGTGTGCATCCTGAGGCTCGCTCTTAAGGATCATGAGCCCCTTGTCTGACTTCCCTCTGGACCTCACTGGACTTAGTTGGGTCATTGCCCAGTCTTAAAATCATTCTTTATCTCTAGGCAAATGCCATGTCCTGATTGACTTAGGCCTGGATTTCTGAATCAATCACTGACACAGAGGATGAAATAGAATTGGTTTTTATCTATCAGACTCCACACTTTTCCTGCTTCCCTGGAGGTGAGGGTCAATGCCTCAAGTGGCTCCAGAAGGGTGGAGAGGAGGTGGAAAGGGCCGTGGTGAGAGGACACCATCTCATTCACAGTGTAGCTTGTAGAAGCCTGTACACCATCCCTTCAATTATCACACTTGTTACTTTGAAACAATGTGAGTGTATGAATACAAGAATGAGTAGGGTTTCACCTACTAGCTAAGAAAAGAAGCATGTCCAGGCTGGGCATGGTGGCTCACACCTGTAATCCCAGCACTTTGGGAGGCCAAGATCAGCAGATCACGAGGTCAGGAGATCGAGACCATCCCGGCTAACATGGTAAAACCCCGTCTCTACTAAAAATACAAAAAAAAAAAAATTAGCAGGGCATGGTGGTGGACACCTGTAGTCCCAGCTACTCGGGAGGCTGAGGCAGGAGAATGGCGTGAACCCAGGAGGCGGAGCTTGCAGTGAGCAGAGATCGCGCCATTGCACTCTAGCCTGGGCGACAAAAAAAAAAAAAAGAAAAGAAAAGAAAAGAAAAGAAAAGAAAAGAAAAGAAAAGAAGCATGTCCAAGAAAGTTGGAATAAGCTGCTTCTTCTTCTTCTTCTTCTTCTTCTTCTTCTTCTTCTTCCTCTTCCTCTTCCTCTTCTTCCTCTTCCTCTTCCTCTCCTTCTCCTTCTCCTTCTCTTGCTCTGTCACCCAGACGGGAGTGTAGTAACATGATCATAGCTCATTGTAGCCTGGATTCCTCAGGGCTCAAGTGATCTTCCTGCCTCAGCCCCTAGACTAGCTGGGACTACAGGTGCACATCACCTCACCCAGCTAATTTTTAAAATATTTTTGTAGAGATGGGAAAGGGCATCTCACTATGTTGCTCAGGCTAATGTTGAACCTCTGGACTCAAGACATCCTCCTGCTTTGGCCTCCCAAAGTGTTGGGATTACAGGCATGAGCCATTGCACCTGGCCATGCATGGCTTATTAAGGTTTGTTGCCATTAGAGCCCAAGGTGATAGGGCCAAGAAGAATTTCCAGAAATTAGACTAAGAGGATCTTACCCAAATTGTAAAAGACCTTACGTGCCATGATAAAGAGGCTAGAATTCATCCTTTAGTCATTCATCATCCACACATCCACTGAGTTCCACCTCCTTGGGCTTTAGTAGGAGGTGGAGATAAGATGGAGAAAGGAGGCACACATGATCTCTAACATCACTCAAGTAGGGGAGATGTAGACATTGAATGGATATTATATAAGTAGCTAATTATCTAGATGCTGCCTCCTCTGGTAGGGCCCATCCCCTAATTCCCTAGGGAGACCTAGTATCTCCCTCCTATGGACTCACAGGGTTCCGTGAGTTAGCGGTATTTAAGACAGGCAAGACTAAAAGCATTGTTCTAAGTGCATGCATTCACTTATTTAAACCTCAAAAAGCTCTGTGAAGTGGGCACTAGGACAGTCCCCATTTAACAGACAGGATAAGTAACTTGCCCAAGGACACAGAGCTAGTAAGTGGTAGAGCTGAAATCTGAATGTCTGTCCCACTCCAAATGCAGACTCCGAACCATCCAAGTAGGTGCCATCGTTATTCCCATTTTACAGATGAGAATACTGAGGCTCAGGGTGAGATTTATCTAAGGCCAGGGGGTTTAGGAGGGGAATCCAAACGCAGGCAGAAAGCAGAGCTCGGGCTTCCCACGGTGACGCCATACCACCCCTGCAGAGGCCTCTGTCGCGGCACCGATCCTATTGTGTAGTGCTTATTTACATGCCTGTCTCCATTTACCAAGTAGAGGCTCTTTGAGAGAAAAGACCAGATCTATTCTCTGCTTCTTCAGCTCCAACATCATTTTGGCGCTTAATCTACTATGCAAATGTTTGTTGAATGAATCAAATGACTGACAAATGAAAGAAAGAATGAGTAAATAATTATTTATGAAGTGCCCAGACGCAGGGGATGGCCTGTGATGAGAAGGGTTTAGAAATATTCTTAGCAAATTGGGGATGTGTGTGAGCCTCTGTTTCTGCAGCCTCAAGAAGAAACAAAACCCTTGGAAAGGAAGAAAGAAAGAAAATGGGGCATAACAAGGATTCCAGGCTGGATTCCATGATGTCATCCTAAATTGGATGTCTGGACTTGGTGAACAAAGGCTCTGGTGACATGGGTCCTGGCCAGGCTGGCCTCTCGGCTCGCGTGAGGGAAGTGGTTAAAGTGAACTGCCCCAGAGCCCGTCTCCACCCCAGGCTTTTGCCCAGACGCCTCTGCATTCAGCAGGTATCTCATCCAAGAGAAAACCAGGACAGGAAATCGCGTTGCCATGGAGACCGGAGAGGCCCTTCCAGACACAGGGGAAAATAAACACGTTCTGGTTGGACTTAACCCCCACGAAGCCAGGTCCAAGAGGTCCTGGTTTTCACTAGAAATGTCCAGTGGGCTCTCCTCCAAGGCCCCTCAACATCCTCAGCACTAAGGGCTGAATGGCAATGCTAGCCCACAAAGAGTTCTAGGGGTCATGCCAACCCAGGGCTGAAGGATGAATCCATTTTGTGCCCAGACCTAAGACCTCTGTCTCCTTCAGAACTGGGAACTGGATAGACAACTGTTGTGTCAGGCACATTTCTACACATTTTGGATCTAGAACTCATTTAATCCTCATGACAACTCAACAGAGAAAACCTAGTTATTACTATCATACCCATTTTACTGATGAGCAAACCGAGGCACAGAGAGATGGAGTGACTCGCCCAAGGGCACCAGATAGTTGGTAGTGGCACCAGAATTTAAGACATTTTCAGAGTGCTTGGGCAATAGATCATTGTGCTGAATAATACAATGTGGCTGCGCACGGTGGTTCACACCCAGAATCCCAGCACTTTGGGAGGCCAAGGCAGGCAGATCGCTTGAGTCCAGGAGTTTGAGACCAGCTTGGGCAATAAAGTGAGACTTCATCTCTACTAAAAAATAAACAAAATTCACCGGGCATTGTGGTGCGTGCCTGTAATCCCAGCTACTTGGGAGGCTGAGGTGGTAGGATCACTTGAGCCTGGGAGGCGGAGGTTGCAGTGAGCCAAGATGGTGCCACTGTACTCCAACCTGGGCCACAGAGAGTAAGGTCTTGTCTCTCCCCTTTCTGCCAAAAAAGAATACAATATGACCTTGGGTAAGTTAATTAGTCTTTCTGAGCCTCAGTTTCCCTACCGGTGTATACGCCACTACCTTGAAAGATTGTTGTGAGGTTAAATTTCCTGTACATTTTTTGAGCACTTACTCTAAGCTAAGCACTATGTCGGGCCCCGGAAGTATCATAGAAAAGAAGACAAACGCAATTCTAGGATCACACAGCCTGTGGATGGGCAGGTGCTTCCAGTTCAGAGAGAGAGAGAGACCCCTCTGGAAGCCCTGAGTTTGGAAGGATTTGGCCTCTTGGAAGAACTGCAAGAAGGCCAGAGGGGCTGAAGTTCCCAAGAGCATGGAGGCAAGTGTCAGAAGCTGGATTCCGTAGGGACCAGGGTAGCTTTTATCTCTAAAAGGGCTTCCCAGGCCTGACTCAGAGTGAGTTTAGAAGAAAGTGAAGTTTCATGTGCATTGTTAGAGGGTCTGTCCTGCCTGACACCGGCTGCTTTTGTGTGGGCCTTGAACTAAAAATGGTTTTAGTTTTTATTTTTATTAGAGACACAGTCTCGCTCTGTTGCCCAGGCTGGAGTGCAGTAATGTGATCACAGCTCACGGTAACCTCGAACTCTTGGGCTCTGGTTATCCTCCCACCTCAGCCTCCTGAGTAAGTGGGACTAAAGACAACTGTCACTTCACTCAGCCGATTTTTAAATTTTTTGTAGAGATGGGGTCTCACTCTATTGCCCAGGTTGGTCTTGCACTCCTGGCCTCAAGTGATCCTCCCATCTTGGTTTCCCAAAGCACTGGGATTACAGGTGTGAGCTGCTGTGCCCAGCCCTACATTTTAAAACACTGAAAAAGAATCCAAAGAAGAATACTATTTTGTGACATGTAAAAATTAGGTAAAATTCAAATTTCAGCATCTATAAATAAAATTGTGTTATGTTTTTGTTTTAAGACAGGGCCTCGCTCTGTTGCCCAGGCTGGAATGCGGTGGCTCGATCTCAGCTCACTGCAGCGTCTACCTCCTGGGGGCCAAGTGATCCTCCCACCTCAGCCCCCCAAGTAGCTGGGACCCCACGTGCCACCACCACACCTAGCTAATCTTGTTTATTTTATTTTTTTGTAGAGTTGAGGTCTCATTGTGTTGCCCAGGCTGGTCTCAAACTCCTGGGCTCAAGCAATCCTCCCACCTCAGTCTCCCAAATGGATTACAGGCATAAGCCATTGTGCCCAGCCATATAAATAAAGTTTTATTGACATACAGTCACACCCATTCATTAAGGATTGTCATGGGTGCTTTTGCACTACAATGGCAGAGTTGAATAGTGGTGACAAAGATGTTTGATTCACAAAGACTAAACTATTTACTACTACTCTGTTAAGAAGCTCACTGAGGCTTGGACAAGACACTCCTGGCTTTAGGGTGCAGAGTCTAATTAGGGAGAGCTCACACATCAGTACCTTTGAAGGGGAAGAGAGACTGGGAAGCAACAGTTCACTGTGAGTTAGTGTCGATGCCTATAATACCTTTATACCTGCTAGGGCTCACTAGGTGCAGGGCACTCTCCTTATTTTACCTCATTAAGTCCTGAGGCCTGTGGTTGTCCTTACTTTACAGATGAGGAAACTGAGGACAGCGAGAAGAGCTAAGGAAATTGCCCAAGGTTGCACAGCTAGTCGGTGGCAGAAACAGGACTTGAACTCGGGCAGTTTACCTCCAGAATCTGGGCTGTTAGCACGGCACTCTACCACCTCCCATGGGGAAGAGGGTGGCTGATGTTGGTGATGAACACAGCTGTGGCTTGTCTGCTGAGCCTTGCCTGAGCTACCATCTCACATGTCATAAAAACTGCAGGATAGGGGCTGGGCACGGTGGCTCATGCCTGTAATCCAAGCACTTTGGGAGGCCAAGTGGGAGGATCGCTTGAGCACAGGTGTTTAAAACCAGCCTGGGCAACATAGCAAGACTCCGTCTCTACAAAATAATTTAAAAAATTGCTGGGCATGGTGGTGTATGCCTGTAGTCCCACCTACTTGGGAGGCTGAGGTGGGAGGATTGCTTGAGCCCAGGAGGTTGAGGCTGAAGTAAACTATGATTGTGCCACTGCACTCCAGTGAGTGATAGAGTGAGAACTTGTCTCAAAAACAACAATAGTAACAACAACAAAAAAACACCAAAACCCAAAAAACTGCAGGAGAGCCTTTTCCTGCCACTAGAGCTGTTTTGGGGGCTTCCAGTATCTGATAAGAGTTTGTGCTCGTCATGGGGTCTCCTTGCTCTCAGTTCCAAGCTTCATAGCACATATGAGCCCAGGGCATTGGAGCCTCCAAAACTAGCTGGTGACCTTGGACAAGTTAATGAATCTCTCTGAGCCTCAGTTTTCCATTAGAATGTAAACAACTATCTTGAAGGATTATTGTGAGGGTTAAATTCAATGATGCATTTATCGAACACTTGGTGTACGCCTTGTGTCTTGGGAGGCTAAGTGTATACACTGTTCGATGGGCTCCCTTGTCTTCTGGCTTCCCATTGGTTTTGACCAATAGGGAGCCCCAGAAGATGATTGAGGAAGGGAGGAGACGGGGCTTGGGGCATTTATTCTCTGGCTGCTTCTCTGCGGTCATTCTGCGTGCTGGCTGCCTTAAAGTCACATTTCCCACCTCGGTGGCCCTCTCTCTATAGGCTTCTCAGTCTCTAGGGTACAGTGGTCATTCTTCCCCTTGGCCTTTCAGGCATAGGGGTGGTAACAGAAGCCAGCCTAATTAGTCCTGTGGATCCTTGCGGTTTTCTGCCCTCCGTTTGTAGAGTTCCTCTATTCAATCTTCCTTCAGCTGCGTGTGGTAGCTCATGCCTGTCATCCCAGCACTTAGGGAGGCCGAGGCAGGCAGACCGCTTGAGTCCAGGAGTTTGAGACCAGCCTGGACCATATGGCAAAACCCCATCTCTACTGAAAAAAAAAAAAAAAAAGCTGGGCGTGGTGGTGCACGCCTGTAGTCCCAGCTACTTGGGAGGCGAGGTGAGAGTATCGCTTGACCTTGAGAGGTTGAGGCTGCGGTGAGCTGAGATCACACCACTGCACTCCAGCCTGAGCAACAGAGCAAGACCCTGCCTTTAAAAAAAAAAAAATCAAACAAGTCCTCCTTTCATGACCTAATTTGAACATGTCTTCTCTTTCCTTCCCTTGACTGATGCATTCTTTGTTTACATTAATTACTCAAGTAGATCTGGTAGACTGTGTGCATTCTGCCCAGTTTCACAAAATAGCCACTCTCCAATTCCCCCGTACAACATTTACAGACAGTTGACTATCCTATCACAACTTACATCAGAGATGAATGATACTTATACTGGCGAGGCCGTGGGGAACAGAGGTGCTTTCATCGACAGATGGGCGGGAATATAATATAGTACAAGCTAAATACAGAGGAGTTTGGCAACACGTTGCAACATTTTAAAATATGCATCCCTTTTGACTCAGCAGTTTCATCTTTAGGAATTTATCTCAAGGAAATAATTATGGTAGTGTGAAAATAGTAATGTACTGGGGTACAATCAAACCAGTTGTCTATCAGTAGTTGACTAATTAATTAATTCCCATTTGTTGGGTGCCTATTAAGCATCAAGCACTGTTCTAGCCCCTAAGGATAGAGCAGCAAATAAATCTGAAAAAGCCCTGTTTTCATGGAGCTTATATTTTAACAGTTGGACTAATTACAACACATGTATACAATGGAATGACATGCAACTAGGCAGAAAAAATTAGTAGCTCACTATGAATGATTATGAAAATATGTCCACAATATATTACTAATAGAAAAAAAACAGGTTAGGTCAGGTGCGATGGCTCACGCCTGCAATCCTAGCATTCTGGGAGGCTGAGGCAGGCGGATCACTTGAGGTCAGGAGTTTGAGACTAGCCTGGCCAACATGGGAAAACCCTGTCTCTACTAAAAATACAAAAATTAGCTGGGCATGGTGGCGCATGCCTGTAATCCCAGCTACCCGGGAGGCTGAGGCAGGAGAATCACTTGAATCCAGGAGGTGTAGGCTGCAGTGAGCCGAGATCACGCCACTGCTCTCCAGCCTGGGCAACAAAGCAAGACTCGGTCTCAAACAAACAAACAAAAAACACCAAGTTAAAAAATGGTAAATAAAATAGGATCCTTTTTATCTATTAGATTTAGAAAAAAGGTATGGAAGAATATAAAACAAATTGTTAATAATTATTAATTGGAGAGATGGGGCTAACATGGACTTTTACTTTCTGTTTGATATGGTTCTGAGTTATTTTGGTTTTATTATAAAAAGCTTTACTGTCTAAGCACTTTGGGAGGCTGAGGCAGGAAGATTGTTTGAGCCCAGAAGTTTGAGATCAGCCTGGGCAATACAGTGAGACCTAGTCTCTCAAAAAAAAAATTTTTTTTTTTTAATTAGCCGAGTGTGGTTGTGCACGCCTGTAGTCTCAGCTACTCGGGAGGCTGAGGAGGATTGCTTGAGCATGGAAGGCAGAGGTTGGTTGCAGTGAGCTGAAATCGTGCCATTGCAGTCCAGCATGGGTGACAGAGCAAGACCCTGTCAAAAAACAAACAAACAAACAAAAAAACGCTTCCTAATAAATAATAGTTCCTTTTTTTTTTTTTTTTGATGGAGTCTTGCTCTGTTGCCCAGGCTGGAGTGCAGTGGCAGGATACTGGCTCACCACAACCTCTGCCTCCAGGTTCAAGTGATTCTTCCGCCTCAGCCTCCCAAGTATCTGGGACTACAGGTGCGTGCCACCACACCCAGCTAATTTTTGTATTTTTAGTAGAGATGAGGTTTCACTATGTTGGTGAGGCTGGTCTTGAACTCTGACCTCATGATCTGCCTGCCTCGACCTCCCAAACTGTTGGGATTACAGGTGTGAGCCACCGCACCGGGCCTCCTTTTTTTTTTTTAAGAGACAGTGTCTGACTCTGTCACCCAGGCTAGAGTACAGTGGTGTGATCATGGCTCACCATAGCCTGGACCTCTCAGAGTCAAGCAATCCTCCCTCCTCAGCCTCCAGAGTAGCTAGGACTACAGGCACATGCTACCATGCCCAGATACTTTTTTTTTTTCTGCATAAAGACAGGGTCTTGCTATGTTGCCCAGGCTGGTCTTGGATAAGTCATCCTCCCGCCTTCAGCCTCCCAAAGTGCTAGGGTAACAGGAAAGAACCACTGTACCTGGCCAAATATATTCTTCATATAAAATTTTTAAAAACTGTGGACAAAAGCTAATTCCTTCTTAAGCACCCCCAGGAAATCACTAGCTATCAGGTGATATGTTTACCTCCAGATTTATTTAAATGCATTTATATACATTTATGTGTAGCTACAGAAGACATGTAATGTGTTAAGTTGTATTTTATTTTACATGGATGATATCCTGGAGTGAATATTGTTCTGAATCTTGTTTAAAGATCCAGTGGGCCAGGTACAGTGGCTCACACCTGTAATCTCAGCACTTTGGGAGGCTGAAGCGGGAGGATTGCTTGAGTACAGGAGTTTAAGACCAGCCTGGGCAACATAGTGAGACCTTGTCTCTAAAAAAAAATAAAATTGCCAGGTGGGGTGGCTCACGCCTGTAATCCTAGCACTTTGGGAGGCCGAGGCGGGTGGATTGCCTGAGCTCAGGAGTTCGAGACCAGCCTGGGCAACGTGGTAAAACCTTGTCTCTATTAAAATACAAAAAATTAGCCAGATGTGGCAGCGTGTGCCTGTAGTCCCAGCTACTTGGGAGGCTGAGGCTGGAGAATTGCTAGAACTCAGGAGGCAGAGGTTGCAGTGAGCTGAGATCACACCACTGCACTCCAGCCTGGGCGACAGAGCAAGACTCCGTCTTTGAAAAAAAACAAAAAAAACAAAATTAGTCAGGTATGGTGGTATGTGCCTGTAGTCTCAGCTATTTAGTAGGCTCAGGTGGGAAGATCGCTTGAGCCCTGGACGTCGAGGCTGCCTTGAGCCAAGATTGTGCCACTACATTCCAGCCTGGGCAACAGAGAGAGACCCTGTCTCAAGAGAAAAAAAAATTCAATGTCTTGGCCGGGCGCAGTGGCTCAGCCTGTAATCCCAGCACTTTGGGAGGCCAAGGTGGGTGGATCACCTGAGGTTGGGAGTTTGAGACCAGCCTGACTAACATGGAGAAACCCCGTCTCTATTAAAAATACAAAATTAGCTAGGCGTGGTGGCGCTTGCCTGTAATCCCAGCTACTCGGGAGGCTGAGGCAGGAGAATTGCTTCAATCTGGGAGGCGGAGGTTGCGGTGAGCGGAGATTGTGCCATTGCACTCCAGCCTGGGCAACAAGAGCGAAACTCTATATCCAAAAAAAAAAAAAAAAAAAATTCAATGTTTTAAAGGTCTTTTCATATTAGTACTTTTAGATTGACTTAGTCTCTCTCTGAACCACTAGTGTGTATATACAAGTTAATTCGGGTCATTAGAGGGTTTAGAGTTCACAGTTTGAAATGGAGCCTGGGTCATGTATTAGTTATCTATATTTGCATAACAATTTTCCCCAGAACTCAGCACCTTGAAACGACAAATATTATCTCACAGTCTCTCGCAGGTTGCAATCAGGTGTTGGCCAGGACTATGGTCTCATGTGATAGCTCAAGTTGGGAGAATCTTTTTTGAGGCAGGGTCTCACTCTGTCACCCAGGCTGAAGTGCAGTGGTATAATCTTGGCTCACTGCAGCTTTGACCTCCCAGGCTCAAGTGATCCTCCCAGCTCAGCCTCTCAAGTAGCTGGGGCTACAGGCATGCGCCACCATGCCTGGCTGGGAGAATCCGCTTCTAAGCTCATGCACTGGTCATCAGCAGATCTCCCTGATGGCTGTTGGCTGGAGATTTCTCTTCAGATCCTTGCCAGGTGGGCCTTTCCATGGGACAGCTCACAGCATAATAGCTGTCTTCTCTCAGAGAGGGACAAGGAAGCAAAGACATGCATGACAGAAGCTTTTTATCACCTAATACTGGAAGCGGCATTCCATCACTTTTGCCATAGCCTATTTTTTTTTTTTTTTTTTGAGACAGGGTCTCACTCTATTGCCTAGGCTGGAGTGTAGTGGCACGATCTCAACTCACTGCAACCTCTGCCTCCAGGGCTTAAGTGATTCTCATGCCTCAGCCTCCGGAGTAGCTGGGATTACAGGTGTGCACCACTACCTCTGGCTAATCTTTTGTATTTTTAGTAGAGATGGGGTTTTGCCATGTTGCCCAGGCTGGTCTTGAACTCCTGAGCTCAGGCAATTCACCCACCTCGGCCTCCCAAAGTGTTAGGATTACAGGCATGAGTCACTGCGCTCAGCCCCATATTCTATTTATTAGAAGTGTTACACTACATCCAGCCCACACTCACGTCATGGGGAGGGGATTGTACAAGCGTATGAATATCAAAAGGCAAGAATCCCTGGCACCATCTTGCAGGACACCTACCAAAACAAAGATCATCCAGCAACCACGCGGGCAATGGATATGAAAGGAGGGAACAGAGGAAACAAACAGTTCAAGGGAAGAGGTGATAGACGATTATTCATTCGTCCAACAGATATGTACTGACTACCTACTTTGCACCAGGCACTATTTTAGGTACTGAGGATAAAAGGGGGAACAAGACAGACAAAGCTCAAACCCTCATGGAGTTTACTGAAGAGCAGAGACAAGACAAGGCCACTAGAGAGATCATGAGCATAAGAAACAAGACAGTTGCTATGTAATTCACGCACTGTTTCACAGGGAGACTCACATGGTCTGTGACTGATTGCAGGCGGTGAGTGAGCGGATGGGAGGAGCTCGGGATGAACTCCCATGTTTCAAGTTTGGGCAACTGGTAGATTCTGATGCCTTTCCATGAGCAAAAGAAAAATGAACATGGGGCCGGGCACTGTGGCTTACGTCTGTAATCCCAGGACTTTGGGAGGCCAAGGTGGGCGGATCACTTGAGGTCAGGAGTTTTAGACCAGCCTGGCCAACCTGGCAAAACCCCGTCTCTACTAAAAATACAAAAATTAGCTGGGTGTGGTGGTGGGTGCCTGTAATCCCAGCTACTCAGGAGGCTGAGGCATGAGAATCACTTGAACGCGGGAGGTGGAGGTTGCAGTGAGCCGGGATTGCACCACTGCATTCCAGCCTGGGCAACAGAGCGAGACTCTGTCAGGGAAAAAAAAAAAAAAGAAAAAAAAAGGAAACGGGACAGGAAATAGATTTAAGGAAGGATGAGAAGGCCAGAGTTGGACATGTTGAATTTAAGGAGTCTGTAGGACAACCAGATGATGTTCAGGTGGTAACTGGACATCAGCCCAGAAGTGATGCCTGAATTGGCGACAGACAATAAAAAGTTAGTGGCACGCAATGATATTTAAAGCCATACCAGTGAAAGCAGAGAGAAAAGAAGGCTAGAGGAACCTTGAAGAATAGGAATTTCTAACGCATGGGGAAAAGAAAACAGAAAGTAAAAGGAACAAGCAAAAATAAAAGGTGAAAGAGCACTCAGAGAGATAGGAGTGGGATGTCATAGAGTCTTCAGAGAAGAGAATTGGAAGGAAGGAGAGTGATCAAATGCAGTCAAGAAATCAAGAAGTCTTGGCCGGGTGCAGTAGCTCACGCCTATAATCCTAGCACTTTGGGAGGCTGACGGGGGTGGATTGCTTGAGCCCAGGAGTTCAAAACTAGCCTGAGCAACATGGCAAGACCTTGTCTCTACAAAAAATAAAAAATTAGCCAAGCGTGGTGGCGTGTGCCTGAGTCCCAGCTACTCAGGAGGCTGAGGTGGGAAGATCACTTAAGCCTGGGAAGTTGAGGTTGCAATGTGCCATGATCATGCCATTGCACTCCAGCCTGGGTGAAAGAGTGAGAACTTGTCTTAAAAATAAAATCAGCTGGGCATGGCGGTGCATGCCTGTAATCCCAGCTACTTGAGAGGCTGAGGCAGAAGAATTGCTTGAATGTGGGTGGTGGAGGTTGCAGTGAGCCAAGAGCATGCCACTGCACTCCAGCCTGGGCAACAGAGCAAGAGACTCCATCTTAAATAAATAAATACATACAATAAAATAAAAAATGAAAGAAATTGAGAAGTCTCCATTGGTGCAAAAAGGAGGCCATCAGTGACCTTGATGAGAAGAATTTTAGAAGCAGGGAGTGGGCAGGGGAGAAGGTTGAGGAGTGATTGAGAGGTGAGCAAATGGAGATAAGTGGGTGTAAATCATTTTTGATTCTTTTTATCTTATTGGCACATATATGAATTCTGAGGCATTATCAGAATTAAATGTCCATTCTTGAGGTTATTTCAGTCTCTGGGAGGCTGCCAGCCCTTCCTTTTCCATTTAGCCCTAATGCATTGGTGGGGAATAGTTCTAATAGGCAAGATAAGCAGGATTGCTTGGGACAAGTGGGAAAAGAGTAGGAAGAAAAACCAAGGGTGGGACATCCTGGACTCTGTGATGATGAACTTGTGTAACCTCCAGCAGACAGAGCAGCAAAGGTCTCCAGGAATGCAAAGGAAGAGGTGGTATGAATTCCTAGACCCTATGTGGGTACTCCCATATCAAAAATGAGTCCCCATTTAGATACTGAATAGCCTCTGTGTGTGTTGTGTGCATATATATATATATATATATATATATATATATATATATAGAGAGAGAGAGAGAGAGAGAGAGAGAGAGAGAGAGAGAGAGAGTCTCTGGCTGGAGTGCAGTGGTGTGATCTCACCTCACTGCAACCTCTGCCTCCTGGGTCCAAGCAATTCTCCTGTCTCAGCCTCCCGAGTAGCTGGGATTACAGTTGTGCACCACCATGCCCAGCTAATTTTTTGTATTTATAGTAGAGATGGGTTTCACCATGTTGGTCAGGCTGGTCTTGAACTCCTGACTTCAGGTGATCCACCTGCCTCGGCCTCCCAAAGTGCTGGGATTACACATATGAACCACAGTGCCTGGCTTGGAGAGCCTCTTTTAAAGCTAAAATGCATCTGTATCCTTCGGCAGCCTGAAATCTTAGGAAATTCAGGCACGTACTATCTAAGAATCACAGCATTTCTCATGCAAAATATCTTTTTGTACTTCTCTTGCAATTCATTCCAATGTGTTCTGTCTGTCCACAACACAGCTTGTGTTTCTTTGATTATTTCCCCCCATGTTGGGATTATAAAATTACATAAAATTGGTGTTGGTTGGAGAATGTTTTTGGTTTTTTGAACAGGGTCTCGATCTGTCACTCAGGCTGGAGTGCAGCGGTGTCATCATAGCTGACTGCGACCTTGAACTCCTGGGCTCAAGCAATCCTCCCACCTCAGCCTCCTGAGTAGCTGGGACTACAGACGCATGCCACCACAACTGGCTAATTAAAAAAATTTTTGTTTTTGTAGAGACAGTGGTCTCAATACGTTGCCCAAGCTAGTCTTGAACTCCTGGGTTCAAGTGATCCTCCTGCCTTGGCCTCCCAAAGTGCTGGGATTACAGGTGTGAGCTACCACTGCCTGGTGGGTGGAGAATTTGGATGGCTTGACAGAGATGGTTACTTTGGCAGTCTTTCCATAATCTCTCTTGTGATCCCTTTAAGAAAAGTTTACGTCACATGATTGTTCAGACTTAGACAAAGATGTGTGTGTGTGTGTGTGTGTGTGTGTGTGTGTGTGTGTGTGTGGTGGGGGCAGTGTTGTAAGAGAATAAATAATATTTAAAAGAATTACTTTACAGAGTCTCAGCTTCTGTCACAATACATTGAATTTGCCTGCTTTTATGTGGAACTCCGTTGCAACGGAGAGGAAAGGATGGCCCACTTTCACCTAAAATCCAGATTCTATAACTTGCAAAGTCTCTTTCCAATTAGTTCCAGATTATTAATGCCATCCTGGCAAACTGATAACTCACTGTTTAGGGCACGCTGAATCATTTCATACTATTTTATTTTATTTATATATCTATATATAGTTTGAGACAGAATCTCGCTCTGTCACCCAGGCTGGAGTGCAGTGGCATGATCATAGCTCACCGTAGCTTTGAATTCCTGGGCTCAAGTGATCCTCTATTGAATTTAAACTTAATTTAACTGAGACCAGCCTGGGCAACACATCGAGACCTTGTTGCTACTAAAAATAAAAAAATAGCTGGCGTGGTGGCACAAGCCTGTAGTTCCAGCTACTCAGGAGGCTGAGGTGGAGGATCACTTGAGCTGAGGAGGTCAAGGCTACAGTGAGCTATGATCACACCACCGTATTCCAGCCTGGGCGACACAGCCAAACCCTGTCTCAAAAAAAGAAAAATAAAAAAGATCATAGATTAGAGACAATGGTTCCCAGCTCCCTTTCCTCTGCTGCAACTATGATGGAAATGTTTTGGATGGTATCTGATGCCAAGCTCTTCTGAGAATGTTACCTGACGTGGATGCACCAAGCTGCACGAGGGTGAGGACTTTTGTCATTGACAACTGTATCACTTCAGCTAGTGCCCATTACACGGTTCTCACGAAAATATTTCTTGAGGCCGGACATGGTGGCTTATGCCTGTAATCCCAGCATTCTGGGAGGCCGAAGTGGGTAGTTCGCTTGAGCCCAGGAGTTCAAGACCAGCCCTGGGCTGGCAAAAGTCTGTCTCTACAAAAATTAGAAAAATTAGCTGGGCACAGTGGCGTAGGCCTGTAGTCCCACCTTCTTGGGAGGCTGAGGTGGGAGGGTTACCTAAACCAGGGAGGTTGAGGCTGCAGTGAGCCGTGATTGCACCACTGCACTCCAGCCTGGGTGACAGAGTGAGACCCTGTCTCAAAAACATAAATAAATAAAATAAATTTCCTGAATGAGTTGTTGGAAGATTGTTTCACTGCTCGAGCTGGTGGGATTCTCACACCCTGCCAGAATCTACTTCCTTATCTTTGCCTGGGACATGGCCCCTTGCAAAGTGGACCTACAGGCATCCCTCGGTGAGCGAAGCCCTGTCTCTGGGAAGGCTGTGGAACACAGTTCCAGAACATAGCTTTGAAGCCCAGTGGACCAGATTTGAGTTCACTTTGAAATTTGATAGCTGTGTGACCTTCAATCTTGGTCAAGTTACTTACTTTTCTACTTACCCTCAGGACTCTCATTATCAAAGTTTGTACACACACAGAAAAGTTGAAAGAATAGTACTATCTTTTTTTATTTTTATTTTTAATTTTTAAAAAATTTTTGTAGAGAGGGAGTCTTGCTTTGTTGCCCAGGCTGGTCTCAAACTCCTGGCCTCGAGCAATTCTTCCACATCTGCCTCCTGAGTAGCTGGGACTACAGGTGTGTGCCATCACACCTGGCTAAGTTTTAAAATATTTTTTGTAGAGATGAGGGTCTCACTATGTTGTCCAGGCTGATCTTGAACTCCTGGGCTCAAGCAATCCTCCTGCCTTGGCCTCCCAAAGTGCTGGGATTACAGGTATGAGCCACTGTGCCCAGCCAGAATAGTACTATTGATGACACAATGATGAACTATCTAGGTTCAAAAATTGTTAATATTTTGCTGTATTTATATGTAAATACATGCATATGTATGTAAGTATATCTACAAGTAAGTTACAGGCATCATGACACTTCTCTAAATACTTCAGCCTGTATCATCTAAGAAGAACAGGCCAGGCACAGCGGCTCATGATGCCTGTAATCCTAGCACTTTGGGAGGTTGAAGTGGAAGGATCACTTGAGCCCAGGAGTTGGAGACCAGCTTCAGCTATATGGCAAGTCTCCTGTCTCTACAAAAAATAGCAAAAATTAGCCAGGCATGGTGGTGCATGCTTGTAGTCCCAGCTACTCAGGAGGCTGAGATGGGAAAATCGCCTGAGCCCAGGAGGTTGAGGTTGCAGTGAGCCGTGATCACACCACTGCACTCCAGCCTGGGTGACTTCGTGAGACCCTGTCTCAAAAAAAATAAACAAGTAAAAAATAAACAAAGGGCCAGGCGCGGTGGCTCACGCCTGTAATCCCAGCACTTTGGGAGGCCGAGGAGGGCGGATCACGAGGTCAGGAAATTGAGACCATCCTGGCTAACACGGTGAAACCCCATCTCTACTAAAAATACAAAGAAAAAAAAATTAGCCAGGCGTGGCGGCGTGCGCCTGTAGTCCCAGCTGCTGGGGAGGCTGAGGCAGCAGAATGGCGTGAACCCGGGAGGCGGAGCTTGCAGTGAGCCGAGATCACGCCACTGCACTCTAGCCTGGGTGACATAGCAAGACTCCGTCTCAAAAAATAAATAAATAAAATAAAATAAACAAAGAACACTTTCCTACACAAACACAACTCCCGAATCACTCTTGAAGAGAATTAAAAATGATTTCCTAACACAATCTCACATGCTGTCCATATTAAAATTTCACCAACTGTCCCTCAAATGTCTTTTTATGACTGTTTTAATTTTTCTGGTCAGGATCCAATGTAGGATCAGAAATTGCATTTGGTTTTTGTCTCTTTACTCTTTTTTTCTAGAAAAGATTTCTACCCTTTTGTAAGTGACACTGATTTTTATTTTTTAATTTTATTAAGACAGGGTCTCACTATGTTGCCCAGGCTGGTCTTGAAGTCCTTGGCTCAAGCAATCCTCCCACCTCGGCCTCCCAAAGCGCTGGGATTACAGGCGTGAGCCACTGCACCTGGCCTGACATTGATATTTTTAAGAGCTCATCCAGGCTAGTTGTCATGGAAACATCTCACATTTTGGATTCGTGTGATTGTTTCCTCGGGGTGTTTTCTAGGCTCGATTTCCCCATCTGTGAAATGGGCGCAGTGACAGTAGCCACCACATGGGTACCACATTCTACTCCCCAGGCAGTGCGAGAACTGCAGGGCATAGTGCCTGCACAGCGCCTAGTGCAGTGTCTGGCACATCACGGATGCTGAATAAATGAGCCATTGCCATCACCATCATTCCAACCAGCATCCTCCACCTCATCACCACCAGCATCTTCAGCACCCCAGAGTCCAAGCCGCGTCAATGCGCAAACTTGTCTCATTCTTTCCTCACCCTTCTGGAATGTCTTATGCCCCTCCTGCTCAGTTCCCTCTCTCCTGGAGACCTTAAGCGATGAAACTTAAGCCGTATGAATCTCTTAGCCCCTCCAGCAACTGGAGTTTAGCCTCACCCATCTTCCTAAGGACAACCTCTCTTTTTTTTAGAATCACAATTTTCTGACCCCAAATGGTTTAGACACAGTGAGGCATTAACGGTGTCATGTCCACCCAGGGAGCAGGCGGGTGCTTCGTCATTGCTGGTGCTGGTGGTGGGTGACCTTGGCGCGGAGGCTGTCGGTGCGGCAGCTGCTGCAGTGCTGTCGGAGGGTTGCTGGGGAAAGGAGATTGGCTGGCGAGGAAGATGAGGAATGTGCTGCCAGGAGACTGGGATCACGGCCAGATGCTAATTACGATGGCCTGGGGGTGCTGGTACCCCCTGTCAGCATCATGTAAGGAAGTGTGGGGGCTGGCGGGAGTGGGGGAGGTGAGAGAAACGGGCAAGGTGAGAGGGACTGACAGGTTGGAGAGATCCACTTGTTCCCCAAGGGTCCACCCTCCCTTCAGACCCAAGCTGTCTGGGAGAAATTGTGGCTGTCACCATAGCAACAGCAGCAGCTGATGCGTGATGCACAGTGTCTGTTAGAGAAGCTCGGTCAAGCTTGTACCAGTATTTTTCCATCCGAATCTCATTTCTTCAGTGAAATGAGAGAGATCGGAGGCTGGGCAGGGCACAGGTGGGGCCAAGCAGGTATTTGGAGAGGGAGTACAGACAGGAGAGTTCTCAGATAGTCTACTGAATTTGAAAAGAATACAGATTGAAGAGAAGCAGATTTTTACATTACTAAGACATCATTTAAATATCCAGACTGCTTCCAAATTCCCTTAAATTATACATGAATTGCTGAAACAGCAGCCCCGTAGCCTCCAGAAAGGTGCAACGCATTGCATCTGGGAGACCCTTGCGGGAAGGGTTGTTTCTGCAGTCCTGAAGGGCACCAACCTGGGAGTGAGACTGACCTTAGACTCCCAGCTCTGCCACTTCCCAGCTAAGTGGCTTTGGGCAAACTATTTTCCCACATTAAGCCTCAATGTCCTCATCTGTAAAATGGAGATAATAAGAACAGCTGGCTGGGTGTGGTGGCTCACGCCTGTAATCCCAGCACTTTGGGAGGCCGAGGTGGGTGGATTGCTTGAGCTCAGGAGTTCAAGACCAGCCTGGGCAACACGGTGAAACCCCGTCCCTTCTTAAAATACAAAAATTAGCTGGGCATGGTGGCATGCACCTGTAGTCTCAGCTACTAGGGAGGCTAAGGCATGGGAATTGCTTGAGCCTGGGAGGTAGAGGTTGCAGTGAGCCAAGATCACGCCATTGCACTCCAGCCTGGGTGACAGAGTGAGACTCTGTCTAAAAAAAAAAAAAAAAAAAAAAAAAAAGTAGCTGCCTCATAGGGTCATAACGAGAACAAAATGAGTGGATGCATATAGCATTAAGCCTAATACTTGGCTCATATAATGAACCCAGTAAATGGTTGCTATTATTACTATAACAACTACTTCTATTACTGTTGGTGCTACTATTACTATTACTACTCTTACTACTAAAACAAGTACTGTTATTCCTCCTCCTGCCAGCACCATGGGGATTACACAATTCAGCTGAGGACAGGATGATGAATCACTGGCGACTCAGTCCTCTCCCACGAATGGTACTGGAGTGCTTGAATTTGCCAGCACTTTTGTAAGGAGCTGGGAGCAAAGGCTGAGAAGACACAGTCACTGCCCAGACACAGTCACTGCCCTCATAGACTGTGAATCTAGTGTCCAACAAAGGCATGACTCAACAAACAACCAGGGAATCCTATGGGAGCTATAGGATTTTTTTTTTTTTGAGACAGAGTCTTGCTTGTTGCCCAGGCTGGAGTGCAGTGTTGCAATCTGAGCTCACTGCAGCCTCTGCCTCCTGGGCTCAAGTGATCCTCCCACCTCAGCCTCCTGAGTAGCTGGGACTACAGGGGCACGCTGCCACACTCAGCTAATATTTAAATTTTTTGTAGAGACTATGTTGCTCAGGCTGGTCTCGAATTCCTGGGCTGAAGCAGTCCACCCAACTCAGTCTCCCAAACTGCTGGGATTATAAGTGTGAATGCCCCGCCAGGATTTTTATTAGAAGAGATTGTACAGATGATCTATTTCAGGATTTTCCCAAACTCATCCCTCAAGTTTCCCCTCTCTATTTTAGTCCTGAGTACCACTCACATTGTTATTTATTTAAGGCTTTATTTCTCTTTAAATTGATCCCCCTTTCATTGGTCAAATAAATGTGGTTTGAAGAAATCTGGATCGCACTGTGGAAAATGTGAAATTAGCATCACTTGCCATGAAAAAAAAAACCCATAAAAATAAAAACAACGAGACTAATTGTGTCGTCGCATTCCAGCTAATACCCTTTTCCTGTTGAACTTTCAGAGACTCAGGCTCACTCTGTTCAAAGGGAGGTTGGCAAGGCTCAGAGAGGTGTTAAAGGCACACTAGCACAAAATGAAACTTTTTCCTTTTTAATCAGAAGTGCTGCAAAGCAACCAAAGGAAGAATGACTTTCTCACTGAGTAATTCAATGACATCAAATGTTCCATGTTCTTTCCCATCTAAGGTCATGGCTGGCCTTAATTAAGGGTGAATAATTACCTCTTCTCAGAGGGGGCGGGAAAGGCAGGGTAAGAAGTAGGCCCTAGAGCAGACTGCATCTCTGCTGAGTCTAATTGTTCCGGTGGCCAATGCCAGGTGGAAAGCATGGCCTTGGTGATAAAAATGGAGGCAAGCGTGATGCCAGTTTCAGACTGCTTAAGTAGTTCAGAGGCACTGAAGCCCAGTGGGGGAAGTCGGGTAGAGCCGAGGGACTGGCCCAGATCATGAAGGCTTTGTAAATTGCACTTATTCACTGAGTAAAGTGCAAGCGCTGAAATATACATATACATATATATATGTAATTTATTTTTCTTTTCTTTTCTTTTTTTCTTTTTCTTTTTTTTTTGAGATGGAGTTTTGCTTTTGTTGCCCAGACTGGAGTGCAATGGCATGATCTTGGCTTGGCACAATCTTGGCTCACCGCAACCTCCACCTCCTGGGTTCAATCAATTCTCCTGCCTCAGCCTCTCAAGTAGCTGGGATTACAGGCATGCGCCACCACGCCTGGCTAATTTTTGTACTTTTAGTAGAGAGGGGGTTTCACCATGTTGGTCAGGCTGGTCTTGAACTCCCGACCTCAGGTGATACTCCAGCCTCAGCCTCCCAAAATGCTGGGATTACAGGCGTGAGCCACCATACCCAGCCTATATATATGTAATGTTTTAAGACACAGGGTCTTGCTCTGTTGCCATGACTGGAGTGCAGTGGTGCAATCCTAGCTCCCTGCAGCCTCAAAATTCTGGGCCCAAGAGATTCTGCTGCCTCAGCCTTCTGAGTACCTGGGACTATGGGCATGTGCCATCACGCCCAGCTAACTCAAAAAATTTTCTTGGTATGTTGCCCAGGCTGGTCTTGAACTCCTGGCCTCAAGTCATCCTCCTGCCTCAGCCTCCCAAAGTGCTGGGATTACAGGTGTGAGCTACCATGCCCAACATACTGAAATATATTAAACAGTGGAACGATATGACAACAATAATAGCTATCATTAGTAGTGCACTAACTATGCGCTAGTCATTGAATCTTCATAACAACTGGGGGGTAGGTAATACTATTTCTATTCTACAGATGAGAAAACTGAGGCTTAATGAGGTTCAGTACTTTTCCCAGATGTGGTAGATTGACCACAGTTCTCCTCCCCTCCCTGTCTGTCACATTGTGGTCACTTTACTAAGTGACTTTGCAGCTCCTCTTATTAAGAGAGAAATCCGTTTTCCTGCCTACTGGCCTTATGATCTACTTGGACCACAATAGTGCAGCAGATGGCATGATGGGTCAGTTCTGAGTCTGGGCCTCAAGAGGCCTTGTCAGTTTCCTGGGAATACTTTGGGATCCCTGTTGTTGCCATGTGCAGGGGGCCAGGCCTGTCTTCTGCAGGATGAGAGGAGTCCATTTGTCCTAGCTGAGGCCCAGGCACGGGACAGAGCCCAGCCAAGGTCAGCAGAGCCACCACTCCAGCCAGCAGCTGATCACAGATACATCAAAAAGTCCAGATGAGACCAGAAAAACCACCCTCACTGACCAATGGACTCATAAGCAGTAAAGAGTGGTGTTCTTTTTATTTTTACTTATTTATTTGAGATGGAGTCTTGCTCTGTCACCCAGGCTGGAGTGCAGTGGCATGATCTTGGCTCACTGTAACTTCCACCTCCTGGGTTCAAGCAATTCTCCTGTTTCAGCCTCCTGAGTAGCTGGGGCTACAGGCACGTGCCACTGCGCCCTGCTAATTTTTGTATTTTTAGTAGAGATGGTGTTTCGTCATATCGGCCAGGCTGCTCTCGAACTCCTGATCCCAAATGATCCACCCGCCTCAGCCTCCCAAAATGCTGGGATTACAGGTGTGAGCCACCATGCCCAGCCAAGAGTGGTGTTTTTTTAAGCAATTAAGTTTTGGAGTGCCTTCGGTTAGTAAAAACTAACTAGACAACCAAGATAAGCCAGTGAGTAAATGTTGGAGTTGAGATTTTTTCCAGCTGTCACCACTGCCCCTGCCCCTGCCATATGTATATATATATATATATATATTTTTTTTTTTTTTTTTTTTTTTTTTTTTTCTCTAAGACAGGGTCTTGCTCTGTCATCTGGGCTGGAGTGCAGTGCCAATAGCTCATTGGCAGCCTTGACCTCTGGGGCTCAAGTGATCTTTCCACCTCAACCTCCTGAGTAGCTGGGACCACAGGCATGTGTCACAATGCCCATCTAATTTTTTTTTTTTTTTTTTTGAGACGGAGTCTTGCTCTGTTCCCAGGCTGGAGTGCAGTGGCGCGATCTCGACTCACTGCAAGCTCTGCCTCCCGGGTTCATGCCATTCTCCTGCTTCAGCCTCCCAAGTAGCTGGGACTACAGGCACCTGCCACCACGCCTGGCTAATTTTTTCTTTTGTATTTTTAGTAGAGATGGGGTTTCACTGTGTTAGCCAGGATGGTTTCAATCTCCTGACCTCGTGATCCACCCGCCTTGGCCTCCCAAAGTACTGGGATTACAGGCATGAGCCACTGCTCCTGGCTGCCCATCTAATTTTTAAAATTTTGTAGAGATGGGGTCTTGCTATGCTGCCCCAGCTGGTCTCAAACTTCTGACTTTAAGCCATCCTTCCACCTCAGCCTCCCAAAGTGCTGAGATTACAGGCGTGATCCACCGCTCCTGGCACACTTATTCTCTTGAACATCATTTCTCACAAACACTCAGAAGGTTTCCCATTTATGCTGGCATGTACCATTTCTTCAGTACAACCACTCACAACTTTCCACTGAAAAGGAACCTCAATCAGCTGCCCCGCACCACCACCAACACCTCACAAAGATTTGATTGATATGCTAGCAGAGCATAGACAGACGAGTTGCAGGGAAAGATTTGTCCCTGCAAGCAAATTTTCCACAAGTGACAACTTCAATAATTCTTGCAAGGCAGTAGTTCTCAACCAGAGGAGATTTTGACCAGCTAGGACTGGTCAATTGACAATGTCTGGAGACATTTTTTATTGTCATAACTGGGAAGGGAGTGCTACTAGACTATAGTGGGGTAAAGGCCAGGGATACTGCCAAAGAAACATCCTACAATCTACCAAACAGCCTCTCAGAACAAAGAATTATCCTACCCAAAATGTGAATAGTGCTGAGGTTGAGAAACTATTTTAAGGTAATATGGAACAAGACTATTGTTATGACTGTGAAGAAAACACCTTGGAGCAGTGGGTCTTGACCCTGGCTACACATTAGATTCACCCAATGAGTTAAAAGGCAATGAAAACCTAATGCTCTGCCCTGATTCTCTGAGTCTTTGACTCAACTGGGATGGGGCCATTTACCAATTCTTTCCAGGCTGAATGTGGTGGCTCATGCCTGTAATCCCAGCGCTTTAGGAGACAAAGGCAGGAAGACTGCTTGAGGTCAGGAGTTTAAGACCAGCCTGGGCAACATAGCAAGATCCCGTGTCTATAAGAAAAATTAAAAAAAAATTAGCCAGTTTTAAAAACATGAGCTTGTAGTCCCAGCTACTCGAGAGGCTGAGGTGGGAGGATGGCTTGAGCCCAGGAGTTCAAGGCTGCAGTGAGCTATGATTGCACGAACCACTGCACTCCAGGCTAGGCAACAGAGTGAGACCTTGTCTCTAACATAAATAAACAAACAAATAAATAAATAAGTTAGTTTGTCCTTCCTCCTCATCAGATCAGCCTCTCCACTTCAAATCCTGCCCCTCTGATGTTAGAATCTGGCTGCAACCATCCCGTGATTCTGTGGAGCCTCGTGCCTTACTTCTGCTGGCTTCTGTCTGTCGTCACTTCCGTTCTCCACCACCCTGGCCTCAATCAAACACGTTTTCTCTGATGCAAAACTCGACCTTCATTTACAGAAAGGTTTCTGGGATTTCTTATAGGTTTTGTGTGTGTGTGTGTGTGTGTGTGTGTGTGTGTGTGTGTGTGTGATTTGGGGATTACTGCAAGGCACCCTATACACAAGAGTCTTCTGATCTCTCCCTACTTTATTTTTTATTTTATTATTTGGAGACATAAATAATAAATAATAAATAATAAATTTATTATTAATAAATATATTTATTAATAATATATATTTATATTTATTATATTTTAAAATAAATATATTTAAAATATTTAAATAAATTAAAATATATTATTAAAAATATATTATATTTTAAAAATATATATATTATATTTATTATATATTATTATATTTATTTTTATTATATTTATATTTATATTTATTATATTTAAAAATAAAATATATTATTTTTATTATATTCATATTTATTAAATTTATAAATTTAATAAATTTATAATATGAATTTATTAAATTAATAATACATAATAAATATTGTTATTTATTTATTATTTGGAATTTTATTATTATTTGGGTCACACTCTGTCCCCCACACTGGAGTGCAGTGGCATGATCTCAGCTCACTGCAATCTCCGTCTCCAAGGTGCAACGATTCTCCTGCCTCAGCCTCCCGAATAGCTGGGATCACAGGTGAGCGCCACCATGCTCAGCTAATTTTTGTATTTTTAGTAGAGATGGGGTTTCGCCGTGTTGGCCAGGCTGGTCTCAAACTCCTGATCTCAGGTGATCCACCCGCCTCTGCTTCCACCTCCCAAAGTGCTGGGATTACAGGTATGAGCCACCACTCCCAGCCTCCTTACCTTCATTTCCCCTTCTCTTCTGTTCACTACAGGGTTATCTCAAGAGGCTTGGGATGGTTAAACCCTGCACATCTCAGAGGAAGGACTGGCTCTTCACCTGTTCCTGCAGGATAACTGCTAACGGCTTAAAATATTCTGCCTGATAAGAGGGCTTCTGTATATCTGGGGCCTTGGGCCATGCCGGGTAGTTGATGCTAACAACATGATTTATGGTGGGTGCCTGCGGTCATGCTGTATCAGCCTGACCTCTGGAGGGGCTGGACACTGGGTAACTGATCCCCAAGAAAAGCCATGGACACTAAGGCTCAGGTGAGTTCCCCTGGTTGGCAGTGTTTTGCGTGTGTTGTCACACATCATTGCTGGGAGACTTAAGCACTGCACATATGACTATCTAGGAGGGTACAGCTGCAAGCTCCTGCCTGGATTCTGCCCTGAGCACCTTTTTCCTTTGCTGATTTTGTTTATCTATTTATTTATTTTTGAGATGGAGTCTCACTCTGTCACCAAGGTTGGAGTGCGGTGGCTGGATCTCGGCTCATTGCAACCTCCACCTCCCAGGTTCACGTGATTCTTCTGCTTCAGCCTCCCAAGGAGCTGGGATTACAGGTGCCAACCACCATGCCTGGCTAATTCTTATATGTTAGTAGAGACGGGGTTTTGCCATGTTGGCCAGGCTGGTCTCGAACTCCTGAGCTCAAGTGACAAGGCCGCCGGCCTCGACCTCCCAAAGTGCTGGGATTACAGGCATGAGCCACCGCGCCTGGCCCCTTTGCTGATTTTTAATCCGCATCCTTCCACTGTGTTAAGCTGTAACTGTGAATACAACAGCTTTTTTGAGTTCTGCGATTCTTTGCAGCAAATCGTCATACCTGAGCGTGTCTTGGGGACTCCCCGACACATCTTCCCACTCCCTCTTCTGTTTTCTCACTTCCTCTGGAGTAAACTGAAAGAGGCCCCTGCTTGCCTCTTGCAAGGCAGTTCTGAACACACTGAGATCATTTGTGATCTCATATCCTCTTCTAAGCAATTCATCAAGAAATTTCTTTCAAATAAACCCAGTGCTCTTCATGGAGGTGATGCTGATGAAAATGACTTTCTCCAGCTTATTACACGTTTGCAGAAGCTCCTGTTTAAGAGTTTGAGCATGTATGTGTGTGTGCATATACACCAGCACACACATGCATGCCCACAGCTGTCATGCCTTCACCAGAACCAGGACGAGGAGTTATTCTATTGCCAGAATTGAAGAACCATTTCCACATATTGTAAGGTCAGTGAAAGTACAATGAAAAATACACCTGCTAGCATGCCTATGCATGGCCTCTCTGCAAATAAGATGAAGGTCCCTTCACCACCTGCTTGCACTGCTAATGGCCCTGTAGATTCCACTGGATGGATTTGTAATTTTCTCAACCATTTCCCCTAATGCTGGATATTTGGGTTATTTCCAACATTTTTACGCTTCCAAATAAGGCACCCATAATGATTCTTGCAGAGTAATCATTAGGCTCTTCTATAATTATCTAATTATCCTTTTTTTTTTGTTTTTTTCTGAGGCAGGGTCTTGCTCTGACACCCAGGCTGGAGTACAGCGGCACGATCATGGCTCACTGCAGCCTCAGCCTCCCACGCTCAAGTGATTCCACAGTCTCAGCCTCCTGTGTAGCTGGGATCACAGGTGTGCGCCACCACGCCTGGCTAACTTTTTGTACTTTTTATAGAGACGGGGAGTTTTTTTGTATTTTTTTAAATAGAGACGATGTCTCACCATGTTGCTTAGGCTGTTCTGGAACTTCTGGACTCCAGTAATCCTCCTGCCTCAGCCTCCCAAGGTGCTGAGACTATAGGCATGAGCCACCGTGCCCAGCCATATAATTATCTTAAGATAAATTTCTATACATGGAATTTTTATACGTGGAATTTCTATACATGAATTAAAGAGCACAGATTTTTGTATGTTGGTTGCTTGGTTTTTAGAGGCAGTATCTCACTCCATTGCCCAGGTTGGAGTGCAGTGGTGCAATCATAGCTCACCGCACCACTGAATTCCTGGGCTCTAGGAGTCCTCCTTCCTCAGCCTCCTAAGCAACTAGGACTACAGAGTACATATGTTTTTAAGATCTTTGATATCTTATACCTTTTGGGGACTGTATCAGTTAAAAACTCTACCAGTACTGTAGAAACATGATCGTGTCTCTGTTTCCTTGCCACACTGGGCATTAATTACTTGATCCATTAATGAGTTAATTGCACCCTCAATAAGAGTATGGTAAAGTGTGACACATTTACACTACAGAATATTATGCTGTAAAGAATAAGGATGTAGGCCAGGTGAGGTGGCTCATGCCTGTAATCCCAGCACTTTGGGAGGCCGAGGCGGGCGGATGACGATGTGAAGAGATCGAGACCATCCTGGCCAACATGTTGAAACCCCGTCTCTACTAACAGTACAAAAATTAGCTGGGTGTGGTGGCAGGTGCCTGTAATTCCAGCTACTCGGGAGGCTGAGGCAGAAGAATCGCTTGAACCTGGGAGGCGGAGGTTGCAGTGAGCCAAAATGGCGCTACTGCACTCCAGACCGGGGACAGAGTGAGACTCTGTCTCCAAAACAAAACAAAACAAAACAAAGCAATTTAAAGAGAAAGACTTTTAGGTGAGGTCAAAAAGGCAAAACCTGACTTTGGTTGAAAACAAAAAAAATATGCCATACAGTTTCTTAGGAAAACTGAAATTAAAAGTATAAGCAAAGACATACCTTACCCAGTGATATTATGGACTTGAGAGACTCAGAAGGGGAAGGGTGGGAGGGAGGCTAAGGGTAAAAAACTGAACATTAGGTACAATGTACACTCCTCCTTTGACAGGCGCACTAAAATCTCAGAATTCATCGCTACATAATTCATCCACATAACAAAAAGCCACCTGTACCCCTAAAGCTATTGAAAAAAAATTTTTCTTAAAGACATACCAGATAAAGGTTAAGAAGAAGAAAGCTGGGCAGGGCGTGGTGGCTCACGCCTGTAATCCCAGCACTTTGGGAGGCCGAGATGGGTGGATCACGAGGTCAGGAGATCGAGACCATCCTGGCTTACACGGTGAAACCCCGTCTCTACTAAAAATACAAAAAATTAGCCTGGCGTGGTGGCGGGCACCTGTAGTCCCAGCTACTCGGGAGGCTGAGGCAGGAGAATGGCGTGAACCCGGGAGGCGGAGCTTGCAGTGAGCCGAGATCGCTCCACTACACTCCAGCCTGGGCGACAGAGCGAGACTCCGTCTCAAAAAAAAAAAAAAAAAAAAGAAAAAAAAAAGAAAAAAGAAAAAGAAAGCTGAATTCATGATATTAATATCAGACAATGTTGAATCTAAGGTTAAGGGAGGCAACCTAGACAAATGGGGGCATTTTATAATGACAAAGGGCACTAAGAGTTAGGCTAAAGCTTCAATGTGAGAACACAACAGAAAATGGCATCAAACTTGCACACGCATGTTTATAGCAGCACAATTCACACTATTCACAACTGCAAAAATGTGGAATCAACCCAAATGCCCATCAATCAACGAGTGGATTAAAAATCTGATATATATATATATGAATGATGGAATACTACTCAGCCATAAAAAGGAATGAACTAATGGCATTCGCAGCAACCTGAATGGGATTGGAGACTATTAGTCGAAGTGAAGTAACTCAGGAATGGAAAACCAAACATCGTATGTTCTCACTCATAAGTGGGAGCTAAGCTATGAGGATGCAAAGGCATAAGAATGACACAAGGGACTTTGGGGACTCAGGGGGACAGGGTAGGAAGGGGGTGAGGGATAAAGGTCTACAAACTGGGTTCAGTGTATACTGCTTGGGTGATGGCTGCACCAAAATCTCACGCATCACCACTAAAGAACTTACTCATGTAACCAAACACTACCTGTTCCCCCCAAAACCTACAGAAATAAAAAGTTAAAAAAATAAAATAAAATAAAATGGCATCAAAATAATTACAGCATCAGCTTCCAACAGACACCAAGACTAACATATGACTATAGCTCACCTCTCCCAGCTTGCAGTAGATAAAAAAATTAAAAATAAAAATTTAGAGGATCTCAATGTATATTTAATAAGGCCGACTTTGTAGTTTATGTCGAATACTATGCACTAATAATAGAGGATACATCTTTTATGTGCCTATGGAATTTTCATGGTAATAGATGATGTATCAGGCCATGAAGAAAATCTTAACAAAATTCAAAATGGAGAAAGAGTAGAGACCACTTTCTAGTCACAGTACAAGAAAGATAGGGCTGGGTGTGATAGCTCATGCCTGTAATCCCAGCATTTTGGGAGGCCAAGACAGGAGGATTGCTTGAGCCCAGGAGTTTGAGACCAGCCTGGACAACATAGCAAGACCCTGTCTCTACAAATAATACAAACATTATCCTGGCATAGTGGTGCACACCTGTAGTTCCAGCTACTTGGGAGGCTGAAGGAGGAGGATTGCTTGAGCCCAGGGGACAGAGGCTGCCGTGAGCCATGTTTGTACCACTGCAGCCAGTCTGGGTAACAGAGCAAGACCAACAAAATTGGAAGGGGAAAATTCTACCACCCACCACTTGGTAAAAGGGAGCGTTTTTTGAGGGCACGAGGAGAGAGACACAGAGACAGACAGATCAAAGAAAAAATTTAAACCCAAATTTCTCAACATCTTGAATAACAAAATGAAATTAATACATAGCAAAACCTCTGTCCTATGACTAAAACTGGATTGTTAAGTAGAACAGAGCCCTAAACAAAGGCATAAGTAGAGAAGGACAAAGAAAGTAAGTGAGTTTAGTATTCACTCAAAGAAGTTAGAAAAACAACAAATTATTCTAAGAAATAAGAAGGAATAAAATAATAAATGGGCGAATTAGAAAATAAAATAATGGTGGGGTGCAATGGGTCCTACTGCAAAGTGCCTGTAATCCCAGCACTTTGGGAGACTGAGGCGGGTGGATTGCTTGAGCTCAGGAGTTCAAGACCAGCCTGGGCAACATGGCAAAACTCCAACTCTACAAAAAATACAAAAATTAGCCGGGTGTGGTAGCGCACGCCTATAGTCCCAGCTACTTGGGAGGCTGAGGTGGGAGGATCGCTTGAGTAAGGGAGGCAGAGGTTGCAGTGAGCAATGATCTGCACTGCACTCCAGCCTGAGTGACAGAGTGAGACCCTGACTCAAAACAAAAAAAAAGAAAAAGAAAAGAAAATACACAAAAAAATAGAATTAATTAATGTAAGAGCAAACTCTTTGGGGTGAGTTGGTTAGAGTAAAATAAATAATTGAAAAGTCAACTAATCAGGAAAAAAAGAGGAAGAAAGCTCAAAAACACAACATTAGAAACAGGGTGGGTGGGGCTCTGTGGCTCATACCTGTAATCCCAGCACTTTGGGAGGCCGAGGTAGATCACTTGAGGTCAGGAGTTCAAGACCAGCCTGGCCAACATGGTGAAACCCTGTCTCTACTAAAAATACAAAAATTAGCTGGTTATGGTGGCACATGCCTGTAATCCCAGCTACTTGGGAGGTAGAGGCAGGAGAATTGCTCGAATTGGGAAGGCAGAGGTTGCAGTGAGCCAAGACCGTGCCACTGCACCCCAGTCTAGGGGACAGAGTGAGTGAGACTCTGCCTCAAAAACAAACAAACAAACACAAAGAAACAGAGTGGAGGAAATATCATAACAAAGAGGAAATGAAATGGCTTTGTACCTTGCAAAACTGTGCAATGAAATTTGAAAATCTGAATGAAGTAGATTATTTTCTAGAAAAATGTAACTAATTGTCCACAGTTTTAGAACTCTGAAATAAAACAGCAAGCAGAAACAAAACTGTAAATGTTAACCAGCTTCCCACCCCAAATTCACCAGACCCACAGGAGTTTTAGATAAAGTCTTCCAAATAGCCAAGAAATAAGCAATTCTGCTTCTATATAAATTGTATCCAGGCACGGAGAAATAAAAGATGTTCATACTTTTTGTCAAAGCCACATCAAAACCTGAAAATCATGTCACAAAGAACAACTATATAACAAAACTCACTTATGAATATCTTATCTTAAATAAGATAGTACCAAAGAAAACCCAGCATATTTTAGGAATGTAGGAAATGCTGTTTTAGGAAATCTACTAGTAAGCAACATTCACCATATAACTTGGCTTAAAAAAAAAAGTGGCATAAAATTATCTCAAAAATGCAATGTTATTAGCATAGAATTGACAAAATATTCTCTTACAGCTTTCTAAGTCTCCACTGCATTTTTGGCTAAACTCCATTTTTTATTTCCATTTTTTTTTTTTTTTTGAGATGGAGCTTTGCTCTGTCGCCCAAGCTGGAGTGCAGTGGCACGATCTCAGCTCACTGCAACCTCTGCCTCCTGGGTTCAAACGATTCTCCTGCCTCAGCCTTCCAAATAGCTGGGATTACAGGTGCGTGCCATCATGGCTGGTTACTTTTTGTATTTTAATGGAAACGGGGTTTCACCATGTTGGCCAGGCTGGTCTTGAACTCCTGACCTGAAGTGATCCACCCGCCTCGGCCTCCCAAAGTGCTGGGATTACAGGCATGAGCCGCCTGCCCGGCCTTTATTTCCAAACTTTGAAATATGTGCTCTATTTTCCTTGATAAGTCTCTCTAGAGGTTTTGTTTGTTTGTTTCTTTGTTTGTTTGTTTTTTTTTTTTTTTTTTTTTTTTTGAGATAGGGTCTCACTCTGTTACCCAGGCTGTAGTGCAGTGGTGTGACCATTGCTCACTGTAGCCTTGACCTCCCAGGCTCAATCAATCCTTCTGCCTCAGTCTCCCAAGTAAGTAGCTGGGAACACAGTCATGCACCACCATGCCTGGCTAATTTTTGTATTTTTTGTAGAAGATAGCGTCTTGCTATGTCTCCCAGGCCGTTCTCCAACTTCTGGGGTCAAGTGATTCTTTTGCCTTGGCCTCCCAAAGTGCTGGGATTACAGGTGTAAGCCACCATGCCCCGCCTCTCTAGAGTTTTATTTTATTGATCTTATCAAAGACCCAGGTCATGGTTTTATTTAACATTTATTTCTATTATTTGTTTCAGTAATGTCTGCTTTTATTAGGTTTGATTCTGTCTACCTGCTACTTTGGGTCATTTTGTTCTTTTTCATACTTCTTTTATGTGAAACATTTTATTTTTAAAATTCTTTCTTAATAGAAACACTTAACATAACAATTTTGCCTCTGATTACAGGGTTGTTTACATCTTATCAGTTTTGAAAGGTAGGGTTCCTTTTGTTGTTTTGTACATAAACAGAAGCTGCCATTTTAATTTCCTCTTTCCCCCAAAATAATTTCTATAAATGATTTTTAAAAGTTCTAAATATTTTGCCCTTTTTGTTAACCTGGTGTTATTTATTTATAGTTTGTTTTTAACAGATAATTTGACTTGTGCAATTTCTGCCTTTGGAATTTTTTTAAGTTTTTATTTGGCCTGATATATTATCATTTTAAATATATGTTCTATGTATTTTTGAAAAGCATATGTACTTCTTTTTCTCTCTCTCTCTCTTTTTTTTTTTTTTTGAGATGGAGTCTCGCTCTGTTGCCCAGGCTGGAGTGCAGTGGCACGATCTTGGCTCACTGCAACCTCCGCCTCCCGGGTTCAAGCGATTCTCCTTCCTCAGCCTCCTGTGTAGCTGGGATTACAGGCATGCGCCACCATGCCCAGCTAATTTTTTTTTGTATTTTTAGTAGAGACGGGGTTTTGCCATGTTGGCCAGGCTGGTTTCGAACTCCTGACCTCAGGTGATCCACCTGCCTTGGCCTCCCAAAGTGCTGGGATTACAGGCCTGAGCCACCACGCCCGGCCTCATTTTTCTTTTCTTTTCTTTTCTTTTTTTTTTTTTTTGAGACAAGGTCTTGTTCTGTCACCCTGGCTAGAGTGCAGTGGTAGTGCATGGCTCACTGCAGCCTCCATTTCCCAGGCTCAGGTGATCCTCCTGCCTCAGCCTCCTGAGTAGCTGGGACCACAGGCACTCACCACCATGCCTGGCTAATTTTTAAAAATTTTTTGTAAAGACAAGGGTCTCCGTAGGTTGCCCAGGCTGGTCTCAAACTCCTGGCCTCAAGTGATCCTCCTGCCTTGGCCTCTCAAACTGTTGGGATTACAGGTGTGAGCCAGGGCACCAGGCCTATATTTCTTGCTATGTATCTATTATCTAACATTTATTAATTCTGTTATTTAAATCCTGTTTCTTTTGTATTTTGTTCGTTCAGACTGAGAATAGTTTGTTAATCTTTAGCTCAATTTTAGTTTTGTCAACAATTCTTATATTTCTACCGAAATACTCTTTTTTTTTTGAGACAGAATTTCACTCTTGTCGCCCAGGCTGGAGTGCAGTGGCACGATCTTGGCTCACCGCAACCTCCGCCTCCCAGGTTCAAGCAATTCTTCTACTTCAGCCTCCCGAGTAGCTGGGATTACAGACATGTGCCACCACGCCTGGCTAACTTTTGTATTTTTAGTAGAGACGGGGTTTCACCATGTTGGCCAGGATGGTCTCGAACTCCTGACCTCAGGTGATCCACACGCCTTGGCCTCCCAAAGTGCTGGGATTACAGGCATGAGCCACCATGCTTGGCCAGGAATAACTCTTAAAAGACTGTTCCCCTTATCTAAGGCCTATAATAAAAATAAATGGCGATTATAGTGAAAATACTTTAAAACCACAAAGCAGAATTTCATGTTTTTTGACAAAATCTTTTTTTCTATCAGTGTTCCCCCCCGCCTTTCAAATTTTTTTTTTGAGACAGGATCTTGTTGTGTCACCTAGACTAGAGTGCAGTGGCACGATCACTTCTCACTATAGCCTCTACCTCCTGGGCTCAGGTGTTCCTCCCATCTCAGCCTCCTGAGTAGCTGGGAACACAGGCGTCTGCCACCATGCCCAGCTAAATTTTTGTATTTTTTGTAGCGATGGGGTTCTGTCATGTTGCCCGGGCTAGTCTTGAACTCCTGGGCTCAAGTGATCCACCCACCTTGGGCTCCCAAAGTGCTGGGATTACAAGCGTGAGACACTGTGCCCAGCCTTTTCTTTACCTCATAGATGATCATAAATGTTTTTATCTTTGGGAGAAATTATACCATCTACCGTGAAATAATATTCTGTCCAGAATGTTTTTGGTTATGTGTCTGATTTTGTCCAAAATTGGTGAGTTTTAGGTTAAAATTAGTAATTTAGTAAAATTACTGAAATTTACTTTAAATTACAGGTGATTCTTTTCTGTTGTTGTGTGTTTTTTTATTTTTTATTTTTTATTAATTTTTTTTTGAGAAGAAGTCTCACTCTGTCACCCAGGCTGGAGTGCAGTGGTGCGATCTCATCTCATTGCAACCTCCGCCTCCTGGGTTTAAGTGATTCTCCTGCCTCAGCCTCTGGAGTAGCTGGTACTACAGGTGCATGCCACAGACATTAGCACCATGCTTGGCGAATTTTTGTATTTTTAAAGTATAGACGGGGTTTCACCATGTTGGTCAGACTGGTCTCGAATTCCTGATGTCAGGTGATCCGCCCGCCTTGGCTTCCCAAAGTGCTGGGATTACAGGCGTGAGTCACCGTACCTGGTCTACAGGTGATTCTTATAGGGACTATTACTAAAAATTTTCTGCAAATCATAAAGCTATATCAAGGTGTTGAGCTTAGCCATTAAGCACAGTGTAATCATTCATTGAGCCTGTCCAGTTTGATTATGCATTCTGGCATTTTGTAAGCTGCTCTGCCTAGCAATATATAGATTCATTTAATATGTTAACATTGGCTAATAAGCCAAGTGCAGTGGGTCACACCTGTAATCCCAGCATTTTAGGAGTTCAAGGCAGGAGGATTGCTTGAGGCCAGGAATTTGAGTGCACCAAATTTGAGTGCACATGGCAGCCTGGGTAACATATTGAGACCCCATCTCTGCAAAACATTAAAAAATTAGCTGGGTGTGGTGGCTATGCCTGTGGTTCCAGCTACTTGGGAGGCTGAGGTGAAAGGATCACTTGATCCTGGGAGGTGGATGCTGCAGTGGGCTATGATTGCGCCACTGCACCCCGGCCTGGGCCACAGAGAAAGTCTTGGTCTGCCCCTGCCAAAAAAAGTTAATAATTTTCTTTCTAAGATCTCAGCTCAAAGTATTATCTCTTCAGAGAGGTCTTCAATCTAAAGTACAGTCCTTTAGTCTAAAGTAATGCCTATCACGTTAACTAGGCTTCTTTTTTTTTTTTTTGATAGAGTCTCGCTCTCTCACTCTAGGCTGGAATACAGTGGTGCCATCTCTGTTCACTGCAACCTGCACATCCTGGGATCCAGTGATTCTCGTGCTTCAGCCTCCCAAGTAGCTGGGATTACAGGTGTGCGCCACCATGCCTGCCTGCCTAATTTTTGTATTTTTAGTAGAGACAGGGTTTCACCATGTTGGCCAGGCTGGTCTCGAACTCCTGACATCAGGTGATCTGCCCGCCTCAGCCTCCCAAAGTGCTGGGATTACAGGCATGAGCCACCGCGCCTGGCAGTTAATAGAAGTATTTTTTAAAATTAGTATTACTCTTCTATTTCCTTTGTATTTCTGATGTATTTTAGATCACCCCCACTTTTTTCCACTTAATGCTTTTGATTCACTTTGCATTAGGCTTGTCTCTTGGAAACAGGATGTAGCTAGATTTTAAAAATCGATTCCGAAGGGCTTTGTTTTCCACAGGGCTTGCTGTCCTTTTATTTTTGTCATCTCAGGTCTCATCATTGTCATCGTGGTTGTCTTTTCTGAGGTGAACGCTCCCTTGTTTATTTTTTCTTCCTGTCATTTGCAATGTGAATCATGCTGTCTTTGTTGGGGTTATTGTTCTATTGCTTTATAGATTTGTTCATTCCAGTTTTATTCTCAGACACACAACTTCTGCTTAGATAGTTCAGAGTTCCCATAATCCTGTCTTAGAAAAAGGCTGTGGTCTTAGGGAAGTGGAATGCAATTTCAATTTAGAAAATGGTTGGAAGCAAATGCTCCCAAGAAGCTCAAATTTCAGGGTGCTTTTAAACAAAGTTCAAGAGAATTCTCAGGCCTCTCTGCTGATTGAATTGTCTTTCTTGGCTAATCTATTTACTCAATCAATGTCAGATAGTGCAAGGGTAATTTTGAGTTTGGGATAAGGATTAAACGATCAATCCATGTCCTGTTTTCCCTGGGGTAAACTTAATCTACAGGGAGGTAGAGAACTAGCACTATTAATTTAAAACTGGGTTTCTCTAATGTAAAGACAGGCACGTTGAGGATCCCAAAACACTCTTAGATCTTTCCCCCTCTTATTCCGTCTTTCATATGCTGTTTGGGTCCAGTTGCCTAATAATTACCACTTAATCAACATATGTATTTATGGGATAGATGAAGAACACCAAAGAAAAAGGACAGTGATTATGAAAACAAGGGCTATAAGAACAATTGGTATGCTGGAAAATGTTGCAGTCAGTGGGTTGGATGCCAATCGGTGCTGAGGTCTGGAGGTTTTAATGTAATAGCAGCTTGGGATGGGTAACCTGGATATTAGCCAAAACACTGGTGGAGAAAAGCCTCATAAATTAGTTTTGATTACTAGCATTTCCCAGTTTCAGTTTACAGAAAGGCCACCATATAATTTCTGTATCTTCTTTTTGGAGAATTACTTTTGACATTTGCATTAAATATTACGCCATGGGATAACACTTATCTAGCCACCATATAATCGGGATTGCAGTGAATTCTACTTAATTGGTTTTTTGTTCATCTTTTCATTTTGATCAAGAGTTTCCTTTCTTAAGTTCTTTTATTCTAAATTAATTTTAATTATATGAGTAATACATACATGCGTTCTTCTTATTAAATCCAAGTTCATCTAAGTTTCCTCTCTCCAAGTTCTTTTATTCTAAATTAATTTTAATTATATGAGTAATACATACATGCATTCTTCTTATTAAATCCAAGTTCATCTAAGTTCCCTCTCTCCTTTCATAGAGGCACAGAGAGAACCATTCTCTGGTATCTTTCTGTGTCTCTATCTATCCATCATCAAAAAGTTTTTTTAATTAATTTTTTTTTTTTTTTAGAGAGGGGGTCTTGCTATGTTGCCCAGACTGGTCTCAAACTCCTGACCTCAAGCGATCCTCCCTTGGGAGCCATCAGACCTGGCATCTATCATCAATTTTTAAAATGACATCACATTGTACAACTTTCTTTTTTCCTCCCCACCTAGTAATATGTCTTAGCAATCTAACCATGTGCCTATTTTTATTTTATTTTATTTTTTATTTTTAAATTTCTTTTTCTTTTGTTAAGATGGCGGGGGGAGGGGGTGTCTCACTATGTTGCCCAGGCTGGTCTCAAACTCCTGGGCTCAAGTGATCTTCCCACTATGGCCTCCCAAAGTGCTGGGATTACAGGGGTGAGTCACCGTGCCAATGTGTCTATTTTATGTTTTTTTTTTTTTTTTTTTTTTTTTTGAGATGGAGTTTTCCTCTTGTTGCCCAGGTTGGAGTGAAATGGCACGATCTCAGCTCACCGCAACCTCCGCCTCCCAGGTTCAGGCGATTCTCCTGCCTCAGCCTCCTGAGTAGCTGGGATTACAGGCACAGGCCACCATGTGTGGCTGATTTTGTATTTTTAGTAGAGACAGGGTTTCTCCATGTTGGTCAGGCTGGTCTCGAACTCCCAACCTCAGGTGATCTGCCTGACTCAGCCTCCCAAAGTGCTGGGATTACAGGCGTGAGGCACGGCGCCTGGCGAATGTGTCTATTTTAAATTGTGGCATACGATTCCTTAGAATAGATACACCACAATTTTTTTTTTTTTTTTTTGCCATACCCAGTTGGTGGATATGTGGGTTGTTCTCCTTAGTGACTGTTATAAACAATGTTGCGGGAAACATCTTCCTACATACCTTCTGTGCACCTGGACAGAGTTTCTTTAGAGAAGATACTGAGCAGTGGAATTGCGTAGACAATTTATCGTTGTTTGATAGATCTACACGGAGCTACACTGTTCAATCCAGTAGCCACTGGCCACTGGCCACGTGTGGCAAATGAGCACTAGCAATGTAGCTAATGTGAATGGGGAGCCCAACTTTTTAGGTTTCCTTAATTTTTAAAATTTTAAAACTGAACCAGTATAAAATATTTTTCTATTAAGTTTAATTTTGCTTTGGTAGGATTATATTTCTCTCTCCTAAGTGCATCACATAAAATATTCTTATATTGCCAGTGCACATGGCAGGCGTGTGCGTGTTTTCTCAGATCACATGTGAACCTATCACTCATCTAACAGGTGTCAATTCGTTTGGTTTGAATCCTTTTTTTCTTTCTTTCTTTTTTTTTTTTTGAGTCAGAGTCTCACTCTATCGCCCAGGCTCAAGTATAGTGGCATAATCTTGGCTCACTGCAACCTCTGCCTCCCAGGTTCAAGCGATTCTCCTGCCTCAGCCACCCAAGTAGCTAGGCTTACAGGCACCTGCCACCGTGCCAGGCTAATGTTTGTATTTTTAGTAGAGACAAGGTTTTGCCATGTTGGCCAGGCTGGTCTCAAACTCCTGTCCTCAAGTGATCCACCCGCCTCCGCCTCCCAAAGTGCTGGGATTACAGGCGTGAGCCACTGCACCTGGCCAAACCCTTTTTTTCTGTGCATTGATACAACATTGTAATGTGTTTACCTGAATGTTTTATCCAGACAGTATGAATTGCATGTTACCTTTGCATCACATTGTTCACTAAAGAAAAATACATAATATTTTAATTATAATTCAATTATTTTTCTATACATGAACAAAATTTCCAATTTAAAATAAAGGCAGGCAACTGATGTAGAATTAAATGGAGATGCAAATGTTAGTGCTATGACAAGAATAGTAAATTAAGAGACTGGAGGCTGGGTGTGGTGGCTCACACCTGTAATCCCAGCACTTTGGAAGGCCAAGGCAGGCAGATCATTTGAGGTCAGGAGTTCGAGACCAGCCTGGCCAACATGGTGAAACTCCATCTCTACTAAAAATACAAAAATTAGCTGGGCTTGGTTGCGCATGCCTGTAATACCAGCTACTCAGGAGACTGAGGTGGGAGAATCACTTGAACCCAGGAGGTGAAGTTTGCAGTGAACCAAAATTGTGCCACTGTCATGCCTGGGTGACAGAGCTAGGTTCCATCTCCAAAAAAAAAAAAAAAAAAAAAAAAAAAGAGAGAGAGAGACTGGAAGCTGGGGGATGGGGAAATTGGGGAGATGTTGGTGAAAGGATACAAAAATTCAGTTAGACTGGAGGAATAAGTTCAAGAGATGTATTGTACAACATGGTGAGTATGGTTAATAACATATTGTATATTTGAAAATTGCTAAGAGAGTAGATATTAAGTGTTCTTACCACACACACACAAAGAAGTATGTGAGGGCTGGATGAAGTGGCTCATGCCTGTAATCCCAGCACTTTGAGAGGCAGAGGTGGGAGGATTTCTTGAGCCCAGGAGTTTGAAACCAACCTGGGCAACATAGGGAGATCCTGTCTCTACAAAAAATAAAAAAATTAGCTGGGTGTGGTGGTGCACATCTGTGGTCCCAGATACTCAGAAGGCTGGGGTGGGAAGATGGCTTGAGCCCAGGAGTTCGAGGTTTCAGTGAGCTATGATTGTGCCACTGCACTCCAGCCTGGGCCACAGAGTGAGACCCTGTCTCAAAAAAACAAAACAAAACAAAACAAAACAAAAAACAAAGAAAACAAAAAGAAGTATGTGAGGTAACATGCATATGTTAAATAGTTTGATTTAGCCATTCCACAATTTATACATATATAAAAACACCAATTGTGCATCATAAATATATACAATTTTTACTTGTCAATTATTTATTTATTTTGAGGCAGAGTAGGCTAATTTTTTTTTTCAGTAGAGACAGGGTCTCACTATGTTGCCCAGGCTGATTTCAAACTCCTGGGCTCAAGCGATCCTCCCGCCTCAGTCCCCCAAAGTGTTGAGATTACAGCCGTGAGCCACCGCACCCGGCCTGCTTGTCAATTTTAAAAAGGGAAACGCTTAAGAAACTGTAGGAAGATGTGCCACCGATTTCATGATGGATGACAGTTGCAACTTGCTGTGGTAGAGTGAAACAAAAAAGCTGCATGTTGGTTGTGAAAAAAAATTTTATGAGAATAAGGTGGAAACTATTGAGACATTTTCAGCAAATACATAGTGAGTTTGATAAGTTTTTCTCCACATTCAAGAAAGAACTAACGAAGCACATGAAAAGATGCTCAACATCCCTTGACACTAGGAGACTGCAAATCCAAACCTCAGAATACCACTTCATACCCATTAGGATGGCGATTACCAACAAAACAAAACGGCACAGGAAACAAGTGTTGGTGAAGATGCAGACAAACTAGAAAACTTCCACCCTTGTGCCTTGCTGGTGGGACTGTAAAATGGTTGCTGTGGGCCGGGCGCGGTGGCTCACGCCTGTAATCCCAGCACTTTGGGAGGCCAAGGCGGGTGAATCATGAGGTCAGGAGATCGAGACCATCCTGGCTAACACGGTGAAACCCCGTCTCTACTAAAAATACAAAAAATTAGCCAGGCGTGGTGGTGGGCACCTGTAGTCCTAGCTACTTGGGAGGCTGAGGCAGGAGAATCGCTTGAACTGGGGGTTGGAGGTTGCAGTGAGCCAAGATTGTGCCACTGCACTCCAGCCTGGGCGACAGAGCGAGACTCCATCTCAAAAAAAAAAAAAAAGTTGCTGTGGAAAGTGGTACAATTGCTCAAAAATTAAAGAAATACCATGGATCCAGCAATTTCACTTCTTAGTATATATCAAGAAGAACTGAAAGCAGGAACTCAAATAGATGCTTGTACACTCAAGTTCATGGCAGCATTATTCCCAATAGCCAAAAGGTGAAAATTACCCCAATGGTCATCAACAGATGAATGGATAGTATATGGTCTTAAGAAAGAAGGAAATTCTGACACTTGTTACAATATGGATGAACCGTGAAGACATTATGCTAAGTGAAATAAGCCCAACAAAAGAGGATAAATACTGTATGGTTCTACACATATGAATTTCCTAGAGTAGTCAAACTCATAGATATAGAAAATAGGCTGGGTGCAGTGGCTCACGCCTGCAATCCCAGCACTTTGGGAGGCTGAGACAGCTGATCATTTGAGGTCAGGAGTTCGAGACCAGCCTGGCCAACATGGTGAAAACACATCTCTACTAAAAATACAAAAATTAGCCAGGCATGGTGGCGCGTGCCTGTAATCTCAGCTACTCAGGAGGCTGAGGCAGAAGAATCCCTTGAACCCAGGAGGCAGAGGTTGCAGTGAGCCAAGATCACACCACTGCACTCCAGCCTGGGCGAAAGGGGGAGTTAGTGTTTAATGGGGTCAGAATTTCAGTGTGGGAAGATAAAGTTGTAGAGATGGACGGTGGTGATGGTTCACAGCAGTGTGAATGTACTTAATGCCATGGAGATGTATACCTACAGATGATTAAAATAGTAAATTTTATGTTGTGTATATTTTACCACAATGAGAAAACCCAATGAAATTAGTTAGTTGAAATCAGAATAAAATGTTGAGCAAAAACCTTTTAAATAGATTTTATTTTATCAGGATTAGAGATTATAACTTTGGCCAGCTATAAAAATGACTAGGATTCTTGCATGCATGCGCGTATACACATGTACACAATTTTTAATGGAAAGATGGTAAAAAAATTATTTAAGTTGTAAAAATTTTGTTAGAAAATTATGAGGAAAAGACTAAAAAGATATTTTAGGCTGGCGTGGTGGCTCACACCTGTAATCCCAGCACTTTGGGAGGCCAAGGTGGGCAGATTGCTTGAGCACCGGAGTGTGAGATCATCCTGGGCAACATGGTGAACCCCTGTCTCTACGAAAAATAGAAAAAAATGGCTGAGTGTGGTGGTGCACCCCTGTAGTCCCAGCTACTGGGGAGGAGGCTGAGGTGGGAGGATCACTGAGCCCAGGAGGTCAAAACTGGAGTGGGGTCAATCCGCACCACCACACTCCAGCCTGGGAAATAGAGGGAAACTCTGTCTCAAAATAAATGAATAAATAAATAAAAATAAAGATTTTACAGAAAGTGAATAATCTGCAATTAAGCCACCAAACAATTGCCCATAGAATGAAAGAACGTATTAAAGCTAAATGGATTCAAATTTTGGAAAATTGCACAATTTAGCTGAGTCATGCCATGAGATACCACCCAACTAATAGCCTGGGTATATTTATTCAAAAAGGTCTTCCAAATTTATGAAAAAACCTTGTCAATTCATGGCTTACCAAAGTGTAGCATAGATTTTAAAAACATCTTTTACATCTGACCAAAAAAATTTCACTTAGATATGAAAAAATTAGTTTCTATCATGCCAGATGGTCCTCCAGCTATGTTTGGTCAAAAATCTGGTTTTATTGGAGTTTCAAAACAAGAGACTGATGTTTCCCTTATTGCTTCATCCCACTGTATGATAAATACTGAAAATATTTGTGCTGCTTTTGGAAGCAGGCTCCATGGAAAGTGTCATGGGTACAGTTGTTAAAACTGTTCAGTGTATACATACAAATGCTGTGAATCACCACCAGTGCATGGGATTTTTGAAAGAAATAGAAGGCAATGAATGGGGTGATCTTGGGTCTTCGCCAATGTTCATTGGTTGAGTCATGGAAGAGTTTTACAAAGATTTACTGTACTGTCAATTCCAATTCAAGATTTTCTTGAAACAAAGGGAATGCTTGCCAAATATTTAATAATCAAAGATAAACATGGCAGTGTGACTTAAGTTTTCTCAGCAATATCATAGTGTATATGAAATGAGATAAATTCCAAGCTCTAAAGAAAGAAAAACCTGTGACCTAGCTGGAAAAGTATAAGAATTTACATTGAAATGAAAACATTTCATAATACAAATCAATAGTAATGATTCTGCATATTTTTAACATGAATCAATATGCAAAATATATATTTTTTAAGACAGGGTTTTGCTCTGTTGCCCAGGCTGAAGTGCAGTGGCATTATCTTGGCTCACGGCAACCTCTGCCTCCCAGACTCAAGTGATCCTCCCACCTCAGCCCCTCAAGTAGCTGGGACTACAGATGCACGCACCATCATGGCCTGCTAATTTTTTTTTTTTTTTTTTTTTTTTTTTTTTTTTGTAGATACAGGGTCTTGTCATGTTTCCCAGGTTGGTCTCGAACTCCTGAGCTCAAGTGATCTTCCCCACCTCGGCCTCCCAAAGTGCTGGGATTACAGGCATGAGCCACCGCGCCTGGCTGCAAAATATTTTTAATGGTAATCACCAGTATTATGTAAATTATCTGCAAAACTTACAAGAAAAATTTGAAGAATATTGTTGATATTGACAAACTTTAGAGTTACTTTTCAATTTATACAGCATCCTTTTACATTCCATGTTAATACTGAGTTGACATGAGGATTGGTGAATTGCTATAACTCGGACAGAAGTAGGTTTTTGTTTTTTGTTTTTTGTTTTTTTTTTGAGACAGGGTCTCACTCTGTTGCCCAGGCTGGAGTGCAGTGGCGTGATCTTGGCTCACTGCAACCTCTGCCTCCCAGGCTCAAGCTTCCTGAGTAGCTGGGATTACAGGCATGCACCACTACCACCGGACTAATTTTTGTATTTTTAATAGAGATGGGGTTTCACCATGTTGGCCAGGCTGGTCTTGAACTCCTGACCTCAAATGATCCATCCGCCTCAGCCTCCTAAAGTGCTGGGATTATAGGCATGAGCCACTGTGCCCAGCCTGGACAGAAGTAGTTTTAAAACTGATATGCTTTTGCTTCAAAGTCAAACCACTATTCCAATAAAGATGAACTAGCTTCACCAATGTGGAAGTGAATAATACAGGAAAGTGATTTTTTGATACTTGGAAAATATTTAAGTATCTTTGGAACAACCTGCATATGCTGTTCTACTTTTTCAACTGTAACTATAAATACAGATCAAATGTTTTCAATGACAGCTGTACTGTAAGTGTAAAATACACCCTGGATGTCAAAGATTTAGAATAACAACAGGAAGTAAGGAATATATCTCATTACAAATTTTTATATTGATTTCAGGTTGACATGAAGATATTTTAGAAATGTTAGGTTCAATAAATTGTAATGTTAAAATTAATTTCATCTGTTTCTTTTTACCTTTTAAAAGTGTGGCAACTAGAATATTTACAATTACGTGTGTGGTTTGTGTTATTATTCTATTCAATAGTGATGGGCTGGGTGTGGTGGCTCATGCCTGTAATCCCAGCAGTTTGGGAGGCCAAGGCAGGCAGATTGCTTGAGACTAGGAGTTTGAGACCAGCCTGGGCAGCATAGTGAGACCTTGACTCTACAAAAAACAAACAAAAAAAACCCACAAAAAAAAACCAAATTAGCCTGGTGTAGTGTCATGAACCTGTAGTCCTAGCTACTTTGGAGGCTGATGCGGGAGGATCGCTTGAGCCTAGGAGTTTAAGACCAGCCTGGGCAACGTAGTGAAACCCTATCTCTACAAAATATTTAAAAATTAGCTGGGTGTGGCAGTATGCACCTGTAGTCCCAGCTTCTTCTTGGCCGGGGCGGGAGGATTACTTGAGCCCAGGAGGTTAAGGATGCAGTGAGCTGTGATTGCACCACTGCACTCCAGCCTGGTGGACAGAGTGAGACCCTGTCTCAAAAAACAAAACAAGCTAACACGGTGAAACCCTGTCTCTACTAAAAATACAAAAAAAAATTAGCTGGGCGTGGTGGCGGGCGCCTGTAGTCCCAGCTACTGGGGAGGTTGAGGGAGGAGAATGGCGTGAATCCGGAAGGCAGAGCTTGCAGTGAGCCAAGATCGCGCCACTGCACTCCAGCCTGGGCGACAGAGCGAGACTCTGTCTCAAAAAAAAAAAAAAAAAAAAAAATTAAAGATAAGAAACAAAACAAACAAAACCCAGCGATGATCTAGAATTGCCTGCCCTCTTATTTGCACCAGTGTTCCTGCTGGGAGAATTATGTACTGTGATTAGGTCTGACAAGAGGGCTGTCTAAGTCACTTGTCGCCCCTCTCATCTCATCATCCACTATGGAAGCTGAAGGAGCCAAGTTCAAGAAGTTAGCTGTGAAGCTGAGCAATTAGATCCTTCCTCCCAGGACTTAGATTCTGGAGTAAGTGGTGCAGAGACAGAAACATTATTTGGAAGTCAAATTCGGCATAGGATCAGTGTCCGTGTGTGGCCTAGACTTGTAAATTCTTCCCCACTGTATTGTTGCTACTAATGGGGCGGCGGGGAGGGGTGGTGGAAGGGACAGTACAGAATCAGATAGAATGTCCACTACAGAAGTATTATTAGAGGAAGATGTTGACTCAAGGGAAGACGGGGCCAAGCCTCAAGTCTGATGGGTTAGGTTAGCCTCCGAACAGAAGAATAAGCAGTACGGCTGGAAGCCAGGAAGATGGAAGAAAATAGAGCGTGCAGTGGAGAGTGAGCTGTACAAAGAGGTGTCTGGATTAAGAATGAATGGTGGATCGGGGTGGTCACAGCTGAAAGAAACCACATAAAGCAAAAGATTAAGACATAGGTTAGGACCCTATGCCTGCCCTAATCCGCCGCCCTAAGAAAACCATTCTCTGAGTTTTGGAATGAATACCTGGGTTAATTAAAGAAAAAGCACCCTCTGGAAACCTCAGTGTCACGGCACTCCTGGGGATTCCTGATGACAAAAGGAAAGAAGCAATAGGCATGATTTCTTCCTTCCTTCCTTCTGCATGGGGCAGGAATGATGGGCCCTGCCTGTTTCCTGTCTCAGCATCCTACTTCCTCTATAGCCCAGGCCATGGGGTTCCCATGAATGGGATGGATTTTTTATATATATATATTTTATATATATATATTTTATATATATATATAAAATATATATATATAATATATATATAATATATATGTTATATATATATTAAAGATACAGGGTCTCACTCTGTTGCCTAGGCTGGAGTGCAGTGGAGCAATCATAGCTCATTGCAGCCTTGAACTCCTGGGCTCCAGCCATCCTTCCACCTCAATCTCCCAAGTAGCTGGGATTACAGACACACACAACCATGCCCAGCTAAGTTTAAAAATTTTTTGTAGAGACAGGGTCTCACTACATTGCCTAGGCTGGTCTTGAACACCTGGCCTCAAGCCAGTGAGATGGAGTCTCACTGTGTCGCCCGGCTGTAGTGCAGTGGCACTATCTCAGCTCACCGCAACCTCCACCTTCCGGGTTCAAGAGATTCTCCTGCCTCAGCCTCCCAGGTAGCTGGAATTACAGGCACGTGCCACCATGCCTGGCTAATTTTTTTGTATTTTTAGTAGAGACTGGGTTTCGCCATGTTGGCGAGGCTGGTCTGGAACTCCTGGGCTCAAGTGATCCTCCCACCTCGGCCTCCCAAAGTGCTGGGATTACAGGTGTGAGCCACTGCGCTCGGCCTGATTCTGTTCTTAAGCTATTCCTTATCCTCTACTTCTGAGGTCATTTTCCTTTTCCCCTCCTGTGCCTTTGTCCCTATTTGATGCCTTGCATGGGATATAACCTACTCCTCCCAGAGGCTGGAAATGTCCCTTGAACCTCAGCTTAGTGACCACAGCCCTGCTTTCCGCCCACTGACCACTACTCAATCCCTGCCTGACAACTCGACAGGCGTCAGATGCTCTCAGATTTTCCATGGCTTTCTCCCCACACCACCACTTTGGATAACCTTCGGACAACATTGCTCAGTTTCTTGGAGTCTGATGACCTGCTTAACTGTTCCAGATCTGAGCCTCCTCACACCGCCTTTGCTGAGAGCCCCTCCCTATGGAGCCTCTTTTGTTGCCGTTTACCCCCAGGAATCTGGTCCTGTCAGGAGACACACGATCATAGCCACTGATTCAGGTAGATCCTCTGAAATGATCAGTCTGCTATCTCAGCTCTCCCTGCCTGGAAAAATCCTTCCCCATGGGATCCAGTCAAACCCAACCTATCAATATACATCTTTCCAGCTTTTACTTTGATTAATACCGTGTCAATTGAGAATTTTCTCCTTAGCTTTTTCTCCCATTGTTTTTCCCAAAGACTAGCTTCTCTGGCCACCTGCCACTGATTGAGTTTTAGGAGTTCAATGGCATTTGTTTGTTTAATTCACTTGATGTATTCCAAATGCCCAGACCAATGCATGGTACATGGTAGATGCTCAATAAAAAATCATCGAATGAATGAAAAAGAAACCATAACCCAGAATATTCAGAGGGGTTAATACACATTACCAATGACTAGTACTCATGTTTACAAATAATTCATAGGGTATATCTTACTTGTAGTACCAAAGGTAGATTTTGTTTTATCAATACTGGGCTTAAGAACATCCTTCAGTAGAAATAGCAAGTAGACATATATAAAAGCAGAAACTCTTTTCCTTCCCACTTTGATGCAGATTTCATTTCTACTCTAGCTTTTCCACCATCACTGCTGACCAACTTTACCAACCACTAACCCAGGTGATGCCATACGGATCCAGCAGACCCCTCCTACCAGCTCTTCCTCTTCATTTTCCTCCTGGATCTCTCCAAAGGCCTCCTAACTGGTCTCCCCGTGTCCCTTCTTCTCCATCCTCCCACACATCCTCTGCAAGTGGCCATTGATTTTCCTAACACTGTGAATCATATCAGAAAGAGCATGGGTCGCAGAATGGCTGGAAGAGGACTCACCACCAAGCTGTTTAGAGATGGACATGATAGGGCCAGAGCTCAATCCACCTTCAGAAGGTGACGTGGGGTGATGGTACATTGGCCTCTGTCCCAGGATCGTGAGGTCTGAGTTTCAAACCTTGCCCCCTTTCTCTTGCCCAGTTCTGATTTCAACCCCGTTCAACTTGTCAGAATTTTGAGTGGATGTTTCCTCTGGTTTCCTTAGTTGGAACCTCAGGCAGCTCTGGGCTGAATGGACTGACCCATGGCCCCCAGTGTGAGTGATACTACCTGTTCCATTCCTCGGGCAGCGGAATGTCTTGAGAGCCAGGACACCTGGCGTCTAGGCCTGGCTCTGCCACTAGTTGCATGACTTTAGGCAAATCACATCACCTCTCCGGGCCTCAGTTTTCACACCTGAGAAAGGAAGAGGTTGCATTAGATTAGTGATTCTCCACTTTTTACTTCATTCCCCTCCCAGACACAACCAGTGATGCCTATTTGCCTATGAGACACAAACCCATGTGCAACTCCTGGGCACAAACTTTAATTTCATCCCTTTCTTTTTTTTCTTTCTTTTTTTTTTTTTTGTCGCCCAGGCCAGAGTGCAGTGGCTTGATCTTGGTTCACTGCAACTTCCGCCTCCCGGGCTCAGGCGATCCTCCTGCCACAGCCTCCCAAGTAGCTGGGACCAAAGGCGTGCACCACCATGCCCAGATAATTTTTTGTATTTTTGGTAGAGATGGGGCTTTGCCATGTTGCCCAGGCTGGTCTCGAACTCCTGAGCTCAAGCAATCCACCCGCCTCAGCTTCCCAAAGTGCTGGGATTACAGGTGTGAGCCACTGTGACCAGCCTCATGCCCTTCTTTTTCTTCCTTTTTTTTTTTTCTTTCTTTTTTTTTGGACAGGATTTTACTTTGTCACCCAGGTTGGAGTGCAGCTGTGCAATCACAGCCCACTGCAGCCTTGGCCTCCCAGGCTCAAGTGATCCTCCTGTCTCAGCCTCCTGAGTAGCTAGGACTAGAAGTGCACACCACCATGCCCAGCTAATTTTTGTATTTTTTGCAGAGGCAGAGTCTCCCTATGTTGCTCAGGCTGGTCTTGAAGTCCTGAGCTCTAGGGATCCACCTGCCTTGGCCTCCCAAAGTGCTGGGATTATAGGCGTGAGCCACTATGCCTGGCTGGCTGGTCTATTATCTTGTACTTTTATTCAAGACTCCCCCACCCAACTATCATTCTTGCTCTCATCTATGTCTGCAACTTCTCTCTTCTCAGTTAGACCATAAATTACATGAGATTGCACCTATCATTTCTCTATTATCACTGTCAAAAAAACAGTGACTGGGCCAAGTGCCATGGCTTATGCATGTGATCCCAGAGCTTTGGGAAGCCGAAGTGGGAGGACTGTTTGAGCTCAGGAGTTTGAGACCAGTCTGGGCAACATAGTGAAGCCTCATTTCTACAAAAAACAGACAAACAAACAAAAATTAACCAAATGTGGTGGTGCATGTCTGTAAGTCCCAGCTACTCAGGAGGCTAAGGCAGGAGGATCACTTGAGTGAGTCCAAGGAGATGGAGGCTACAGTGAGCTATGATCACACCATGTACTCAAGCCTGGGCGATAGAGCGAGACCCTGTCTCAGAAAGAAAACAAAAAAAGCGGCTGGTACAACAGGTATTTAGTAAGTAGTTGGTGAATAAGTGAATGATGAAAAGATTGAAAGCAGAAATCAGTGAATGAATCTATTTCTGTCTACTGATTTTCTCCTTTAGCACATACTCATATCTTAGTCTTTCTCATGTTTTTTGAGAGAGGGTCTTGCTCTGTTGCCCAGGTTGGAGTGCAGTGGTGTGATCATAGCTCACTGCAGCCTCCAACTCCTGGGTTCAAGAGATCCTCCTACGTCAGCTTCCTAAGTGGCTGGGATTACAGGTGTGTGCCACTATGCCTGGCTAATTTTCTTTTTTTAAATTTTTTATAGAGACAAGTTTTTTGATATGTCATCCAGGCTGGCCTCGAACTCCTGGCTTCACATAATTCTCCTGCCTCGGCCTCCTAAAGTTTTGGAATCACAGGCATGAGCTACCACACGCAGCCGTCTTTCTCATCTTCTATGACAAACATTCACACAAACACTTAAACAATTATCAACCCTATGTACGTCCTCTCTTAACTTTAAGAGTCAAAGTACTTGAAATATTTGTGAGGATTGACTGTTTCCAGTTCCTCATATCCTATTTCTCCAAAATCTCTGCACTCTGGGATCAGTTGCCTCCACCCCAGTGAAGGTATTTGCACCAACATCATCAAGATCTTACATGTTGCCCAATCCAATGGCAACAGATTTCTATCCTTGTTTTACTTGACCTCCTAAGTCCTAACAGTATTTTGATGTCTGCTGAGTTTATTATTCTTATATAACCAGAGGGGAGACAGAAATGATTTTTTAAAACAGGAAAATGACAGTAGAAATAGTTATTGCTTTAGTTTTCCCAAGGCAGTCAGTTTAAGGGAGACTAAATACAACACCATTTAGAGATTACAGGGATTCATCTGAGGTTTTGTTTTTTGTTTTTTGTTTTTTTTTTTGAGACAACCTTGCTCTGTTGCCCAGGCTGGAGTGCAATGGTGCGGTCTCAGCTCACTGCAACCTCCGCCTCCTGGGTTCAAGTGATTCTCCTGCCTCAGCCTCCCGAGTAGCTGGGACTACCGGCACATGCCACCACACCCAGCTACTTTTTGTATTTTTAGTAAAGACAGGGTTTCACCATGTTGGCCAGGCTGGTCTTGAACTCCTGGCCTCAAGCGATCCGCCTGCCTCGGCCTCCCAAAGTCCTGGGATTACAGTCATGAGCCACCGTGCCCATCCTGTTTCTGTTTTTTGAGACAGGGTCTTGCTTTGTCACCCAGGTTGGAGTGCAGTGGTGTGATCTCAGCTCACTTCAAAAGAACCTCCCAGGTTCAAGCAATCCTCCCACCTCAGCCTCATGAGTGGCTGAGACTACAGGCATGTGCCATCACGCTGGGCTAATTTTTGTATTTTTGGTAGAGATGGGGTCTCACTATGTCACCCAGGCTGGTCTTGGACTCCTAGGCTTAAGTGATCCTCCTGCCTCGGCCTCCCAAAATGCTGGGATTATAGTGGCGAGCCACTGCGCCTGGCCGCTATACTGATTTTTGCTGCCTGTTTTTGTACTTTGTATAAATGGCATCACAGTCAGGCATGGTGGCTCACGCCTGTAATGCCAGCACTTTGGGAGACTGAGGCGGGTGGATCACTTGAGGTCAGGAGTTTGAGACCAGCCTGGCCAACATGGTAAAGCCCTGTCTCTACTAAAAATACAAAAGTTAGCTGGGTGTGGTGGCGCGAGCTGGTAGTCCCAGATACTTGAGAGGCTGAGACAGGAGAATCGCTTGAACCAGGAGGTGGAGGGTGCAGTGAGCCAAGATCAGGCCACTGCACTCCAGCCTGGGCAACAGAGCCAGACTCCATCTCAAAAATAAATAAATAATAAATAAATTAAAAAATGGCATCATATGGAATGTACTCTACGTGCCTTGCTTCTTTCATTGGATGTGATATTTGTGAGATTCCTTGGTATTGTGTTGTGTGGTTGTGGCGCCCTCATTCTCACTGCTGCCTGAGTCCTCTTTTAAGAAAGCTCTGCACCTCCCCACATGGGACCTTCCTTCCCACAGTAACTGTGGTTCCCTCACTTCCAATAACATTTCCCTTCCTCCTTCCTTACTTTCCCTCCATAGGTCTGATCACCATCTAATATATTGTACATTTAATCTATTTATTGTATTATTTTCCCCTTGCCTAGAACTATGGAGTCATAGTCAGATCAATGCTCGTACTCTTTGAACAAGTAAACCTCAGTGACCTCCGCATGGCATCCAGCATGCCCATGGGTGGAGGGAACGCCAGGCTGCCCAGACCACAGATGGGTCAAGAACTGCAACAGGCTGGGCACGATGGCTCACGCTTGTAATCCCAGCACTTTGGGAGACTGGGATGGGCAGATCGCTTGAGGCCAGGAGTTCGAGACCAGCCTGAGCAACATGGTGAAACCCCATCTCTACAAAAAATTTTAAAACTAGCCAGGTATGGTGGTATGCACCTGAAGTCCCAGCTACTAGGGAGGCTGAGACGGGAGGATCACCTGAGCCTGGGAGGTTGAGGTTGCAGTCAGCCATCATCCCACCACTACACTCTAGCCTGGGCCAGGGAGTGAGACCCTGTCTCAAAAACAAAAAGAAAAACAAACAAAAAAAACCCCTGCAACAAAGTGTCATTTAGCAGGAGAGGCCAATCTGATGGGGCCCCAGGTATGGCTCTCTTACTGTAATATCTATACCACAGCCATGAATATAGATGTGAAAATTCTACATAAAATGCTTACAAATAACTTTTTCAAGCTTATGACAATTAAAAGTTAAAAAGGTTCAGAAATATCTATTAATAGGGAATATCTGAACTTTCTGGATTTACATGCTTTTGCATCTTGAATTTTTAATAATAAGCATCCATTGATTTAGTAATTAAAAATTAAGGAACAAAATGCCATAACTGAGTCAAATTTATCTTACTACTGTCAAAACAGTTCAATATTTATGAATTGATATAAAAATAAAACAAAGAGCCAGGCTTAGTGGCTCTACCTGTAATCTCAGCTGAGGTGAGAAGATCACTTGAGGCCAGGAATTCAAGACCACCCTGGACAACATAGTGAGACCCTGTCAAAAAAAAGTTAAAAAATAAACCAGGCGCAGTGGCATGTGCCTGTAGTCCTAAATACTCGAGAGCATAAGATGGGAGGATCTCTTGAGCCCAGGAGTTTGAGGCTGCAGGGAGCTGTGATCATCCCACTGCAATCCAGCCTGAGTAACAGAGCAAGATCCTGTCTCAAAAAAAAAAAAAAAATCACAAAGTCCTACAATATTTTATAAAATCACAAATCTAACATTACAATAATAGAAGAGTGTCTGGCTTATCATAGGCACTTAGGTAATTCTTGAATGAATGAATGAAAATATATTAATATGTTAAATCATTCCAATAGGTCAAGTATAAAAAACAACCCACAATGTTACTAATAAATGCTGAAAAGGCATTAAGAAAGAATCCAGCACACATTCCTGATGAAAATCCTTGGCAGGCAGTAAAGAAGACGGTTTCCGTCACATGCCTCCCTGCAAACCACTGCAATCTGGCTTTTGCTGGCACCCTGCCATTGGAACTGCTTTCCCCAAGGCGATCAGTGCCCTGCATATTGCCAAATCCAATGCACTTGGATGGGTACCAATAAATATGTAATGAATTAAGGAATGGATGATAAAAGAATCTCAGATCAACGGCATCATCCTTAACAATAAAACACCAGCATTGTCTCTTTAAAGTCAGAAATAAAATGCAGGATGTGAGCTACTGCTATCATTTGATGATGTTTCTGGAAGCTCAGGCAAAAATAAAACAAAAAACCATGGAGACCAAAATATAAGGTACAGCTACTGGCAACAAGGTGACAAAATCATCTTTCTTTGTGTAAAACCTCAGAGAATTATGCAAAAACTCTCAGAAATAATAAGAGAGTTCTGGGAGTTTACAGATACACAAATGGTAATTGTTTTCCCTGAATACCAACAAATGTGATGTCTATGATGGGTGCTGAGACAATTGAGAAAGTAAAATTTTTTAAAAAGGTGCAGAATCTGGCCAGGTGTGGTGGCTCGTGCCTGCAATCCCAGCACTTTGGGAGGCCAAGGCAGGCGAATTACTTGAGGTCAGGAGTTTGAGACCAGCCTGGCCAACATGGTGAAACCCTGTCTGTACTAAAAATACAAAAATTAGCTGGGCGTGGTGGTGGGCTCCTGTAATCTCAGCTACTCAGGAGGCTGAGGCGGAAGAATGGCTTGAACCTGGGAGGCAGAGGTTGCAGTGAGCCAAGATCGAGCCACTGCACTCAAGCCTGGGTGACAGGTCTCCAAAAATAAACAAATAAATATATAAGTAAATAAATAAATAAACGTGCAGAATCTTATGAATAAGAAGTAAAACAATCCAGATGAAGGGTATAGAGTTCCAGCATTACAAAGAAAGAAAGAAGGAAGGAAGGAAAGAAGGAAGGAAGGAAGGAAGGAAAGAAGGAAAGAAAAGAAAAAGAAAGAAAAAGAAAGAAAAGAAATAAAGAAAGAAAGAAAGAAAGAAAAGAAAGAAAGAAAAAGAAAGAAAGGTGACTCACTTCTGTAATCCCAGTGCTCTGGGAGGCTGAGGCAGGAGTTCAAGACCAGCCTGGGCAACATAGCAAGACCCTGTCTCAACAACAACAAAACAAATGAAGAAAGAAAAAAGTGTATGGAGAATAAGATTTTTTTTCCAACTTGCTAAATGTGAAATGTAAATGATTCTTACATTGTGAAATTTACATTAAATTCTAGGGCAAGACACAGGCTTGATATCTTCCATGGACAGGCCAGGTGCCACTGAACCATGAGAAAGGGCTAAGATTGGTAAGGTGGGGGCTGATGCTGCCCCACCCTGGAGAGCACATTCTGGATCCCTTGTTGTAATCTGGAATCCCCGAATGAAGTTCCTGGACTTGTAACCTCAGCTGACCTGGGATAACAATTCTGTTTTCTTAGTAGGGAAGCGATGTGACAAACACAGAAAAGTGTAAAAACAAATATAGAGACGATGGCCGAATAAGTCATACCTGTGGTATATTAATACTCTTGTATTAGGTTCAGCAATTCGTTTTTATAGTCCTAGTGATAATGTGTAGATTTTGCATGTTACAATATTTAAGGTGTGTGAAACACTTAAGAGAATCTGGTATATTCAATGTGCATTTATTTATTTATTTATCTGAGACAGGGTCTCTCTCTGTCGCCCAGGCTGGAGTGTAGTGGCATGATCTCGGCTCACTGCAACCTCTGCCTCCTGGGCTTAAAGGATCCACCTGCCTCAGCCTCCCAAGTAGCTGGGACTACGGGCATGCACCACCATGCCTGGCTATCTGTTTTGTATTTTTTTGTAGAGATGGGGTTTTGCCATGTAGTTTAGGCTGGCCTTCAACTCCTGAGCTCAAGCAAACCTCCCAAAGTGCTGGGATTACAGGCCTGAACCACTGCGCCCAGCCCAATTTTGAAATTTATTGATCAAATGATCACACTATTTAGGCACTGGGCATATACAGTGATAAAAAAGATAAATTTGGTCTGGCCCAGTGGCTCACGCCTGTCATGCTAGCACTTTGGGGGGCTGAAGCGGGAGGATCACTTGAGGCCAGGAGTTCAAGAGACCAGCCTGGTCAACATGGCAAAACCATGTCTCTAATAAAGATACAAAAATTAGCCAGGTGTGGTGGTGCATGACTGTAATCCCAGCTACTCAGGAGGCTGACATGAGAATCCCTGGAACCGGGAGGCAGAGGTTGCAGGGAGCTGAGACCATGCCACTGCACTCCAGGCTGGGCATCAAAGCGAGACTTCGTCTCGAAAAAAAAAAAAAGAGAGATAAATTCTATACCTTAATGGAGCTTAAATTCTATTGGGAGGAATGTGTGTGTGTGGAGGCACAGAAAACAAACAAGGAAAGAAATAAAAGCCGGGCACAGTGGCTCACGCCTGTAATCCCAGCACTTTGGGAAGCCGAGGTGGGTGGGTCACGAGGTCAGGAGTTCGAGGTCTGCCTGGCCAATATGGTGAAACCCCAACTCTACTAACAATACAAAAATTAGCTGGGTGTGGTGGCACACGCCTGTAATCCCAGCTACTTGGGAGGCAGAGGCAGGAGCATCGCTTGAACCCGGGAGGTGGAGATTGCAGTGAGCCGAGATTGCACCACTGCACTCCAGCCTGGGCAACAGAGTGAGACTCTGTCTCAAGAAAAAAAGAAAAAGAAAAAAAAATAAATACACCATGAGTATAATTTTTGAAAGTAAGTGATGCTGTAAGGAAATAAGCCTGGTTAAGGTGATAGATTGCACTTTAGATCAAAGCACTGTACTTTAAATTGAAGGCCTCTCTGAAGAGATAATACTCTGAGCTGAGATCTTAAACCTACAAAGGAGTAAACCATGAATAAGTCAAGCAGCTGCATATATGGTAAATAGAGCATATAAAGGCTCTGAGGCCAGAGCAAGCTTGGTAGGTTCAAGTACCTGCAAAGCAGCCACTGTGGCTGCAACAGAGCAAGTGAGAGGAAGTTCTAGAATAAAGCAAGTGCCTGGTGATGTAGGGCCTTGCAGACTATGTTGAGAAGTCTGGATTTTTTTTTTTTTTTTTCGAGACTGAGTTTTGCTCTTGTCACCCAGGCTGGAGTGCAATGGCGCAATCTCGACTCACTGCAACCTCCGCCTCCCAGATTCAAGTGAGTCTCCTGCCTCAGCCTCCTAAGTAGCTGGGATTACATGCATGCACCACCGCACCCAGCTAATTTTTGTATTTTTAGTAGAGACAGGGTTTCACCATGTTGGCCAAGCTGGTCTTGAACTCCTGACCTCAGGTGATCTGCCCGCCTCGGCCTCCCAAAGTGCTGGGATTACCAGCGAAAGCCACTGTGTCTGGCCCCAGATTTTATTTTTAATGTGAAGACAACTCATTGGTAGATTTTGAGTAGGGGTATCGTGGGATCAGATTTATGATTTTAGAAGACTCTGGGGGTGGCTGTAAGATGAAAAGTCTGTAGTGAGGAAGGTATGAATGAATGAAAGCTGAGGGGCCAGTTGGGAGTCTTACCCAGTCCAGGTGAAAACGATATTGGCCTGGAAGAGGATGGTGAAAGTGTAAACAGAGAGAAATGAATAGCCAGGCAATATGTTTGGAAGGCAGGGCCAGAGGAACTTGACTATGGATTGTGTGTGGGGTGTGGCGACAATAAGGAATCAAAGACTTCTAGAGTTTGGGATTAAAGAACTAGGTGGACGGTGGTGGAATTTCTTCAGTTGGGAAAGATATTGGAGGTTGGGAGACAGGTTTGTTTTGAGGGGAAATCAAGAATTCTGGTTTGGACCTGTAAATTTTGAGATGTCTGTTCAATAAACCACAGGGGGATGATCAGCAGGTAGCTGGTTATGGGAGACGAGAAGTGTGTTGTCAGCTTGTAGATGATATTTACAGATATGAGACTTTCAAACAAGGAAAGAGCCTGGGCGTGGTGGCTCACACCTGTAATCCCAGCACTTTGGGAGGCAGAGGCAGGAGAATCATTTAAGCCCAGGAGTTCGAGACCAGCCTGGGCAATATAGCAGGACCCTGTCTATTAAAAAAAGTAGCTGGGTGTGGTGGTGCACACCTGTGGTTCCAGCTACTCAGGAGGCTGAGATAGGAGGATCCCTTGAGCCCAGGAGGCTGTGGCTGCAGTGATCTATGATCTAGTCACTGCACTACAGCCTGGGCAACAGAGTGAGACCCTGTTCCAAAAAAAAAACTCAAACAAACAAGAAAAGAACTTAAGTGGAGTCCAAGTCTGAAGACTGAACCCTAGGATGTTCTGTTTTTCTTTTTTTGTTGTTTTTTTTTTTTGAGGTGGAATCTTGCTCTGTCACCCAAGCTGGAGTGCAGTGGCACAATCTTGGCTCACTGCAACCTCCACCTCCTGGGTTCAAGTGATTCTTATGCCTCAGCCTCCCAAGCAGCTAGGACTACAGGCGTGCGCCACCACGCCAGGCTAATTTTTGCATTTTTAGTGGAGATGCAGTTTTGCCGTGTTGGCCAGGCTGGTCTCGAACTCTTAACCTCAAGTGATCCACCCACCTCAGCTTCCCAAAGTGCTGGGATTACAGGTGTGAGTCACCACACCCAGCCCCTAGGATGTTCTAATATTTACAATAAGTGGGAAGAGAATTAGGAACAAACAAAAGGACTGAGAAAGAATAGGGGCAAACCAAGAGTGGGGTGTCCTGGAACTCGAGAGAAGAAAGTAATATGTTGTGTCGAATGTTGCTGAGGGGTTGAGAAAGATGACATCTGAGACTTGGCCACTGGATAGGCAAACTGAAGAGAATCTGTGGCCTTCACCATACAGGTTTCTCAAGCAGTTGTAGGGCATGGGCCAAAAGTACAAGTGGAGATCTACACACCATATGTTTAAATACTAAATGCTATCAGCCAAGCAAGCTGCTAAATAAAATAGATGTTATCCTCCTACCTTGACAAATGCATATTCACCATATGTGTTTGGAAGGCAAGTTTCAAATTTAGAATTCTCTGATTCCAAGAGTTCTTCTCCAGAATGAATTGGCGCAGGGAGGGCTGGTCCCTTTTTTTTTTTTCTTTCTTCCCTTCATCTGTATGTACAAGCATGGACCCTCCAGGCTGAATGTCTAAGCTCCACCAACACACTCCTTCCCACCTCCACCCCAGCAAACAGCCATCTCTTAGGTATAGAGAGGCACATACCACATCCCTTGGATCTGGGCAGCAGCCTCTCCCAGGCACTGGGAACTGGCTTGGGGCCATTTAGACAGGGAATCCCAGGGTTTTAGGTACTCTGAGTAGAGTCCGTGAAGGGACAACTTCTGACTAGCCATGTTTGTTTGGCCCTGTGAATCCCTTGCCTAAAGGGGAGAGCATAGCTGTAGGATGACCAGTGTGGGGCTCCCTACAGCATGAGGCCTTAGGGCTGTATTCGAGTGGGTTAAAGAGAGAATAGGAGAATAGGACGTGAGGTGGGAGGGAAGCAAAGGTAGACAGCTCTTTGAAAATATTTTTCCTATAAAGAGGTAGTAGCTAGAGGGAGAAGGAGAGCCAGAGAAAGCTTTGTTTTATGTTTTTTGTTGTTGTTGTTTGTTTTTGTAGAAACAAGTTCTCACTACGTTGCCCAGGCTGGTCTCTAACTCCTGGCTTCAAATGATCCTCCTGCCTCTGCCTCCCAAAGTGCTGGGATTACACATGTTAGCCACTGTGCCTGGTCCTTGCTTTGTGTTTTTAAAGATAGCACTTCCAGATGCTGATGGAAATGATCCAGTAGAGGGAAATGTTGATGATGAGAAGTGAATGGGGGTGGTGTTAGGAGCAGAGTCCCTGAGCAGGTGAGAGATAGGATCACATCCAAGGCTTGAATGCAGGAATTGGCCTAAGGAGGTCTATGGAGAATTCCTCTACTATAAAAGGAGAGAAAGCAGATTAGATTGGCCCAGGTATAATTAGGTTGGTAGATCTGGTAGTGGGAAGAAAAAATATAACATTCTTTTCTAATTGCTTCTAATATTCACAATTAAATAGTAAGTGAGAATTAGGGAGGAATAAGTTATGAAAAGTTATGTAGGACACTTAAAAATGGTTAAGATGGCAAATATTATGTTATGTGCATTTTTTTTTTTGAGACAGGGTCTCACTCTGTCACCCAGGCTGGAGTGCAGTGGTGTGATCATAGCTCACTGCAGCCTTGATCTCCCTGGGCTCAGGTGATCCTCCTGGCTCTGCCTCCTGAGTAGCTGGGAATAACAGGCACGCACCAGCACACCTAGCTTACTTTTTGTACTTTTTTATAGAGTCAGGATTTTGCAGCCTGGTCTCAAACTCCTGGACTCAAACAATTCACCTGCCTCGGCCTCCCAAAGCAGTGAGATTACAGGCGTGAACCACTGTGCCCGGTCTATGTGTATTTTACTACAATTAAAATAAATTTTTAAAAAAGGCTAATAAATGACTATCTTTCTCCTCCCCCCAAAATAATAGTTACCTGGGAAAACAGAAAAGTGAATATATTAGGGGGCAGTACTGGGCGGTCAACTGGAGATTTATGGACACAAATTTAAAGCAAAACCAACAAGCACAACTATTGCTCTAAGCGGAATGGTGAGTTAACAGTTTGATTGATATAAGATTTGTAACTTTAATTAAAAATATTTAAGAGAATTTGATTTATTTAGGCTGAAACTGAATGTTTAAAAATTTCTGGATTAATAAATAATTTCAGACTTCCTAGGTTTGTAAATAGTGTTTAAGCACTTAGCGATTCTGTTTGTTGGATTTATAAGTCAGCCTTGTCAGATGTTTGAAGCACTTAGGAGATTCAAATTTGTAATTGTGGTTAAAAATGACAAAGCTGAAGGAAAATTTATTAAGCAGGCTTTTAAGTGATGTTAAATATTTAGGGGAATTTATTATGTCACATTTACAATTTAGCAATGATACAAGAACAAATAAAAAATATACATAACTTTAGATAAGATATACTAGATTTATAAGTATAATAATATGATTCATGAGTTACGTTAAAGGCCTCGGGAAAACTAGGTTTTTAGATTTACAACTTTAATAAATTGCATGTTAGTTAAAATACAAGTAACTGTAAATATACTTGTCTATGCACTAAAGCTCAAATTCAGGTGCTAAAGTTATAGCTGTTCCCTGTGAAATGCCATTATATGCCAGTCTCACCATTTTATTTTTTGAGCCTGGGTGTCTGTCTCCCATGATAACTCCAAATCCGATGAAAATGACAGAAAAAAAAAATACAGTGGACCTTTGAACAATGTGGGAGTTAGGGGCACCGACATTGAAAATCTGCATGTAACTTTTGACTCCCCAAAAACTGAACTACTAATAGACTACTATTGACTGCAAGCCTTATGGATAGCATAAACAGTCGGTTAACACGTATTTTGTATATTATATGTATTATATACTGTCTTCAATATTAAGAAAATCACAAGGAAATAAAAATAGATTTACTATTCATTAAGTAGAAGTGGTTCATCATAAAGGTCTTCATCTTCGTCATCTTCAGTTTGAGTAGGTTAATGGGGAGGAGGAAGAAGAGGGGTTACTCTTGCTGTCTCAGATGTGGCAGAGGTGGAGAAGGTAGAAAGGGAGACAGAAGAGGCAGGCACACTTGGTATAACTTTTTTTTTTCTTTTTTCTTTTTTTTGAGATGGAGTCTCACTCCTTCACCCAGGCTGGAGTGCAATGGAGCGATCTCAGCTCACTGCAACCTCCGCCTCCTAGGTTCAAGCGATTCTTCTGCCTCAGTCCCCCAAGTAGCTGGGATTACAGGCGCCCACCACCACACCCAGCTAATTTTTTGTATTTTTAGTAGAGACGGGGTTTCACCATGTTGGTCAGGCTAGTCTCCAACTCCTGACCTCAGGTGATCCACCCGCCTTGGCCTCCCAAAGTGCTGGGATTACAGGCATGAGCCTGGCCCTTAGTGTGACTTTTATTGAAAACAATCCATGTATAAGTAAACTGTGCAGTTCAAACCCATGTTGTTTAAGCATCAACTATATTTTATATTTATACATACATACAAATTTTACATATAAATCCAAAATTGCTAGAAAACAAGAAAGATGGCCAAGTGCCGTGGCTCATGCCTGTAATCCCAGCACTTTGGGAGGCCGAGGCGGGCAGATCACGAGGTCAGGAGTTCGAGACCAGCCTGGCCAACACGATGAAACCCCATCTCTACTAAAAATGCAAATAATTAGCCGGGCATGGGGGCAGGCGCCTGTAATCCCAGCTACTCAGGAGGCTGAGGCAGGAGAATCACTTGAACCCAGGAGGCAGAGGTTGCAGTGAGCCAAGATCACGCCACTGCCCTCCAGCCTGGGCAACAGAGCGAGACTGTCAAAAAAAAAAAAAAAAAAAAAAGCAAGAAAAGAAAACATGAAAGAGACCTGTTAGCAGATCAGAAGTTGTGAGGAAATCCTATAAGAACACATCAGGGGTCAAATCAATGGCAGAACCAGGGTAGAGAAATTCAATGCTAAACACTCCTGAGGGAAGGCAGTTCTTCCCAAGGAAGCCTGCGGGAAATCCAAGATCAGAGTAAACAAATATTAAGAGCGAGAGAGGTCTCCCGGGGCAGTCATTAAGATAATTAATTAATTTTACAGGGCCCCAGCTGGGTCAGAAGCCGCCCTTCTGCCTGGTAGCTCCAGGATGATCAAGCTCTGAGGATGAAGACCCCAGAGCTACTTTTTGAACACGGGAATAAATAATTTGCTTGGGGAAGGCACTGAACTTGAAAGCTGACCCGGATTGTGAAGCACAGCCTTTCTTAATAGGGCCTCCGAAACAATCGAGGCTGATGTAGGGGAGGAGAAGGAGAGGCTGTCACCAGTGACTGCTCCAGGTCACAGCCACATGTGTAGCCCTCCAAGCTAGGACACTTCGGGTTAGCCACAGAAGCTGCGGCAGGTGAGCAGTACCCCAGATAATATTTAGCTACCAAGAAGGATACAGGGTCCCATCTCTAGAATATAAACTACCTGGTTGGGCCATACATTTACTCCTGAACTTTATGGAATTCTCATCTGGACTGATGCTTTAGCTTCTGACACCACTGCAAATCCTAGAGAAAGGAATTTGTAGATTAAAAAAAAAAAAAAAAAACAGGCTGGGCGCGGTGGCTCACGCCTGTAATCCCAGCACTTTGGGAGGCCAAGGCGGGTGGATCACGAGGTCAGGAGATCGAGACCTTCCTGGCTAACATGGTGAAACCCCCCTCTCTACTAAAAAGTACAAAAAAATTAGCCGGGCGTGGTGGTGGGTGCCTGTAATCCCAGCTACTCAGGAGGCTGAGGCAAGAGAATGGCGTGAACCCGGGAGGCGGAGCTTGCAGTGAGCGGAGATAGTGCCACTGCATTCCAGCCTGGGCGACACAGTGAGACTCCGTCTCAAAAAAAAAAAAAAAAAAGAAATAGTATCTAAAAAAACTTGGTAAAACATATGCTTTACATAAATGTGAATGTGTATATGTAAAAAAATTTTTTAAATCTGGAGCTACGATTTCATCAGATTTCAGTGTTGTTCAAGCAGGAAAAGGCTTGAAAGTATGCTATGGCTTGAATTGCTCCAAGGAAGGCTACAGAGGCAGAATAAGTCTAGATTCTCATAGAAAGATATCTGTTATGAAATTTCAGATACATTGCAATGAGTCATGCGGGCAGCTTCTGGGGTGCTGGCAATATTTCATTTCTCAATGTAAAAATGTTTAGCTTTGTTTGCTTTATGTTCTTTTTTTCCTGTGTGTGTTATATTTCTGTACATATAAAACATTTTAAAAACAAATAAAAACCAAGAGTGACCACTAGATTTGCGATTCTGAAACCTGGTGGCACATTGGAGCAATCTGAAGAGGGTTTAAAAAATATTGGTGTCCCCTGGGGAGGACAAGATGGGAGAGGGAGGAATTGGGGCAAGAGAAAAAAAAACTGAATGTGTGCTATGCTCACTACCAGGGCATTCTTACTCCAAACCTCAGCATCATGCAATATACCTTTGTAACAAACCTGCACATGTAACCCCTGAATCTATAATAAAAGTTGAAAAGAAACTATTGGTGTCCAGAGTACAGTGCAGACCATATAAATTAGAATCTCTTAGATGGGGTCAGAGATATGTATCTGAGAGCCACTGTACTGGAAGAATAAAAATAAACAAACTTAACACTCTAGCTCAGGCTAGAGTGTAATGGTGCGATCTCGGCTCACTGCAACTTCCGCCTCCTAGGTTCAAGCAATTCTCCTGCCTCAGCCTCCTGAGTAGCTGGGATTACAAGCGCCCGCCACCACCCCGAGCTAATTTTTTTTTTTTTTTTTTTTTTTTTGTTTTGAGACGGAGTCTCGCTCTGTCGCCCAGGCCGGACTGCGGACTGCAGTGGCGCAATCTCGGCTCACTGCAAGCTCCGCCTCCCGGGTTCACGCCATTCTCCTGCCTCAGCCTCCCGAGTAGCTGGGACTACAGGCGCCCGCCACCGCGCCCGGCTAATTTTTTGTATTTTTTAGTAGAGACGGGGTTTCACCTTGTTAGCCAGGATGGTCTCGATCTCCTGACCTCATGATCCACCCGCCTCGGCCTCCCAAAGTGCTGGGATCGAGCTAATTTTTATACTTTTAGTAGAGACGGGGTTTCACCATGTTGGTCAGGCTGGTCTCGAACTCCTGACCTTGTGATCCGCCCGCCTTGGCCTCCCAAAGTGCTGGGATTACAGGCGTGAGCTGCCGCACCCGGCCTGGCATGGGGTTTTAAAATATGCTCAATAATTGATTTCTTTCTCCATGGAATGAAGAAAATCAACTGTTAGGGAAGAGTCAATGCCTGCCAACAAAGCCTCGTGCATCACAGTTCAATTTCCTGATACTTTATCCTTAGCTCTGAATCTTCTATTATGTTGGGCCTAAAATGAGGGGTTCAAGTTTTTCAAGCTACTGGCCATAATGTGTTGACACACTACTTGAAATCATAGAGATAACATTTCTCCACCAAACAGATAATGACAAGGATGACAGGGAGCAGGTCTATGATTTCTGGTCTTTTATGGCCTTATTAGTATTATATAAAGAAATCTCATCACCTCCTTCAATTATTCACATGAGCACCTTCCCCTGGGAGAGCTAGTATGCTCTGGGGTGGAAAAACAGTTTTAGCACACATCAACCATTTCTTCCCAAAACACTCAGAAAAGACCTCTGTTCGGTGACTGATGTTTGATTGTGATAACAATTTGTATTACTTCGTCAGCACTTAAGGTCAGGATGTATGCTGTTGAACAACTGTCCTTTGCTGAGTGCAGTGGCTCATGCCTGTAATCCCAGCACTTTGGGAGGCCGAGGCAGGAGGATCACTTGAGCCCGGAAGTTTGAGGCCAGCCTGGGCAACATAGGGAAGCTCCCACCTCTAGAAAAAATATAATAAGAAATTAGCCAGATGTGGTGATGTGTGCCTGTGGTTCCAGCTACTTGGAAGGCTGAGGTGGGAGGATCACTTGGGTCTGGGAGTTCAAGGCTGCAGTGAGCCATGATTGCACCAGTGCATTCCAGCCTGGGCAACAGAGTGGGATCCTGTCTCAAAACAAACAAACAAACAAACAAACAAACGGTCCTTAGCAAGTAAAGCAGTGGGCAATTCAGCACTCAGATGCAACTATTTTTGAGTAGTCAAGGAAGGTAGATGACAAAAATGGCCCTCCTTCTTCAGCCCTCCTTGTATTCATGCCCTCTGCTGTATAATGCTGTAGCACCTCCCACTTTTGCTCTGAGATGGCCACGTGTCCTGCTGTGACCCAATGGGATGTCAGCAAATGTGACGAGAGCAGAGATTTGGAATCCACGTGCACATTTGGGTTTGCGTGCTCTTGCTCCTCTGTCTGTGTGGTAAGAAACGTGTGGGCGAGCCTGCTGACGGATGTGACCCATGGAATGGAGTGGACTTACCCCGAGTTGTCCCAGCTAGCCAACAGCCAGCTGATGCCCAGACAGGTGAAAGAACCCAGCCAAGAGCAGCAGAGCCGCGTATGTGACCTACAGCCAGTGCTGGCTTCATCACTGCATGACCTTTGCAATTGCATAGAGCCCAGTGCTAAGAAAAGAACCATTTGCTTTAATGCTAATGCTGTTGCCATCCTCTTGAAATTCTTTTTTTTTTTTTTTTTTTTTTTTTTTTTGAGACAGGGTCTTGCTCCTTTACCCATGCTGGAGTGCAGTGGTGCGATCATAGCTCACTGCAGCCTCCAACTCCTGGGCTCAACCAATCCTCCCACCTTACCCTCCCGATAGCTGGGACTACAGGTACACGCCACCATGCTCTGCTGATTTTATTTTATTTTATTTTAATTTTTTTAGAGACGAGGTCTCACTATATTGCCCGGGCTGATCTTGAACTCCTGGACTCAAGCACCCACCTCAGCCTCCCAAAGTGCTAGGATTACAGGTGTGCGCCACCATGTCCAGCCTTGAAATTCTTCATAATTTTTAAATAAGGGACCCTGTGTTTTCATTTTGTACTGGGCTCCACAAATTCTGTAGTGGGCCCTGCCGACATCTGAGCACTGACACCTGAGTGAGCCCAGCTGATACATGAAGAATGACCCAGCCTGATCTGCAGACTCATGAGACAAATAAATTCTTATCACAAGGTCAGGAGATCGAGACCATCCTGGCTAACACGGTGAAATCCTGTCTCCACTAAAAATACAAAAAATTCTCTGGGCGTGGCAGCGGGCGCCTGTAGTCCCAGCTACTCGGCAGGCTGAGGCAGGAGAATGGCGTGAGCCCGGGAGGCGGAGCTTGCAGTGAGCCGAGATCGCACCACGGCACTCCAGCCTGGGCGACAGAAGGAGACTCCGTCTCAAAAAAAAAATAAATAAAATAAGTAAATAAATAAATAAATAAATAAATAAATAAATAAATAAATTCTTATCACTTAACTGACTGGGTTGGGTGGTTGCTTTGCATTATTGTAGCAGTAGATACTGATGCACCAAATTTTCTTTGCTGTACGCACAGCGGTTCCTCTGTTAGCATGATGTCAAATACACTTCCAAACTGCACCATCTTACACAACAACGTTAGGTGAAACACAAAATTGCTTTTGTATTTTGGTTTTCAGTGATAATTGGAACTCGAAATGATCAACTGTGTCTTTCTCATTCACCTATGTACCGCACAGATAAAAAGAGCTGGTTCTTACCTTTTCCGCCAGTAGTTTCACTCAACTGTAAAATATAATATTGGCCGGCATCATGATAATAATGGTAGTTCCACCATATAATAGAACTGTTATTGCCATTTGTGCTATGTCACATACAACCCTGTCACCAGGTTTGCTTCTGGCTAGTTTTGCTTTCTCTCCTAGCGTTCTGTTTGTCCTAAATTTGGGGCTGGTTTTGGAGGCATGTTGAAAACAGCATGGCTTGCATCTGCTTTTGCTGTTTTGTCCTCTTTGCAATTATTATGATGATTTTTTCTTCTTTGAGATGCAGTCTCTCTCTGTCACCCAGGCTGGAGTGCAGTAGTGCGATCTCGGCTCACTGCAACCTCTGCCTCCTGGGTTCCAGCAATTCTTCTGCCTCAGCCTCCCAGGGATTACAGGCACGCACCACCACACCCTGCTTATTTTTGTGCTTTTACCAGAAACAGGGTTTCACCATGTTGGCCAGGCTGGTCTCGAACTCCTGACCTCAGGTGATCCACCTGCCTTGGCCTCCCAAAGTGCCACGATTACAGGTGTGAGCCACAGCACCTGGCCTTCTTTGCAATTAGAAATAAAATTAATCAATTGCATACTAGAAAATGTTCTATCTTTTTTTTATTTTTTTCTTAGGGATAGAGTCTTGCTATGTTGGTCTTGAGTTCCTAGGCTCTAGAGATCCTCCCACCTTGGCCTCTCAAAGTGTTGGGATTATAGACATGAGCCACCATGGCTGGCCACTAAAAAATATTCTTTTGTACTTGGTTCGGGAAAAAACACTGGTTGGCCAGACAGGTTATTCTATTTTGGAAGTGATGTGAAATGTCCTACAGCATCAGGAAGCTATCTGATAAAGTTTTCTAATACAATATACATTGGAGACACTAGGAAGATAAATCCCTTGTTCAATAAAAATCCAATTTTCAGATACTCATAGCCTTGCTTTCCATCCACACTTTCTCTTTCAGCTGCTGGGGTGAAATCATCATATTCACAGATGCTCTGTCTTGGCAGATCCTGAAGTCCTGTTCACTAATTATGCTTCCGAGTCGCAGTGTTTGTAGTACTATTTTTACTATTGCTTTTATACTCTAATGAAACACTTTTTAGTGATTAAGCTATTTTTGTTAATCAGAGCCATAACATAATAGTAACAGGAAAAAATGCACACGTTACACATATAAACAATAATATACCAATGATCTAGCTAAGAAAGGTTGGCCAGGCACGGTGGCTCACATCTGTAATCCCAGCACTTTGGGAGGCCAAGGTGGGTGGATCATCTGAGGTCAGGAGTTCGAGACCAGCCTGGACAACACGATGAAACCCCGCCTTTACTAAAAATACAAAAATTAGTTGGGTGTGGTGCCGCACGCCTGAATTCCAGCCACTCGGGAGGCCGAGGCACAAGAACCGCTTGAACCTGGGAGGCGGAGTTTGCAGTGAGCCGAGATCGCACCATTGCCCTCCAGCCTGGGCGACAGAGAGAGACTCTGTCTCTCTGTCTAAAAAAAAAAAAAAAAAAAAAAAAGACCATATTCTAGTAACTGAATTTTGACTATACATTGTTAAGAATGTGACCAATTTGAACCATCTGCACCCTTGAACCATTATTGAGACCATAACAGTATTTGGTAATCTTTCTTCTATTTCAAATTTGTGAAATGCTTAAGCACATGTTTTTTTTAAAATTATTTTTATAGAAACAGAAACTGCTAAACAACTTGAATACTATTTTTCTTTCTTTCTTTCTTTGAGATGGAGTTTCACTTTTTTTTTTTTTTTTTTTTTTTGAGACGGCGTCTTGCTCTGTCACCCAGGCTGGAGTGCAATGGTGTGATCTCGGCTCACTGCAACCTCCACCTCCTGGGTTCAAGCAATTCTCCTGCCTCAGCCTCCCAAGTAGCTGGGACTACAGGCACCCACCACCATGCCCAGCTAATTTTTATATTTTTAATAGAGACGGGGTTTCACCATGTTGGCCAGGATGGTCTCGATCTCTTGACATCGTGATCCACCCGCCTCGGCCTCCCAAAGTGCTGGGATTACAGGCGTGAGCCACTGCGCCTGACCGGAGTTTCACTCTTTTTGCCCAGGCTGGAATGCAATGGCACGATCTCGGCTCACTGCAACATCTGCCTCCCCGGTTCAAGTGATTATCCTGTCTCAGCCTCCCGAGTAGCTGGAATTACAGGGGCACGCCAACACGCCCGGCTAATTTTTGCATTTTTAGTAGAGACAGGGTTTCATTATATTGGTCAAGCTGGTCTCGAACTCCTGATTTCAGGTAATCTGCCCGCGTCGGCCTCCCAAATTGCTGGAATTACAGGCATGAGCCACCCCTCCTGGCCTGAGCCAGAACACCCAGCCTGAGCCACTTATGAACAAACATCACATTTTAGAAACAGTGACCCAAGAAAGCCTAAACTCTTTGACTTGGTATATAAGGCATTCCATAATCTACTTCCTTGACTAGCATTATAACGACACTACCAACAATACCACCTCCCTCTACTGAGACCTTCCCATGTGGTCAGGTAGCATTGCAAACGGATACTCTTATTTCAAACTCACAATAACCCTAACAGGTGGGTACAATGATTGTTATTATGAATTTATAGATAGGGAAATTGAGGCTTGCAGAAGTACTTGCTCAATGCCACGAAGCTAGTATGATAATTCAAGGACAAGCAGGGATCTGATGATCCTAAGCTCATATAGTTCTTTTTTTTTTTGAAACTGGGTCTTGCTCTGTCTCCCAGGCTGGAATGCAGTGGTACAATCATAGCTCAGTGCAGCCTCAAATTCCCGGGCTCAAGTGATCCTCCCACCTCAACCTCCCAAGAAGCTGGCACTACAGGTATGCACCATCACACCTGGCTAAGTTTTTAATTTTTTATACAGCCTGGGTCTTGCTTTGTTGCCCAGGCTGGTCTCAAACTCCTGGGCTCAAATGATCTGCCCACCTTGGCCTCCCAAAGTGCTGAGATTACAGGTGTGAGCCACGGCACCTGGCCTATTGTCTAGTTCTGAATGTCCATACCATGATTCCTGCCCAGCTTCTCTGACATCTGCTCCTGCGGTCTCTCACACACACACCCTGTACAACTGACCTTTCCTCCCTGTACCCGTGGCTGTCTTGTTCCCCGTGTCAGGGACATTCTCTGACGTTCCTCTCCTTGTCATCCTGATGAACTTTCACTCACCCTTCATCTTCCAGTGCAAGAGTATTTTCTGTGAAGTTTTTCCTTCCACCTACATCCCAGGATTTTTACCTTGTCTGTAATGTAGCTAAAATTTTATTTCTTTCCATTCTCCAGACAAAAATGTGAACATGTCTAGAGTGACAGCTCAGTTATTAAGAATTACACTATGACAGAACATAATTTACTACATTGTATCTGATTGTTCCCTGCTCTATCATTAGTTGACTCTACTTATTGACTTATGCCTCAATGAACAGGCAATTTCTTACCTTCAAATGTTATTCTCAGGCAGTAGGGGAACAGAATTAATTCTTATTGCATCTATAATAGCAGCTACTTAAATTCATGACACAAAGAGAATACATTCTCTATTTTCCCTTCTCCAATTTAATCTCTGAGAGTGAGACCCACGATGATAATAGGTGAATTTTCTAAATTCACTAACTCCAAGCGATGCTGGGGATATTGTCTATGGATACTCAGAAAACAGCCCAATCAAGGCAGCAAGAATGTATCTTTAGTTCTCATGGCAATTAAGAAAGCTATAAATCAATCTGTTACATTCTCTTTGAAGAAAAAGTACAGAGTAGTGGTTTAGAGCAATGGTTTTAAAATTCTTTCGAAAATTCACTTCAGTGGTATGCATTTTAAGCCTGTATCTCTGCAAATGTGTGTATTTACTTATTATTTATAGCTTTTATATATGAACTACTGTACTATTCAGTATATTACAAAAACATTGGCCAGGAACCGTAGCTCACACCTGTAATCCTAGCACTTCGGGAGGCCGAGGTGGGTGGATCACTTGAGGCCCGGAGTTTGAGACTAGCCTGGCTAACATGGTGAAACCCCATCTCTACTTAAAAAAAAAAAATAGCCAGGTGTGGTGGCATGTGCCTGTGGTTCCAGCTACTCAAGGAGGCTGAGGTGGGAGGCTTGCTGCAGTGAGCCATGGTTGCGCCAGTGTACTCCAGCCGGGATGCCAGAGTGAGACCTTGTCTCAAAAAAAAAAAAAAAAAAAAAAAAAATTCATGAAATGGAAAGTAAAAGGAATGATATAAGGAATACATATAAATAGAGGTCCCATTGTTTTCCTTCTTCACCCTAATAGATCATCTTGTGTACTTGCTGGGTGATATAATCACACTGCTGTTGTCTACAGATCATTCACTAGGCAAGTCAACTACTTGGGGCCTCAGTTGTTTCACCGGTAAAATGGGAATCATAATTATATTTACACCATAAAGCTATGGGGATTAAAGTCATTCCACATTTATTTGACAAATAGTTGCTGAGAGCCTACCAGGAGTAGGGTACTGTTTAGAAAATAGGATATACCACTAGGTAAAATACCTAGCTCAGTGGCTGGCACATGCAAAGTGTTCAATTGATGTTTTCTGTAATTACTCCTAACAGAAGGTGGCTCAGTCACAGCCTTGAAAAAAGCATGGGCTGGGCGCAGTGGCTCACGCCAGTAACCCCAGCACTTTAGGAAGCTGATGCGGGCAGATCACTTGAGGCTGAGAGTTCAAGACCCAGTCTGGGCAACATGGCGAAACCCCATCTCTACAAAACAAACAAATAAACAAATAAAAAAACACAAAAATTAGCCGGGTGTGGTGCCGCACGCCTGTAATTCCAGCTACTAAGATGGCTGAGGCACGAGAATCGCTTGGACCTGGGAGGCAGAGGTTACGAGCTGAGATCATGCCACTGCATTCCAGCCTGGGCGATAGAGTGAGACTCTGTCTCAAAATAAATAAATAAAATAAAATAAAAAAATTAATTCAAATTAAGAGGCATAGATAAAATCAAATGTCTTCTACACATCTCCAGAACTGTGCAGGGGATAGGATGCCCTCCTCATCCGTGGATATGAACTGTTTCATTCTCAGCAGGCGTAGCTGAAGAACAGAGGAGAGATAACACAGCCTGGCTTGACCACTTACAAGGCACATGACTCTGGGTGAGTTATTTAGTCTCTCCATGCCTCAGTTTCCTCATCTCTGCAATGGGTATAATATCAATACCTACCTCCTGGGGTTGTTATGAGGATTACATGAGCTTTTAGTAATAACATACTTGACACAGGGTAAGTGCTATATAAGTTTGTTGTATAAATAATACAATTAATAAAAGAAGCATATTTCTTCATATTTGATCTGAGTCAAAAGGCCAAGAAGCAATAAAAGAAGCATAATTCTTAATCACACAATCACACTAGGCATTAGGATTATTAAATTATCTTGGCCAGGGGTGGTGGCTCATGCCTGTAACCCCAGCACTTTGGGAGGTTGAGGTGGGAGGATTGCCCAGGAGTTCAAGACCAGCCTGGGCAACGTAGTGAGACCCAGTCTTTACAAAAAATATTTTAAAAATTAGCCAAGTGTGGTGACATACACCTGTAGTCTCAGCTACTCAGGAGGCTGATGTGGGAGGATCACCTGAGCCCAGGAGTGGGAGGCTGGAGTGAGCTATGATTGCACCACTGCACTCCAGCCTGGGCAACAGAGTGGGACTCCATCCCCACAACCTGCCAAAAAAAAAAAAGATGCTCAAAAAAACTAATAGATAAATCTATAATTACAGTTAAAGATTTTGGCACATTTCTCTCTCTTACTGAGAAAACAAGCGCACACACAAAAGATCAAGAAGGTTACAGAAGACTTGCACAATATGATTAACAAGTTTGGCCTAACATATATAAAATTTTATACCCAACAATTGCAGAATACACATTTTGTTTTTTTGAGGTGGAGTCTCACTCTGTGGCCCAGGCTGGAGTGCAATGGCATGATCTCGGCTCACTGCAACCTCTGCCATCAGGGTTCAAGCGGTTCTCCTGCCTCAGGCTCCTGAGTAGCATGCACTACCATGTCCAGCTAATTTTTTGCATTTTTAGTAGAGACGGGGTTTCGCCATGTTGACCAGGCTGGTCTCGAACTCCTGACCTCAGGTGATCCACCCGCCTCTCAGCCTCCCAAAGTGCTGGGATTACAGGCATGAACCACCGCATCTGGCCATACACATTATTTTCAAGTGCATATGGAAGCTTTGCCCACACTGACCATATGCTGGGTCAAAAAGAGTCTCTTAACAAATATCAAAGAATAAAAACATATAGAGTATATTTTCTGACTGTTGTCAAGATAGAAATAACAGAATCTCATATTTTGCGTGGCTTCTGTGTTTATGAACATTAATAAATTTGTATGCCTTTTTCTCCTAAAAAATTAATAAGCAAAAGAGAACTACCTTCCCTTATGTATTTAGGAGTTAAGCAACAATACCTTTTAAACAATCTTCTTTTCTTCTTCTTCTTCTTCTTTTTTTTTTTTTTTTTTTGAGACAGCATCTCGCTGTGTCTCCCAGGCTGGAGTGCAGTGGCGCAACCTCAGCTCACTGCAACCTCTGCCTCCCGGGTTCAAGTGATTCTTGTGCCTCAGCCTCCTGAGTAGCTGGGATTACAGGTGTCCACCACCACGCCTGGCAAATTTTTGTATTTTTAGTAGAGACAGGTTTCACCATGTTGGCCAGACTCATCTAGAACTCCTGGGCTCAGGTAATCCTCCCATCTCAGTCTACTGAGTAGCTGGGACTACAGGCATGTGCCACTATGCCTGGCTAATTAAAAAGTAAATTTAGAGATAGGGTCTTGCTCCGTTGCCCAGGCTTGTTTCTAATTTCTGGCCTTAAGTAATCCTCCTGTCTTGGCCTCCTGAAGTGCTGGGATTACATTTGTGTTACCATACCTGGCTAATTAAATTAAAAAATTTAGAGCATGTAGGGGTATGTGTGTTGGGGGGTGGGTGGGTGGGTTACTTTTTATGTTGCCCAGGCTTGTCTCATACTCCTGGCCTCAAGGGATCCTCTTACCTCAGCTTCCTGAGTAGCTGGGATTACAGGCATGAGCCAGTACACCCAGCTACAACTTGAAACACATGCTCTGGGTTCTCAGTAAGCACTCTGCCCAGCAACCCTCTGCTCACTTTAGAATGTTCATTCCCCCTCTCCAAGATGATGATTTTATTCAGCGTCTCAGCAACATTCAACCCAGTTGGTCACTTTCTCCTTCCTGAAATATTCTGCCCTCTTGGCTTCATGAGCCCACACTCCGATTTCCCTCCTCTTTCCACCTCCTGCATGGATGCCTCCATTATCTGATTTCTAAATGGTGGGCAGCCTGGAGTTCTAGTCTCACTTCTCTTTGATTTCTCTCTTTACACTCTCTAAGTGATCTCAGCTGGTCTCCAAATTTACATATGAAGTCTAAACCTCTTTGAGCATATCCCACTGTCTAGGGTATATCTTTCTGGATGTCTCACGGGATCTCAAGTCTACTGGGCTCAGCACGGAATGGTTGACATCTTCCTGCCCTCTCCCCCAACAAAATACTCTTCTCCTCTCCTAGTCTTTCTTTCCATCTTAGTACATGGAATTATCAACCTGTGAGCCTTCTCTAATATGTGCCTTTCCTTCAATTACTCTATGTGATCCAGCAGCAAGACTTGTTATTTCTACCTCTTACACATTATTCTCATCTGTCCACTCCCTTTCCATCTCCCCTGCAATTAATTTATTTTAAAAATTACTTATTTATTTTTTTGAGACAGAGTCTCACTCTGTCACCCAGGCTGGAGTGCAGTGGGGAGATCTCAGCTCACTGCAACCTCCGCCTCCTGGGTTCAAGCAATTCTCTTGCCTCAGCCTCCTGAGTAGCTGACAGGTGCCGGTCACCATGCCTGGCTAATTTTTGTATTTTTAGTAGAGACGAGGTTTCACTGTGTTAGCCAGGCTGGTCGCGAACTCCTGACCTCAGTTGATCCACCTGCCTCGTTCTCCCAAAGTGCTGGGATTACAGGCGTAAGCCACCGTGCTGGTCCACTGCAATTACTTTAAATTAAATTGCCTTCCTTCTGTTTCCCAAATAAGCCCCAGGCTTCCTGCCTGGGGGCCTTTGCATGTGCTCTTGCCTTGCCTAGAACACTGAAGGCATTGAGTTCCATATGGCCCAAATTTCATTACGGGGAACAATCTCAAAAGACTCCAAGTCATTCCCAAAAAAATCCCGTGAGAAGAGATCTTATTTCACCACACCCACCTTCTAATCCATATCCAAAACAGACCCGTGCTTGTTCCAAGCAAAAAGCAAAGTCTGATAGATGATAGTTCTGAGGGTATCTCTAATCACAAAATTGGCCTCAAATTTCCTCTTGGCTTTCAGTTTCTCCCAATATTAGAGGGAGACAGTGTCCAGCTTATTAGCCTTTTGAATTCATGTAGTAGTCTGAGAAAAAGAGACACAATATTTTGTACCTCCACCCAACAAGTGGTATCTTTTTCCATCCTCTAACTCTGGGCTTGACTACGTAACTTGTCTAGGCCCACGGGGCCTCGCAAACACGATGCAAGCAAATGCTTGAACAATGCTTGTGTACTGGGGCTTCCCTTCTCTTGCTGCGTTTGGAACCCAGCTGTCATATGAAAGACTGGGCTAGCCCTCTAGCTAGGGAGACACGTGGCCTGGTCAATTTCAATTGCCCCTGCCAATCAGCAGACACCTGGGTGAGATCATCCACGAACAACCAACTCTGAACCAACCTGCCAGCAGACTATCTATACTGGCCATGAACCCAGGCCAGGACAGCAGCAGTGCCCAGATGATCCCAGCTGCCACTTCCAACTCACAGAGTTAGGAGTTATAAGTGATGGTTGTTTGAAGCCACTAAGCTTTGAGGTGGTCTGTAATGCAAGAAAAACTGATATACCTCTTGTGTTCATTTTTTCGTATTGCAAATCCAAGTATGCTCCTTCCCTACTTAAAATGCTTTAATAGGCTGGGCACAGTAGTTCATGCCTGTAGTCCCAGCACTTTGGGAAGCCAAGGCAGGCGGATCACCTGAGGTCAGGATTTTGAGACTAGCCTGGCCAACATGGCGAAACCACGTTTCTACTAAAAATACAAAAAAAAGAAAATTAGCTGGGCATGGTGGCAGACACTTGTAATCCCAGCTACTCAGGAGGCTGAGGTGGGAGAATTGCTTGAACCTGGGAGGCGGAGGTTGCAGTGACCCGAGATCGAACAACTGCACTCCAGCCTGGGCGACAGAGCAAGACTCTATCTCTAAATAAATAAGTAAATAAAATAAAATAAAATAAAATAAAATAAAATAAAATAAAATAAAATAAAATAAAATAAAATAAAATAAAATAAAATAAAATAAAATAAAATGCTTTAATAGTTGCTCATTGATCCCAGGATGAAATCCAAGTCATTAGCCAGGGCTTTGGAGCTCCACATAATCTGGATGGCCTCATCTAACACAGTCTGAAACATGCAATGTGTTTGGTCCACCAGCATTCTTGAGCCCTTGCCCTCCTCAAGGCCTTCACACACGCCACCTGGTTGACCCTTACCCCTCTCTCACACCCCAACTTAAAAATTGCATCATCAGAGAGGCCTCTTTTGACCAACTCTGTCCCCACTTTTATGCCCCCGCAACTGAAGTATGTCTTCAGTTATAGATTCCTTTTTTTTTTTTTTTTTTTTTTTTTGAGACAGAGTCTCACTCTGTCACCCAGGTTAGAGCGCAATGGTGCGATCTCGGCTCACTGCAAACTCTGCCTCCTTCCTGGGTCCAAGCAATTCTCCTGCCTCAGTCTCTGGAGTAGCTGGGACTACAGGTGTAAACTACCACTCCCGGCCTTCAGTTATATATTCTTATCATATCTTATTACCTTCCTTCTTAGCAAATGCCCCACTTTGAAACAATATATCATCTTGTGTGATGACTTAATAGCTGCCTTCCCCACTGGACTATAAACCCCATGAGAATAGAGTGTCTCTGTTTCGTTCACAAATGTAGCCCCAAACTTGCACAAACTGTCACATGGCAACTGTTGGACAGCTATTTTTTTTCTCTTTGAGACAGGGTCTCACTCTGTCACCCAGGCTGAGTGCAGTGGCGCAATCATGGCTCACTGCAGCCTCGACCTCCTGGGCTCAAGCTATCCTCCTCCTGAGTAGCTGGAACTACAAGTGCATGCCACCACACCTAGCTAATTTTTTTTTTTTTTTGTATTTTTTGTAGAGATGAGGTTTTGCCATGTTGCCCAGGCTGGTCTGGAACTCCTGGGTTCAAGCAATCCAGCCGCCTAGGCCCCACAAAGTGCTGGGATTACAGATATGAGCCACTGCGCCCAGCCTGGATAGCTTTCTTTCGAAGCTGTCTGGTGGTTAACTGTGTGGACGCTGGAGAAAACTGCTTGGGCTTAAATCCTAGCTCTATCACTTATTAGCTGAGTGCCCTTAAGCAAGTGACCTAATGAGCTGCTCCTTGCCTCAGTTTCTCCATCTTGGAAATGGAGATAGAAATAGCACCCTGTCATCGAGTCACTCGGCGGATTCTGCTCTGTCGTTGTTAAAAGTTTCTTGCCGAACAGACGTTGGTATAGCTCAGATGACAGTGAACCAAAAGCTTTTGACACAGCCACCATCTCCTTTCTCTGGGGCTACAGATACTGCCATGATTTAATTTAATTTTACTTTACTTTATTTTATTTCATTTTATTTTATTGAGATGGAGTCTTGATCTGTTGTCCAGGCTGGAGTTAAGTGGCATGATCTCGGCTCACTGCAACTTCTGCCTCCTGGGCTCAAGCGATTCTCGTGCCTCAGCCTCTCGAGTAGCTGGGATTACAGATGTGCACCACGATGCTTGGCTACTGTTTGTATTTTTAGTAGAGATGGGGTTTTCTCTATGTTGGCCAGGCTGGTCTCGAACTCCTGACCTCAGGTGATCTGCCTGCCTCAGCCTCCCAAAGTGCTGGGATTACAGGTGTGAGCCACTGTGTCCAGCCACTGCCATAATTTCACAATTCACATTTGGCTTCCCCATGGTTCAACTAATATATGTAATATATCTGCAAGACTTGTTATTTCTATCCCTTAAACATCATTCTAATCTGTCCTCTCCCTGTCCATCTCCACTGCAATTACATTGAACTAAATCGCTCACATGCTGCCTCATTCTGCAAAGGTGTGGCCTCAAACTCGGAGCCAGCTCTACGAGATGCCTCTCGATGCCCGAGCGCATCCAGCACTAGATTTTTTGCTCCTGCTTTGAGCCCTGGTTTCTCCCACAGAGAGTCAGACGTTTGGGGTCCGAGTGCCTTGTCTCCTGACTGCTGTAACTGTGCCTCCTATCACTTGATCATTCCCTTGCTGAGCTGGGGTGTGGAGCCAAGAAACCACCTCCCAGGAAACAGTTCTGATGGCCCCAAGCAATGTATCCATCTCCTTTAACACATATGTGCACGCACGTACACACAGCGGGAACTGGGCATTCTACACTGTCTTAGTGAAAAAAGAATTTTTTTTAGAAGGTACATTTCCAATCACCAAGTCCTTAGAAGCTGTTCTTTCAGGCTCTGGCCAGAAAGGACAAAAATCTAGGTATCCAGAAAAATAATTTTAAAAAGCGAGGTTAGAGGATGAGAGGAACTCCTAAGAAAAATCAGTGGGAGACAGAAAGGTATGTGAATAAAAAAGAAAATCCAGCTGGACTCAGGGGTTGATGCCTGTAATCCCAGCTCTTTCGGAGGCCAAGGCGGGGAGATCACCGGAGGTCAGGAGTTCGAAACCAGCCTGGCCAACATGGTGAAACCCCATCTCTACTAAAAATACAAAAAAATTAGACGGGTGTGGCGGTGGGCGCCTCTAATCCCAGCTATTCGGGAGGCTGAGACAGGAGAATCGCTTGAACCCGGAAGGCAGAGGTTGCAGCGAGCCGAGATTGCGCCACTGCACTCCAGCCTGGGCGACGGAGCGAGATTCTGTCATAAATAAATAAATAAATAAATCTGAGGGCAGGGGGTGGAAAGGGGGAAGGTGAGAGGTGAGAGAGGTTAGGAGGAGTAAGATAGAGAGAGGAGAGGCTCGGAATAAGATGGGCTGGGAAGGGAGAGGGAGGACAGCGAAGGAGAAGCTCCTTCCACCCCAGCAGAGCCAGCGCAGCGCTGCTCCTTAGGAAGGCTGCGTCTGTTTGGCAGGGCCCGAGAGCCGCAGCTCCCCAGAGCCGGCAGGCACTTCCCTTCCAACGGGCCCAGCGAGGGTGCCCTGCGCATGCTAATGAGGCAGTTGAGGAAAGCTTCGCAGATAATTGCTGAAAGTGTGCAGTAACTTACCAGGCTGGGAGTCAGTGGGCTGCAAAATGATGGGGCACCGCTCCTGGGGGCCCCCAGCAGAGGGGCCTGGTCTCCAGGTACCCGGCGCTCACAGGTTAGTGGCTGCAAGACGACGGGTTTTCCATTCAGTCAGGCACTGAACCCAGCGATGGGGAGAGCCAGACCAAAGGCAAAGGAGAGGAGGGGAACCTGCTTGTGTTTTTGTATTAAATTGTTTTTGAACCCACGTAGCCCTGGGAGTCACATGCCGCCTCCAACATCACCGGAGCCATCACATGATACAGGTCCCCCATCATGTGATGAGACAAATCTGCCTAACTTCAGTCCCCCACCCCCAGCCCCCGCTCACAGACTGACAGATAAAGTGCTTCTGGGGGACCCCCCGCCCCCTACCCCCAGTCAGTGACAGAGGGAGGGACGCAGATGGAGAACCCTCAGAGCCCATGCAACGCGAAGACCTTGATGAATAGTTAATATGCCTTTCTCTCTCCTCCTAAGCTATTGCGACTTGGAGCGGTGCCAGCCTCATTTGAATTCCAGCCTTTGTGAATAACTCAAGTGTCGCCGCTGTTGCTCCAGCAATTGCAGGGCGTTTGAGCTCACACCATCCCGCCTCGTTCTAGAAGCCCAACTCGGCTGCCTCCCCTCCCCACAGCTTCCAAGCCTCCTCACGGGGCAGTGGCAGTGGGGGTTGGAGGTGGGGAGACTGGAGCTGCAGAAGGGGAGACCACTCCAGCTGAACCTTCTAGTCCCTCCACCCCCCAGCTGCAGTAGGAGTCAGGTGGGGCCCCGACTGGGTATCTGATTAGGCGATTAGGCTGCCTCTGTTCTACTTAGTGATCATAGCTCTGTTCTCTCTGCAGATATTTCCCTTCTGTCTCTCTCTCTCTCTCTCTCTCTGTCTCTCTCTCTCTCTGTCTCTCTCTCTCTCTCTCTCTGTCTCTCTCTCTCATACATATGTACATCTCTCCATTTCTTCCCTTAATGAGGATACAGTTAAATCGACTGAAAAATCAGCTGGGTTTGGCGGGGTGCAGTGGCTTACACCTGTAATCCCAGCATTTTGGGAGGCCAAGGTGAGTGGATCACCTGAGGTCAGGAGTTCTAAGACCAGCCTGGCCAACATGGTGAAACCCCATCTCTACTAAAAATATAAAAAATTAGCTGGGCATGGTGGCACACACCTGTAATCGCAGCTACTTGAGAGGCTGAGGCAGGAGAATTGCTTGAACCCAGAGGTGGAGGTTGCAGAGCAAGATTCTGTCTCAAAAAAAAAAAAAATCGGTTAAGTTTGTTTCTTCCCATTGTAGTAACCTCCTTTGCTCATGTTTTCATTCACTCGATCTTTTATTAAACAAATATTTTTGTAGAGCACCTAACATGCTGCAGGTCTCGTACTAGGCACTGAGAAAGATGGAAGGGAGGGAAGACATGTTAAAGAAATGCATAAAGCCACATCTCTGTTCTTGAGGTGCCTGTCGTCTGTTAAAGGCAACAGAATCATAAACAGATCTGGCAGATGCAAAATTCCAGAGTCACACAAACTCAAGTGTGCAAAGATGTGAATCCTCTATTTGTCTAAACCTGAACTTCACTTCTACCTCCCGCCCCACTCCCCTATTCTGCCCAATATAGGAAACTGCATCTCATCACTTTCAAATAAACTCAGACACCTGGGTGACTTTTCTCTGCTTCAGATTTACAGTAAGTCAAGTTAAAGATTTTTTTTTCTTGTTGCCTTTCTTTCTTCTCCCTACTATTGATACTAAGCACTGATGCTCACTCGAATAATCAAACAAGTAAACAAATTGTGCAGACTGCTTTCCTTTGTAGATAGATAGTATGATTTGCTGGCACTCTGCAGGTGGGGGCCTTTTTGAGCAAAGAAGAATTGTGGTGTTTTTGTTTTGTTTTGTTTTGACGGAGTCTCGCTCTGTTGCCCAGGCTGGAGTGCAGTGGCACAATCTTGGCTAACTGTAATCCCAGCTACTCAGGAGGCTGAGGCAGGAGAATCTCTTGAACTCGGGAGGCAGAGGTTGCAGTGAGCTGAGATCGTGCAGCTGCACTCCAACCTGGGCAACAGAGCAAGACTCTGTCTAAAAACAAACAAACAAACTCTGCACAATTTGTTTACTTCTTTGATTATTCGAGTGAGCATCAGATCTTAGTATCAATGGTAGGGAGAAGAAAGGCAACAAGAAAAAAAAATCTTTAACTTGACTTATTGTAAATCTGAAGCAGAGAAAAGTCACCCAGGTGTCTGAGTTTATTTGAAAGTGATGAGATGAAAAAAAAAAAAAAAAAGTAGCAAAGTAGCAAAAAGTAGCAAAAGGTGGCAAGCAAAAAGGACTTCTTCCTTACAGACCTCTCTCAGCCACTGTGCCTGGCCCACCTTTTGCTCCTCTGATGTAGTCATGGGAGGCAGCCATCATGTGACGATGAGGTGAAAAATCTTCACTGACATTCTGGGGATGGCAGAGTGGAAGGACAGAAAAACATAAGTTCTCAATAGAAGTGAGTTGCCAAACTGACCCTGGGACCACCTATGTTAGAAAAATCAAGCATCTTTATGGTTGATTTTTTGTATTTCATCACTTGTGATTGGAGCTCATCCTAACTGAAACAGCACCCATGGAATTTGGCAGTTGCTCCAGTTACCAATGGTTTTTGAAGAACAGCATCTGTAAAGCTGTGGAGGTGCAAGTCTGATGATAATAGGTTAAGAAGTAATCTTAATCATGCACAGTGGTGCAAGCCCATAGTCCCAGCTACTCCAGGAGACTGAGGCAGAAGGAGCACTTGGACCCGGGAGTTCCAGATCAGCCTGGGCAGCATAGCGAGACCCTCTCTCCAAAACAAACAAACAAACAAAAAACAAAAAAGAAGTAACTGGAAACATTCCATTTCTGACAATATGGGGGACCAAATATGAAAGACAAAATAATCATAAAGAAATTCTGGATAAAATAACCAACATTCTTTTAAGTGTGTAGCTGAGCCCTCAGAAAGAAAGAAGGGAGTGCCGGGACAGAAGCAGCAGTGCGGCCGCCACCACCATGGCACTGCAGGCTGATCGACAAGGCTGCAGAAGACGTGAGGAAGCTGCCAACAAGACCAGATGAGGGGTCGGGCGCAGTGGCTTACGCCTGTAATCCCAACACTTTGGGAGGCTGAGGTGGGTGGATCATCTGAGGTCAGGAGTTCGAGCTTGGCCAACATGGCGAAACCCCGTCTCTACTGAAAATGCAAAAATTAGCCGCAGGTGGTGGCGGGCGCCTGTAATCCCAGCTACACGGGAGGCTGAGGCAGCCGAATCGCTTGAACCCGGCAGGCAGAAGTTGCAGTGAGCCGAGATCGTGCCACTGCACTCCAGCCTGGGGGACAGAGCGAGACTCCATCTCAAAAAAAAAAAAAAAAAAAAAAAAAAAAAAAAAAAAAAAGCAGATAATAAAGAACTGAAAAAACTCGATGGACTTTACAAACAAGCTATAATTGGAGACATTAATATTGAGTATCTGGGAATGCTGGACTTTAAAGGGCAAGGCCAAATGCGCAGCATGGACCCTCCAAAAAAGGTTGTCAAAGGAAGATGCAACGAGTGTCTCTATTTCTAAGGCAAAAGAGCCGATAGAAAAATAGGACATTTAGAATACAGTGTATGAGAAATTTTTCCAGCCAGTTGCAGTGACTCACACCTGTAATCCCAAAACTTTGGGAGGCCAAAGTGGGCGGATCACTTGAGGTCGAGTTTGAGACCAGCCTGGGCAGCATGGTGAAACCCCGTCTCTACCAAAAATATAAAAATTAGCCGGCCATGGTGCATGCCCGTAATCCCAGTTACTTGTGAGGCTGAGGCACAAGAATCACTTGAACCCGGGACGCGGAGGCTGCAGTGAGCCGAGATGGCATCACTGCACTCCAGCCTGGGCAACAAAGCAAGACTCTGTCTCAAAAAAGAATACAGTGTATGAGAAAGTTTTCCTTTTGAAGCCTTGATAATGCTCTCATGACCTAACATTTAGAGGGAGAGAGGCACTGTTCACTCTAGGTATCATGTATATATTTGCTATTAGCAAGAATTGTAGTAACAGGAGTATGCTGAAACTACATAGTTCACTAAATTGTGCTTGCTTAAACCAGGTGTCCTTAAATGTTCTTTTAGAAAAGTATTTGATTTTTTATTTTTGTAGATTTAGGGGGTACAAGTGTAGTTTTGTCACGTGGATATATTATATAGTGGCAGTCTGGGCTTTTAGTGTGCCCATCACCCAAATAGTGTACATTGTACCCAAAAGGTAATTTCTCATTCCTCAGCCCCTCCCACCCTCCCACCTTTTCAAGTCTTCAGTGTCTCTTATTCCACACTCCATGATCCTGTGTACACACTGTTTAACTCCCACTTGTAAGTGGGAATGGGTGGTGTTTGACTTTCTGTTTCTGAGTTATTTGCACTTAAAATAATGGCCTCCAGTTCCACCCATGTGGATACATAAAATCAAATAAATAAATAAATAAAATCAAACATGATTTTATTCTTTTTTTATGTCTGACTGGTATCCCATCATGTACCATCTTTTCTTTATCCAGTCACCCATGGATGGACATTGGATTGATTCCAGGTCTTTGTTATTGTGAACTGTGCTGTGATAGGCATACAAGTGCAGGTATCTTTTGGATACAACGATTTCTTTTCCTTTGGGTGGATACCCAGTGGTGGGATTGCTGGGTAGAATGATAGTTCTATTTTTCGTTCTTTGTGAAATCTCCATGCTGTTTGTCATAGAGGTTGTACTGATTTGCATTCCCACCAATAGTGTGTGAGCGTTCCCTTTTTTCCGCATCCTCGCCAACATCTGTTGGTTTTTGACTATTTAGAAAGTCTTGCCCTGGTAGTATGTACACAGACTTTAACAATTATTTCTTCTTTTGGCTCATCTGTTCTCCTACAAGGAGTTGGTGTTACTGGTATAATAAAAACAGGTTATTAATTTAAAAAAAGGGCCAGGTACAGTGGCTCACATCTGTAATCCCAGCACTTTGGGAGGCCAAGGTGGGGAGATCACTTGAGGCCAGGAGTTCGAGACCAGCCTGGCCAACATGGCAAAACCCCATCTCTACTAAAATTACAAAAATGCCAGGTGTGATGGCATGTGCCTGTAATATCAGCTACTCAGGAGGCTGAGGCAAGAGAATTGCTTGAAACGGGGGAAGGCAGAGGTTGCAGTGAGCAGAGATCATGCCGCTGCACTCCAACCTGGGAGACACAGCGAGACCATCTAAAAAAATTAATAATAATAATTTTTAAAAAGGGAAGAAAAAACCCCAGAAAACTAGAGAGCTAGGCATACGAGTTAACGCTGTATCCACCCTGGGGATTTAGTGCTTGGCAGGGACATGGCAGCCTTGGGAGGCTGGGTTGCAACTCCAAGCAGGTACAGGAGACAAAGTCTTGTGCCTGGGAGTGGAAACTTCCACATCAGCTTGGGACTCTTAAAAGTGCTGTATCCTCAGTGAAAATGTGCATGGTGGTAAATTTTATGTGTCACATTGACTAGCCACGGGGTGCCCAGATTAAACATTATTTCTAGATGTGTCTGTGAGAATGTTTCTGGATGAGATTAACATTTCAGTGGATGGACTCAGTAGAGAACATTGCCCACTTCAATGTGGGTGGAAATCATTCAATCTCAATGGAACAAAAGGGTTATCTGTGGTGGAGGAAGGAGGTGGAAGAAGGAGGAAATTTCCCCTTTTGCTTCCTGCCTGCCTTCTTGAGCTGGAACACCTCATCTCATCTTGTCCAGCCTCTGGACTGGGATTTACACCATTGGCTACCCTGGTTCTTAAGCTTTCAGACTTGGACCAAATTACACCCCAAGTTTCCCTGGATCTCCAGCTTGCAGAGAGCAGACTTGTGAGACTTCAGAGCCTCTATAATTGCATGAGCCAATTCCTCAGGATAAATCAATCTCTTTCTCTCATGCTGATTCTACTTCTTTGGAGAACCCTAACTAATACATGGTGAAACAAACAAACAAAAAAAGATCACCTTTAAGCCCAGAGAAACACGGAAGCTTGTGTGACTTGACCTGAATTCTGGGTCAAGGCAAAAAAAATACTCCCATGATAATTAATAACCAAGGCCTGTTCTCAAGTGGTTTTGATGTCTGAACATACATTACTTTTATGGCCCTGGAATACCAAAAATAAGAAATAACATAGAAAGAGAGGAGCCTCAGAGAGGCAAATATAAAAGTGATCTAGAGGTAAGTTCACTAAGCCCAGACCTCACAGAGTTCCCACAGATTATGTTCCCATTGCAGATGAGTTTATAATCCAAAATTATAAAACATGTTATAAATTACAAAGCACTAGGAGACAGAAGAAAGTGCAGGATTAGACTCCTATAAATTTCATATAATAAAATAATTGGATGGAGATTATTAATAAAACTTTATGCTTAACTTTTTAGAAAGAAGCAGTGCCTTTTGCTTCCAATTAAGATGACATAACAGAAACTGGGTATACTCTTTTCCCTGAAACAACAACAAACAAGATAAAATATATAAAACAACAGTTTTGGCCGGGCATGGTGGCTCACACCTCTAATCCCAGCACTTTGGGAGGCTGAGGCGGGCAGATCACTTGAGGTCAGGAGTTCGAGACCAGCCTGGTGAAACCTCGTCTCTATTAAAAATACAAAAAATTAGCCATGTATGGTGACTTTGCCTGCAGTCCCAGCTACTTGGGAGGCTGAGGCAGGAGAATTGCTTAAACCCGGGAGACGGAGGCTGCAGTGAGCTGAGATTGCGCCACTGCACTCCAGCCTGGGCGACAGAGAGAGACTTTGTCCCAAAACAACAACAACAACAACAACAACGACAACAACAACAACAACAACAACAGTATTTAAGACATTGGACATCAGATAACAAAGGGCAGGGATATATGAGAGAAGGGAAACAAACCAGGTGAGCTCTATGATTGCCCCATATTACTGCCTAGAGGAAGTTTCCAAATTGCAGTGCAGAGAGGTGGACTTCAAACTGAGGCTGGTGTTCCCCCTGAGATGAGGAGACAGAGCAGGGAGTCCAGGGAGGCCAAGGAAGACAGAGTTTGTAGGGCAGGTACTGGAGAGGAGAGAGCCGCACAGAGATCAAGATCTGCAGAGATGTCCCTCAAGTCTTCAGTGGAGTACAGATCATGACACGCATGTTAGAAAAAGACCTGACCAAAAGGATTAGAGGGCCACATATGGCCAGGAGTAATTTTTGCCCATTACCCTAGAATGCAAAGCTTCATAATTCACACAGCATCTATCAGGTAGGATACTCAGAAGTGTTTTACCTCCGTGGTGGGACCAAAATAGTCCTAGACTAAACCCAACTCTAGTCCAGCCAAACAAACTTTAAAAACAAACTTTGGGCCAGGTGCGGTGGCTCATGCCTATAATCCCAGCACTTTGGGAGGCCAAGGCAGGTGGATCACCTGAGGTTAGGAGTTCGAGATCAGCCTGGCTAACATGGTGAAACCCCATTTCTACTAAAAATACAAAAAATTAGCCGGGCATGGTGGCACGCACTTGTAACCCCAGCTATTCAAGAGGCAGAGGCAGGAGAATCTCTTGAACCCGGGAGGCGGCGGTTGCAGTGAGCTGAGATCATGCCATTGTACTCCAGCTTGGTTAACAAGAGTGAAACTCCATCTCAAACCAAAAACAAAACAAAACAAAACAAAAAACACTTTGGCCAGGCGCAGTGACTCCCGCCTGTAATCTCAGCACTTTGGGAGGCTGAGGTAGGAGGATCACTAGAACTCAGAAGTTTGAGGCCAGCCTACGCAACATGGTAAAACCCCTGTCTCTACAAAAAACCTAAAAATTACCTGGATGTGGCAGCATGTGCCTATAGTCCCAGCTACTCGGGAGACTAAGGTGGGAGGATTGCTTGAGCCCAGGAGTTCGAGACTGAAAGTGAACTGTGTTGGCGCCACTGCATTCCAGTCTGGGTGACAAGAGTGAGATCCTGTATCAAAAGAAAAAAAAATAATAATAAAAGGCCAGGTGCAGTGGCTCATGCCTGTAATCCCAGCACTTTGGGAGGCTGAGGTGGGAGGATCACTTGAACTCAAAAGTTTGAGACCAGCCGGGACAACATGGTAGAGAAAACCCATCTCTACAAAAAAAAAAAAAAAAAAAAAAAAAAAATTAGCCCGGTGTGATGGTGCATGAATGTAGTCCCAGCTACTTGGGAGACTGAGGTAGGAGGATCACTTGAGTCCAGGAGGTTGAGGCTGCAATGAGCTATGATTGTACCACTGCCCTCGAGCCTGGGCAACATACAACTGTACAACTTTAATGTTTGAATTGTATGGTATGTAAATTATATCTCAATAAAGATTTTATTAAAAAGCAAAGAAAAATAGAAAACAATGGAGGGAAACATTTTACATACAGAGGAAGAAAGATAAAGATGGCAGAAAATTTTTATTTGAACCAACACAAGAGAGAGGACAATGGAACATCTTTAAAGTACCAAAAGAAAAAAATTTAGCTGGACATGGTGGCATGCACCTGTAATCCAAGCTATTGGAGAGGCTGAAGCAGGAGGATTGCTGGAACCCAGGAGGTTGAGGCTGCAGTGAGCCATGATTGTGCCACTGCATTCCAGCCTGGGCAACAGAGCAAGACCCTGTATCTTAAGAATTTTTTTTTAAAAGAAAGAAAAATGTCAACTTACAATTCTGTAACTAGCAAAACATTTTTCAAAAATGAAGGAAAAATGAAAACTTTTTAGCCATACAAAAGTTGAAAGAATTTATCACCAGCAAATCCACACCATAAAAAATGTTCAGGCAGAGAAAAATGATACTAAGCAGAGATCTAGATCTATGTAAGAAAATGACAAGCACAAGAAATGGCAACTGTATGGGTAAATATACAGACTTTGTTTCTTATTCTTTAACTCTCTTAAAAAAAAAACCATTTAGGGCCAGGCGCGGTGGCTCATGCCTGTAATCCCAGCACTTTGGGAGGCCGAGGTGGGTGGATCACAAGGTCAGGAGATCGAGACCATCCTGGCCAACACGGTGAAACCCTGTCTCTATTTAAAAAAAAAAAAATTAGCTGGGCATGGCAGCGCATGCCTGTAATCACAGCTAGTCGGGAAGCTGAGGCAAGAGAATCGCTTGAAACTGGGAGGCAGAGGTTGCAGTGAGCTGAGATCGTGCCACTGCACTCCAGCCTGGCAACAGAGCTAGACTCTGTCTGGGGAAAAAAAAAAAATTAAAGCAAAAATGATAATGTTTTGTGGGGTTTATAATATAAAGTAAGCTTCTTGACAAAAAACAGCACAAAGACCAAGAGCAGGAGAAAAGAAATGGAAGTATACTGTTATAAGATTCTTATACTAAGTACACGTGTAGTGGAATACTACTGCTTGAATGTAGACGGTGATAGGTTAAAGGTGTATACTCTAAACCCTAAAGCAACCACTAAAATAATGCAATCAAGAGCGACAGCTAGTAAGCCAATAAAAAATGAAATGGCATAATAAAAATATTCACTTTACCCAAAAGAAAGCAGAAAAAAAGAAAAAAGTGGAACAAATAACAGATCATTTAAACCCTTTCATATTAATAATCACATTAAATGTAAATGGCTTGAACACCCCACTCAAAAACAGAGTTTGTCAGATAGAATGAAAACGCAACAATCAACTATATGCTACAAGAAACCCACTTTAAATATAAAACATATTCATCAAATAAGAAAGCTTTGAAATACAGGAAGCAGAATTGATTGAACAGCAAGGAGAAACAGACAAATCTACTATTATAAGCAGATATTTCAACATCCCTCTTTTGATAATTAATAGAACAACTAGACAGAAAATAAGCAAGGATACAGACGACTTGAACAACACTTGAACAAATTTGACCTAATTGAGATTTATGGAACGCTTCATACAACTGCAGAATATATATTCTTTTCAAGTGCACATAGAACATTTACCAGAATAAACCATAGTCTCAGTCATAAATAAATCTCAATAAATTTAAGAAAATTAAAATTATATCAAGCACTCAGACCACAGTGGATCTGAAACTGGAAATCAACTTTAAAAGGAATCTTCAACACCGTGCAATTACATGGAAATTAAATAACCTGCTCCTGAATGAGCATTGGGTCACAATGAAATCAAGATGGAAATTTAAAAATTCTTCAAACTGAATGATAATAGTGACACAACATATCAACACCTGCGGGATACAGCAAAAGCAGTGCTAAGAGGAAAGTTCATAGCCCTAAATGCCTACATCAAAAAAGTCTGAAAGAGCACAAATAGACAATCTAAGGTCACACCTCAAGGAACTAGAGAAACAAGAACAAACCAAACCCAAACCTAGCAGAAGAAAGGAAATAACCAAGATCAGAGCAGAACTAAATGAAATTGAAACAAACAAACAAAAAATACAAAAGATAAATGAAACAAAAAGTGGTTTCTTTGAAAAGATAAATAAAATTGATAGACCATTAGCAAGATTAACCAAGAAAAGAAGGGAGAAAATCCAAATAAGCTCAATTAGAAATGAAACGGGAGATATTACAACAGACACCACAGAAATACAAAAGATCATTCAAGGCTACTATGAACACCTTTGCACGCACAAACTAGAAAACCTAGAGGAGATGGATAAATTCCTGGAAACATACAACCCTCCTAGATTAAATCGGGGAGAATGAGAATAAATCCAAATAAACTTAAATGGATTCAAACCATACAGAGTATCTTTTCTGACCAAAATGGTGTTAAATTAGACATCAATAACAGAAAGATAACTGAAAAATCCACAAATATTTGGAAACTAAATAATACACTTCTAAATAACCCATGGGTCAAAGGAGAAATTAAAAGGGACATTAGAATTTTTAACCGAAAGAAAATAAAAACACAAACATATAAAAATTTGTTGGATGAAGCTAAAACAGTATTTAAATGGAAATTTATAATTTTAAATACCTTCTTAGAAAAGAAAAATCACAATAACATCAGCTATTACCTTAAGAAACTAAAAAGAGAGCAAAATCACAAAGAAAACAAAGAGAATAAAGGAAATTATAAAAACCAGAATAGAAATGAATGAAATGGAAAACTGAAAAATGCAGAAATATCAGAAGCTAATATTAGAAGCTTTCAGATCAATAAAATTCACAAACCTCTAGCCATATTGATCAGGAAAAAAAGAGAAAACACAAATTACCAATATCAGAGGCCAAGTGCAGTGGCTCCTGCCTGTAATCCCAGCACTCTGGGAGGCCGAGGCGGGTGAAACACCTGAGGCCAGCAGTTTGAGATCAACCTGGGCAACATGGTGAAACCCCGTCTCTACTAAAAATAGAAAAATTAGCCAGGCATGGTGGCAGGCACCTGTAATACCAGCTACTCAGGAGGCTTAGGCAAGAGAATTGCTTGAACCTGGGAGTTGGAGGTTGCAGTGAGCTGAGATCACGGGGCGACAGAGCGAGACTCCATCTCAAACAAACAAACAAACGAATGAACAAATTACCAATATCAGAATGAGAGAGATAACATTATTCCAGATTCTATAGACATTAAAAAGGATAACCAGAGAATATTATGAACAAGTTTATGCCAGTAAATTTGACAACTTAGATGAAATAGATACATTCCTGGAAAGACGCAAATACTAAACATCACTCAAGAAAAGATAACCTGGAAAGTATATATTTCTCTTAAAGAACTTGAAATCATAGCTTAGATCTTTTCAACAAAGAAAACTGGAGAGCCAGATGACTTCACTCAGGAATTCTATCAAATCATTAAGGAAAAATTAATTTTAATTCAACACAAGCTCTTCTAGAAAATTGAAGAGGAAGGAATTTTTCTCAGCTGATTCTGTGAGGCCAGCGTTACTCTGATACCAAGTCCAGACAAAGACAGCACAAAGAACGTAACCACAGAGTAACATCCCTCTTGAACTTAGATGAATAAATTCTTAACAAAATTGTAGCAAATCAAATTTAACAGTGAATGAGGAGGCTGATGCGCAATGGCCAAGCGGAATTTGCCCAGCAAATAGGGTTGGTTTAATGTTCAATTAATGTAATACACATAATAATAAACTAGTAAAGAAAAACCACATAAATATCTCAATAGATGCTGAAAAAAATTGGCAAAATCAAATGTTCATTTCTGATAATAACTCTTAACAAACTGGGAATAGAAGGGAACTTCATCAACCTGATAAAGGGCATTTATAAAAAAAATATACAGCTAACATCATATTTAATGGTAAAAGACTGAAAGCTCTCCCCCTAAGATCAGGAACAAGACAAGGATGTCTGCTCTCACCAATACTATTCAACATTGTACTGTAGGTTCTAGCCAGGGCCATTAGGTAAGGGGAAAAAAAGCAAATAAAAGGCATTCAGTTTAGAAAGAAAGAAGCAAGATTGTCTTTGCAGGTGACATGATCATTTATGTAGAAAATCCTATGAAAGAGTTAATATGTGAGTTTAGTGAGGTTTCAGGATATAACCCCAGTTTCCAAATTCTACTGTATTTCTCTCTGCTAGCAACAGTCAGAAATAAAAATCTTAAGAAATACCCTTTACAATAGCGTGAAAAACTTGAGGATAAATCTGACAAAAAAATGTGTCAGCCGTGTACACTGAAAACTACAAAACATCATTGAGAGAAATGAAAGAATACCTAAGTAAATGGAAAGAGACATGGGTTTACGTGTTGGGAGGCTCAGTATTAAGATGTCAATTCTCTACCAAACTGATCTATCGACTCAATACAATCCCAGTCAAAATCCCAGTCAAAATCCCAGCTGGCATTTTTTTCTGTAAAAATGGAGACGTTGGGCCGGGCGCAGTGGCTCATGCCTGTAATCACAGCACTTTGGGAGGCCGAAGTGGGTGGCTCACCTGAGGTCAGGAGTTCGGGACCAGCCTGGCTAACATGGTGAAACCCTGTGAGTACTAAAAATTCAAAAATTAGCTGGCTGTGGTGGTGCATACCTGTAATCCCAGCTACTCAGGAGGCCAAGGCAGGAGAATTGCTTGAACCTGGGAGGCGGAGGTTGCAGTGAGCCAAGATCGCGCCACTGCACTCCAGCCTGGGTGACAGAGCGAGACTCCGTCTCAGAAAAAAAAAAAAAAAAAATGGAGAAGTTGGGTACACCAATGTTCATAGCAGCATTATTCGTAATAGCCCAAAGGTGAAAATAACCCAAATATCCATCCACAGATGATTTGATAAGCAAAATGTGGTATCGGCTGGGCTCAGTGGCTCATACCTGTAATCCCAGTACTTTGGAAGGCCAAGACAGGCGAATCACCTGAGGTCAGGAGTTCGAGACTAGCCTGACCAACATGGTGAAACCCCGTCTCTACTGAAAATACATAAATTAGCCAGGTGTGGTGGCAGGTGCCTGTAATCCCAGCTACTCGGGAGCTGAGGCAGGAGGATCACTTGAACCTGGGAGGCAGAGGTTGCAGTGAGCCAAGATCGCACCACTACACTCCAGCCTGTGCAACAGAGCGAGACTCCGTCTCAAAAGAAAAAACAAAAACAAACAAAAACAACCAAACAACAACAAAAAAGTGGTATACTCACATATTATTATGCAATATTAAAATGGAGGAAAATTCTGGCAAATGCTACAACATGGATAACCCTTGAAGGCATTACACTAAGTGAATTAAGTCAGCCACAAAATGACAAATATTGTGTGATTCCACTTTTAGGAGGCACGAGAGTAGTCAAGTTCACAGAGACAGAAAATAGAATGGTGATTGATGGGCTCTGGGAAGAGGGGAGGGCGTGAAGTTGTTATTTAATGGGTGTAGGGTTTTAGTTTGGGATGATTAAAAAGTTCTGGTGATGGTTGCACATAAGTTTGAATGTAGTTAATGCCGCTGAATGGTTCATCTAAAAATGGCTAAAATGCTAGATCTTATGTTATACATATTTTACTAAAACATAGAATTTGAGAAGTTGATTCTAAAATTCATGAAAATGTAGAGGATGTAGAATAGTGTGGGGGAAAAAAGCTTTTTTTTTTTAGGCCGGGTCTTGCTCTGTCACCCAGGCTGGAGTGCAGTGGCGTGATCACAGGTCACTGCAGGCTTGACCTCTTGGGCTCAATCGATCCTCCCACCTCAGCCTCCCAAGTAGCTGGGAGTACAGGCATGTGCACCACCCCTGGCTAATGTTTGTGTTCAAAACTTTGAATAAGACTGACATTGAAGGAAAAAGCTACAGTAATCAAGGTAGTGTGGTATTGGTGGACAGACAGATACAAAAATAAAGGAACAGAATAGACAGTACAGAAATAAACCCACATAAATATCATCAATTGATTCCTAACAAAATTGTGAAGGGAATCAGTGGAGAAAGTATAGTCTTTTTCAAGAAATGGTACTAAACAATACATATACATATGCCAAAAAACCCCAAAACTTAAATCCATTACGCAAAAATTAACTCAAAATGGATTATAGGGACACTTCCAAACTCATGTTATGAGACCAATATTACTCTGATACTAAAACCAGGCAAAGACATTATTAGAGGCCAGGCACCGTGGCTCATGCCTGCAATCCTGGTATTTTGGGAGACCAAAGAAGGTGGATTGTTTAAGGCCAGGAGTTTGAGACCAGCCCGGGCAACATGGCAAGACTCTATCTTTACAAAAAAAAAAAAAAAGTTTTTTTTTTATTAGCTGGGTGTGGTGGTGCACCCCTGCAGCCCCAGCTACTTAAGAGGCTGAGACAGGAGGATCACTTGAGCCTAGGAGATTGAGTCTGCAGTGAGCTGTTTTCATACCACTGTACTCCAGCCTGGGCAACAGACTGAGTCCCTATCTCAAAAAAAAAAAAAAAAAAGACATTATAATAAAAGAAACCCTATAGATCAGTATCCCGTATACATGAAGAAAATCCTAAGTAAAATACTAGCAAACTGAATTCAGTAATATATAAAAAGAATTATATACCATGACCAAGTGAAATTTATTCCGGGAATGCGAAGTTGGCTTAACATAGAAAATAAACCAATGTAATATGTCATATTAATAAAATAAGGAGTAAAACCCACATGATAATATCAATAGATGCAGAAAAAGCATTTCACCAATTTCAACACCCTTTCCTGATAAAACCACTCAACACACTAGGAACAGAAAGAAACTTCCTCAGCCTGAGAAAAGTCATTTGTGGAAAAAGTGCTACTTAATCATGAAAGACTAAATGCTTTTCCCCTAAAATCAGGAATAAGACAAGAACTTCCGCCCCTGGCTACTTCTATTGAATACTGTATTTAGGGTTCTAGCCAGAAAAATTAGGCAAGAAAAAAAGAGGTATCCAGATTGAAAAGGAAGAAATACACCATCACTATTTCTAGATGACATGAACTTATTTACAGAAATCCCAAGGAATCCACAAAAGAAACTACCGGACAAAATAAGCAAGTTTAGCGAAGTTGCAGAATACGAGATCAATATGCAAACATCTACTGTATTTCCATCCCTTAGTAATGAACAACCAAAAATAAAATTAAGAAAGCCATTCAATTTATAATAGCATCAAAAAGAATAAAATACGTAAGAATAAATTTAACCAGGAATGTATAAAACTTGTACACTGAAAACAAAGTACTGTTGAAAGAAGTTAAAGAAGATCTGAATAAATTCTTCTAAATAATTGAAGATTTATTATTATTAAAAGGACAATACTACCTAAAGCAATCTACAGATTCAATGCTATTCTTATCAAAATCACAGTTGCGGCCAGGTACAGTGGCTCATGCCTGTAATCCCAGCACTTTGGGAGGCAGGTGGATCACTTGAGGTCAGGAGTTTGAGACCAGCCTGGCAAACATGGCAAAACCCTGTCTCTTCAAAAAATCCAAAACTATTAGCCAGGCGTGGTGGTGGGCGCCTGAAATCCCAGCTACTTGGGAGGCTGAGGCAAGAGAATCGCTTGAACCTTGGAGGCGGAAGTTGCAGTGAGTTGAGATCAGGCCACCGCACTCCAGCCTGGGGGGCAGAGCAGGACTGTCTCTAAAAATATAATAATAATTACAGTTGCTTATTTTTTTTTAGAATTTGAGAAATGGGCAAGCTGATCTGAAAATTCATATGGATATGCAAGGAACCCAGAATAGCCAAAACAATCTTTAAAAAGAACAACGTTGGAGGACTCCCATTCCTGATTTCAAAACTTACTATAAAAATACATTGTGGTACTAGCGTAAGGATAAAGATATATATATATACACACACACACACATATATATACACATGCACACGCATGCACACACACACACACATGTCCTCAGGATATAAGAGTAAAAATATATAAGGATATATATTTTATGTTTTTTTTAGAGACGGGGTCTTGCTATGTTGCTCAAGCTAGTCTTCCAGTGATCCTCTCGCCTCGGCCTCCCAAAGTGCTGGGATTACAGGTGTTAGCCACTGTGCCTGGCCTTATTTTATATATATATATATACACACATAAATAGTATAATTAAGAATCCAGACATAAACACTTACATCTATATATGATCAATTGATTTTAAAGAAGGTGTCAAGATTCAGTGGGAAAATAGTAGTCTTTCATCAAATGGTCCTGGGACAAGTGAACATCTACATGCAAAAGAGGGAAGCTGAACCCCTATTTCATACCATCTGCAAAAGTCAACCCAAAATGCATCATAGGCCAGGCATGGTGGCTCACGCCTGTAATCCCAGCACTTTGGGAGGCCGAGCTGGGCAGATCACTTTGAACTCAAGAATTCGAGACCAGCCTGGCCAACATGGTGAAACCGTCTCTACCAAAAATAAAAAAATTAGCCCGGCAAGGTGGTGTGTGCCTGTAATCCCAGCTACTTGGGAGGCTAAGGCACGAGAATCGCTTGAACCCGGGAGGTGGTAGTGGCAATGAGCCGAGATCGCGCCACTGCACTCCAGCCTGGGCGACAGAGTGAGACTCTGTCTCAAAAAACAAAACAAGCAAACAAAACAAACAAACAAACAAAACCCAAAATGCATCATAGACCTAAATGTAAGAGCTAAAACTATAAAATTATTGGAAGAAAATGAAGGAGTAGATCTTCATGACCTTGGACTAGGCAATGGAATTTTAGACGTGAAACCAAAAGCACAAGTGACAAAGGAAAAAAAACAAATTGGACATCATCAAAAGTAAATATGCTTGTGCTTCAAAGGACATCATAGAGGTAAAAAGACAACCCGCAAAATGGGAGAAAATATTTGCAAATCATACATCTGATAAGGGACTCTTATCCGGACTACATAAAAAGAACACTTATAATTCAATATGAAATAGACAAATAACCCAATTTAAAAATGGGTAGAGGATTTGAAGAGACATTTCTGCCAAATAAAAACACATTTAAGGCCGGGTGTGATGGCTCATGCCTATAATCCCAGCACTTTAGGAGGCCGAGGCAGGCGGATAATTTGAGGTCAGGAGTTTGAGACCAGTCTGGCCAGCATGGTGAAACCCTGTCTCCAGTAAAAATACAAAATTTGCCAGGCATGGGTGTGCATGCCTATAGTCCCAGATACTTGGGAGGCTGAGGAAGGAGGATCGCTTGAACCCAGGAGGTGGAGTTTGCAGTGAGCTGAGACCTGGCTATTGCACTCCAGACTGGGCAACAAGAGCAAAACTCTGTCTCAAAAATAAATAAATAAATAAATAAATAAATACACATACACAAAAATTAGCCAGGCATGGTGGTACACACCTGTAATCCCAGCTACTTGGGAGGCTGAGGCACGAGAATCTCTTGAACCTGGGAGGTGGAATTTGCAGTGAGCTGAGATCGTGCTGCTGCACTCCAGCCTGGGCGACAAGAGCAAAACTCCAACTCAAAAACAAAAACAAAAAACAAAAAACAAAAAAGTAGTCAGGTGTGGTGGCACATGCTTGCAGTTCCAGCTACTTGGAGTGCTGATGTAATAAGATCGCTTGAGCCCAGGACATGGAGGCGGCAGTGAGCTGTGTTTGTGCCACAGCACTCCAGCCTAGGTGACAAAGCGAGACCCTATCTCAATGGTTACAACAACAAAAGATGCTCAATATTATCATTCATTAAGGAAATGCAAATTAAAACCACTATGAGATATCACTTTACATTCACTAGGATGGCTGTAATAAAAAAATGGGCCATAACAAGTGTTGGAGGTGGTATGAAGAAATTGGAACTCTCATACACTGCTGGTGAGAATGTAAAATGGCATGGCTTGCCAGGCATGGTGGCTCATGTCTGTAATCCCAGCACTTTGGGAGGCCGAGGTGGGAGGATGACTTGAGCCCAGGAGTTCAAGGTTGTAGTAAGCTATGAACATGCCACTGCCCTCCAGCCTGGGTGACACAGCAAGTTCTGTCTCAAAAAAAAAAAAAAAAAAAAAAAAAAAAAGGATTTAAGCACTGATGCATGCATAACACAATGAACCTTGGAAACATTATGCTAAGTGAAAGAATCCAGACACAGAAGACCAGATCTATGATTCCAATTATATGAAATGTCCAGAATAAGCAAATCCATAGAGAGAGAAAATTATTGGTTGCCTAAACTGAAGTAAGGAAGTAATAAGGGATGACTGCTAATGGATATGAGGTGCCTTTTTGGGGTGACAAAAGTCTTCCGAAGTTAGATAGTGGTGATGAGTGTACAACTCTTTGAATATACTTAAAATCACGGAATGGCGCACTTTAAATATGTGAATTTTATGGTATGTGAAATATATCTCAATAAAGCTGTACTTAAAAGTGGACTATAGATCTAAGTGTAGAACTTAAAGTCACAAAACTTTTTAGAAGAAAACATAAGACTAATCTTTATGATCTTGGCTTAGACTAAGATTTTTTAGAAACAACACCAAAAGCACAATATTTAAAAGAGTCAACATATAAATTGGACTTCATTGAAATAAAAAACTTCTGGTCTTCAAAAGACATGTTGAATGAATGAAAACAAGCCAGACTAGAAGAAAATATTTACATATCATGTGCTTGATAAAGGACTCGTATCCAGAACATATAAAGAAGTTGCAAAATACGTTAACAATCTGGGGGCCGGGCACGGTGGCTCACGTCTGTAATACTAGCACTTTGAGAGGCGGAGACGGGCGGATTACTTGAGGTCAGGAGTTGGAAACCAGCCTGGCCAACATGGTGAAATCCGGTCTCTACTAAAAATAAAAAAAAATTAGCTGGGCGTGGTGGTGTGCGCCTGTAATCCCAACTACTTGGGAGGCTGAGGCAGGAGAATTGCTTGAACCCAGGAGGCGAAGGTTGCAGTGAGCCGAGATCCCACCACTGCACTCCAGTCTGGATGACAGAGCGAGACTCTGTCTCAACCAACAACAACAACAACAAAACCAAAACAAACAAACAAACAAACAACAACTATATATATATCTAGATATATAACCACATATATCTAGATATATACAACTATATATAGATATATATAACCATATATATCCAGATATATACAACTCTATATATAGATATATATAACTATATATATAGATAGATAGATAGATATAATCCAACTTAAAATTGGGCAAAAAGATTGGAACAGATATTTCGCTAAAGAAGACATACGAATGGCAAATGGCACAGGAAAAAGTGCTCAGCAGAAAATGCAAATTAAAACCACCATCAGACATTACTGTGGTTATGGCTAAAACTTTAAAAACTGACCATATCATGTGTTGACGAGATGTGGAACAACTGTTTTTTTTTCTCTTCTTTTATTTTTTTATTTTTATTTTTTTATTATACTTTAAGTTTTAGGGTACATGTGCACAACGTGCAGGTTAGTTACATATGTATACATGTGCCATATTGGTGTGCTGCACCCATCAACTTGTCATTTAACATTAGGTATATCTCCTAACGCTATCCTTCCCCCCTCCCCCCGAGATGTGGAACAACTTGAACTCTCACAAGCTGCTGATGGAAATGTAACATAGCCACTTTAGAAAACAGTTGGGCAGTTTCTCAAAATGTTAAACAGACACCTAAAATATGATGCATTAATTTCATTCCTAGGTATTTACCCATGAGAAATGAAAGTATATATTCACAAAATGATTTTTATATAAATGTTTACAGTTTTATTTGTAATACCCCCAAATGGAAACAACTCAAATGTTCATTGTCAAGTGAATGGATGAACAACACAAGCAAAACATTCTAGTCAGCAATAACAGGAAACAGGAATGGTACATGTCACAGCATGAATTTCAAAATAATTATACTGAAAGAAAGCAGACAAAAAAAAGTGTACAAACTATATGAGTCCATGCACAGTAATGTCCAGAAAATGCCAATTAATTAACGTGTCAGAAAGCATATCAGTTGTTGCTTGGGGATGGGAGGACAGGGAAAAAGGCTTATAAAGGGGTACAAGAAAATATTTAGGAGCAGCCAGTCATGGTGGCTCACGCCTGTAATCCCAGCACTTTGGGAGGCTTCACTTGAGATCAGGCAGATCACTTGAAGTCGGGAGTTTGAGACCAGCCTGGCCCACATGGCGAAACCTTGTCTGTACTAAAAATACAAAAATTAGCCAGGCATGGTGGTGGGTACCTGTGATCCCAGCTACTCAGAGGCTGAGGCAGGAGAATCGTCTGTGCCCGGAAGGTATGTTCATGATTTTGATTGTGGTGATTGTTGATGGTTTCACAGGTATATACATGGTGAGATTTATCAAATTGTACTGTTTAAATATGTGCAGTTTATTGTATAATATGATTCATGTTAAAAAATTTTTTAAAATTGCCCATGATGTCTGTTTGAACATTTGAAACAATAATTAAACCAAGAGAGAAACACTGTCAAATTTAGTGTGAATGTACTTAACCCTATGTGTAACAGCAAACGTTGACAATCTAAATTATCAGTAAGTGACCACTTAAATAATGTTATATCAATACACAATGGAATATCGTGCAGCTATAAAAAATAGAAAATCTGTCTATGTATTCATAAAGAAAGATGTTCAGGTATATAGTTAAGTGAAAATAGCAAGGAGGAAGACAGTGTGCTTAGTACTCTATGATTCGTATAAAAAGGAAAGGTATTAAGTGTGTGTGAGGCTGGGTGTGGTGGCTCACACCTATATTCCCAGCACTTTGGGAAGCCGAGGCGGGTGGATCACCTGAGGTCAGGAGTTCCAGACCAGCCTGGCCAACGTGGTGAAACCCCGTCTTTACAAAAATTACAAAAATTAGCCAGGTGTGGTGGCACATGCCTGTAGTCCCAGCTACTCGGGAGGCTGAGGCAGGAGGATCACTTGAACCTGGGAGGCAGAGGCAGAGGTTGCAGTGAGCTGAGATTGTGCCACTGTACTCCATCCTGGGCGACAGAGCAAGATTTGGTCTCAATAAATAAGTAAGTAAGTAAGTAAGTAAATAAATAAATAAAGTTAAATTTAAAAACAGACAAAAAAATAGCCGGGCATGTTGGCTCACGCCTGTAATCCCAACACTTTGGGAGGCCGAGGTGGGCAGATCACTAGAGGTCAGGATTTCAAGACCAGGCTAGCCAACATGGTGGAACCCGTCTCCACTGAAAATACAAAAATTAACCAGGTGTGGTGGCATGTGCCTGAATCCCAGCTACTCGGGAGGCAGAGGTTGCAGTGAGCTGAGATTGCACCATTGCACTCCAGCCTGGGTGACAGATCGAGACTCCATCTCAAAAAAAAAAAAAAGGTATTAAGTGTTTGTGTGAGTGTGCATGCATATATCCGCGCGTGTGTGTGTGTGTGTGTTAGTATAGGTATAAAGAAAATTTGGAACGATATACAAGAACCTAATAGCGGAGAGGTCATCTGGGGTGGGGCTAGGTGTGGTTGTTTGTTTATTTTGAGACAGCGTCTCAGCAGGTCCCCAGGCTGGAGTGCAGTGGTGTGATCATAGCTCAAATGCAGCCTTGACCTCCTGTGTTCAAGTGATTCTACCGCCTTAGAGTCCCAAGCAGCTAGGACTAGAGACATGTGCTGCCACGCCCAAATAATTTTTAAATTTTTGGTAGAGATAGGACCTTGCTATGTTGCCCAGGCTAGTCTCAAACCCTGGGCTCAAGCAATCCTCCCATCTTGGCCTCCCAAAGTGCTGGGATTACAGGTATGAGCCACTGCTCCCAGCCTAGATGTGGTTATTGATGGAAGCTGTACAAACAGGTGTTGAAAGACTTCTTTATATATACATACGTATTTTTCCTTTTCCTTTTCTCTTGTCACATACACAATTTTTGAACCGTGTGAATGTATTATACATTCGTAAAATAAAAATAAAAATAGTAGTGATTAAAATTGTTAAAAGAATCAGGATAATTACATATAAATACCTAGAAAAACTGGAAGTAAAATATCATTGGCTTGTGAAATTAATTTTAATTTTCTTCTTTGTGTTTTTCTGTGATTCCCAAATCGTCCAAAACAAATGTGTGTTACTTTTGAAATCAGAAGAACAAAAATAGATGTTGCTTTAAATAAAGAAGAAAAGCAAAAAGGAGAAGAACAAGATGCCATGAAGATGCCATGAAGTGATTGAAATTTTTTCATTAAAAAGAAAAGTCAGATGGCTGCTGTGGCTCACGCCTGTAATCCCAGCACTTTGGGAGGCTGAGGCGGGCGGATCACCCGAGGTCAGGAGTTTGAGACCAGCCTGGGCCACATGGCAAAATCGCATCTCTACAAAAAATACAAAAATTAGCTGGGCGTGGTGGCGTGTGCCTGTGGTCCCAGCTACCCAGGAGGCTGAGGTAGAAGGATCGCTTGACCTGGGAGGCGGAGGTTGCAGTGAGCTAAGATCCCGCTACTGCACTCCAGCCTAGATGACAGAGTGAGACCGTGTCTCAAAAAAATAACAATAATAAAATAAAATAAAAAAGAATAAAAAGTCAAATAGCTCTCCCTCTGTATGGATAATAAATAGGTCTATGAGAAAAGGGCTGTAATTTTAAAACTAGGCTGGGTGAAATGGCTTATGCTTGTAATCCCAGCACTTTGGGAGGCCAAGGCGGGAGGATTGCTTGAGACCAGGAGTTAAAGACCAGCCTGGGCAACATAGCAAGACCTCATCTTTCTTTCTTTCTTTATTTTGAGACAGAGTCTTGCTCTGTCACCCAGGGTGGAGTGCAATGGTGTGATCTTGGCTCACTGCAACCTCTGCCTCCCAGGTTCAAGCGATTCTCCTGCCTCAGCCTCCTGAGTAGCTGGGATTACAGGTGTGTGCCACCTCACCCGGCTAATTTTTGTTAATTTTTATTTTTAATTTTATTACTACTATTTTTTCTTTTTTCTTTTTTTTTTTTTTTTTTTTTTGAGAGAGTCTCACTCTGTGCCCCAGGGTGGAGTGCATGATCTCAGCTCACTGCAGCCTCTGCCTCCTAGGTTCACACAATTCTCCTACCTCAGCCTCCTGAGTAGCTGGGATTACAAGCATGCACCACCACACCAGGCTAATTTTTTTTTTTTTTCAGTAGAGACGGGGTTTCACTATGTTGGCCAGGCTGGTCTCAAACTCCTGACTCAAGTAATCTGCCTGCCTCAGGCTCCCAAAGTGCTGGGATTACAGGACCTCATCTTTAGAAACACACACACACACACACACACACACACACACACACACACACACACACCAAAAACTTAAATGACAAGTATGTGGGGCCTCAGAGTTGCTTTCTCCTTCAGAAATCTATTCCTCAGAAACAATAACAAAAAATTAGAGCCAACGTCAGTTTTATGTTCTCAGCAAGACTGAAGTGGATTCTACATCTATGTAACTTGATCAAGTTGTCCTAGAAAAGGAGCAGCAAAGGAAGACGGAATGGAGATGAGAGAGGTGGTTTTGAAATGAAAAGTCACAAAGGAGAAACTGAATGGCAGACTGTATATGAAGATCATTGAATTAGGGAAAATAAACTATGATTTATCCAACAGAAAGAAACCTTAAAAAATGATTTAAAAGTTTGCCGAGGGCTGGGCGCAGTGGCTCAAGCTTGTAATCCCAGCCCTTTGGGAGGCTGAGGTGGGAGGATTGGTTGAGCCAGGAGTTTGAGATCAGTCTGAACAATATAAGGGAGATCCCCATTTCTACAAAACAATTAAAAAATTAGCTGGGTGTGGTGGCACGTTCTGTGGTGCCAGTAACTCAGGAGGCTGAGGCAGGGTTGTGGGGATCGCTTGAGCCCAGGAGGTCGAGGCTGTAGTGAGGTGTGATCATGCCACTGCACTCCAGCCTGGGTGGCACAGCAAGATCCAATCTCAAAACAAAAACAAAAACAAAACAAAAAAAGAGAGGCAGAAAAAGGTATATGGAAGACAAATCCCTTAGCTACACCCTACAAACAATCAGAGTCACTAAAAGAAAGAAAAAAATGGTGGTGGTGGTGGTGTTGGAGAAGAAAAAGAAATAATGAAAGACAACTTTCTTAATCTATAGAAAGAACTTAAGTTGATATGGTTGATCAAGGAGCCAGAAATAACCAATCTAGAATGGCCTTGAAAACATAAGCAGCCTAGAAATTTACAGCGTCTTGGGGAAATCTTTGATGTTCTACAGGTTCAATTTTTGCTAAATCTGGCTTGGCAAGCCCCCTGCTGACATTTTAACATGACTGTTAATGACACGGAGTAGGACAGAAATTCCAGCGAAGCATGGTGGATCGAATATTCTTCCTTCCTTCTCCAGAGTGCACTGTAATGATAATAAAAGGTCAAACAAGGCACAAACAGGGAGAGCAGAAGAGGAAATAATCGCAACACATTTTTGAAAGGTGAAATTCATGTGAACAAGGGGTAAGCTGACCAGAAAACCAGAGGTCTGAATCAGAAGCCTAAAAACCAGATGACTCATAACCTAGAAGCCTAAAGTGAATCAGAATATGCAGGCAAGAGAGAACTCTAGGCTGGGTGCGGTGGTTCACGCCTGTAATCCCAGCACTTTGGGAGGCCAAGGCGGGTGGATCATGAGGTCAGGACTTCAATACCAACCTGGCCAAGACGGTGAAACCCCATCTCTACTAAAAATACAAAAATTAGCCAGGTGTGATGCCACACGCCTGTAATTCCAGCCACTCGGGAGGCTGAGGCACAAGAATCGCTTGAACCTGGGAGGTGGAGGTTGCAGTGAGCCGAGATCATGCCATTGTACTCCAGCCTGGGCGACAGAGTGAGATTCCGTCTCAAAAAAAAAAAAAAAATTAGTGGGGCGTGGTGGCACACACTTGTAATCCCAGCTACTCAGGAGGCTGCGGTGGGAGAATCGCTTGAACGCAGGAGGCGAAGGTTGCAGTGAGCCAAGATCATGCCATTGCACTCCAGCCTGGGGGACAAGAGCAAAACTCCGTCTCAAAAAATAAAAAATAATAAAAAAAGAACACTGAAAGCCAGAATGCAGATAGGTCCAAAGGGTTAACACAAAGCAGCACACCTTGGCAGAAGTTAGAGGCTTACTCTCTGGAGAGGTTCAACTAGAGCAGTGGTTCTCAACCTTGGCTGCACATTGGAGTCACCTGGAGAGATTTTAAAAGACTGATGTTCAGACCACCCCACCAGATGTATTAAAGTAAAAACTCTGGGTAAGGTATACAGCCTTCAGTATGTCTTAAAGCTCTCTAAGTAGTCCAAAATATGCAGCCCTTTTGGGTACCAAAGAATAGAAGGACTCTGGACTTGAGGACATCAAGTGGATAGGGGTGCTGTACTGGAAAGAGCAGGATGGAGTCTGTCTATATATACTGAATGGAAGCTTACTTGGCTCCAAAAAATTCCTGGTAGCTGGATTTGTAATTATACTATAGTTTTTCATCCCCATTCTAAAGAGTGGAGGATTCCCCTCTGGAAGAAACTAACCACAAGAAAAAATGCCGGGAAGATCCTCAGTGAAGTGGTACACTCAGATCACTCTATAATAGAACTCTCTTGTCATATCTCACAAATTTCTAACTTGAAGAGCAGAAGAAAACCTCAACAAAATGAATATCTTTACAAGTCCTATTATAGCCATGAAAAAGAATAGAATGTTATGAAAAGGGGAACAATCAGGAAATAAAAAAATAGAACCCTGAGAAATTGTAAATATGGGCCAGACGTGGTGGCTTACACCTGTAATCCCAGCATTTTGGGAGGCTGAGGCGAGTGGATCACCTGAGGTCAGGAGCTCGAGACCAGCCTGGCCAACATGGTGAAACCCTGCCTTTACTAAAAAATACAAAAATTAGCTTGGTGCAGTGGCAGGCGCCTGTAATCCCAGCTACTCGGGAGTCTGAGGCAGGAGAATCGCTTGAACCCAGGAGGCAGAGGTTGCAGTGAACCAAGATTGTACCATTGCACTCCAGCCTTGGAGACAGAGTAAAATTCCATCTCAAAAAAAAAAAAAAAAGAAAGAAAGAAAAGAAAGAAAGAAAAGAAAAAGAAAAAAAGAAATTGTAAATATGCCAGCAGAAGTAAAGAACTGAAGTGTTGAGGAAACGTCACAACAAAAAATATGAGTGGAGGGTGGGCGCACTGGTTCACGCCTGTAATCCCAGCACTTTGGAAGGCTGAAGCAGGTGGATCACTTGAGCCCACGAGTTTGAGACCAGCCTGGGCAACATGGAGAGACCCTACTTCTACAAAAAATAAAAAATTAGCCAGGTGTGGTGCGTGTGCCTGTGGTCCCAGTTATTCAGGAGGCTGAGGCGGGAAGGTCGCTTGAGCCCAGGAGGTCAAGGCTGCAGTGAGCTATGACTGCACTCCAACCTGGTCAAACAAAACAAAACAAAACACAAGAATGGAAAATAGTAGAGGATCAGTCCAGAAAATCTAATATCAAAATAATGAGTCCCAAAAAAAGAAAGCAGAAAAAAATGGAATGGAGAGTATTATCCCACAAGTAATAAAATAATGTTTCCAAGAAAATCATAAAAGACATAATTTCATGAAAGACATGAAAGAAAGGGCTCATAGAGCACTTGGCAAAGTATATTTTAAAAGGGTCGCAACGTCATCATCACAACATTGGATTTTCTAAATGTACCTAGGTTAAAAGGAAGTTACCAAAGAATCCTGGGAGGGGAAAATATTGCAAAAATTGCATATAAATGGATTAGGAGTCAGAATGGCTTGAACGCCTGGTTAGCAATGCCAGAAGCAGGATTATGATAGAGAAATGCCTCCAGGTATGAATGCAAATGATTTCCAGTGCAGAATTCTATGCCCAACCAAACCATAAATCAAGTGTCGGGGTAGAGTAAGAACATTTGTGACATTTTAGGCTCTGAAAAATTTTACCTCCCAGGTACCCTTCCGCAGTAACTTACTAGAGCACATGTCCTCCACCTCAAATGAGGAAGCAAACCTAGGAAGAGAAAGACACAGGATGGAAGGCAAAGATCTAATGCAGAAGAGAGGGCGAGGGGAAGACCCAGGAGCAGGCAGTTTTGGGGTACGTCTAGAGGGCAACCAATCTTTGTTGTTGTTGCCGAGACAAAGTCTCACTCTGTTGCCAGGCTGGAGTGCAGTGGCACGATCTCGGCTCACCGCAACACCTGCCTCCCGGGTTCAAGCGATTCTCCTGCCTCAGCCTCCCAAGTAGCTGGGACTACAGGCGTGCGCCACCACCCCCAGCGAATTTTTGTATTTTTAGTAAAGACAGGCTTTTACCATGTTGGCCAGGATAGTCTCAATCTGACCTCAACTGATCGGCCCATGTTGGCCTCTCAAAGTGCTGGGGTTATAGGCATGAGCCACTGTGCCCAGCCATTTTTTTTTTTTTCGAGATGGATTCTCTCATTCTTGTCACCCAGGCTGGAGTGCAGTGGTGTGATCTCTGCTCACTGCAACCTCCACCTCGCAGGTTCAAGCAATTCTCCAGCCTCAGCCTCCTGAGTAGCTGGGATTACAAGGTGCGTGCCACCACGTCTGGCTAATTTTTGTATTATTGGTAGAGACAGGGTTCCACCATGCTGGCCAGGCTGGTCTCAAACTCCTGACCTCAATTGATCCTCCCACCTCGGCCTCCCAAAGTGCTGGGATTATAGGCATGAGCCACTGGGCCTGGCCCCAATTTTTATTAGATAGGTAGAAAGAAGGTTCTGGAGGGGAATATCCCAAGAAAAAGGGTAAAACTGATGAACACTTATTTGAATATCCTGGGAGGAGGTTTGTTTCCAGTGAGCCATAGAAAATCAAACTTTTGAAACGGGAGTTGATATTAATTCCAGGAAAAACAACATTTTACATGAAAGCAATCCTACTATACCAAGTGACTCAATGTGGAACTGTTTATATAGATATATAATAATGTATACCACCATTTTTATTTAATCCAAATGGTAAAACTTTTATTGAGAGGGTGGGAGAGGGTAGAGGTGTATGTGTGTGGGTGTTGCTAAAGTCAATTGTGGCTCATACTTGAGACTGAAAAATCAAGTAATAGGAGGAGTGTGTTATTTACATATAACATTCTTCTTTTCTTTTTTAAAGAAAGAACTAGCAGAGTTGAAATGGCCTGTAAAGAATTAGTCAGCATATAATTAATTAGAGTAGGAGAATGAAGTTTTTGTTGTAAGTCTTTTTTTTTTTTTTTTTTTTTGAGATGGAGTTTCGCTCTTGTTGCTCAGGCTGGAGTGCAATGGTGTGATCTTGGCTCACTGCAACCTCCGCCTCCCGGGTTCAAGTGATTCTCCTGCCTCAGCCTCCTGAGTAGCTGGGATTACAGGCGTGCACCACCATGCTCGGCTAATTTTTTGTATTTTTAGTAGAGACGGGGTTTCACCATGGCCAGGCTGGTCTTGAACTTCTGACCTCAGATGATCTGCCCACCGCGACTTCCAGAGTGCTGGGATTACAGGCGTGAGCCATCACACCCGGCCTGTTGTAAGTCCTGAAGAACTTTATGACTTTTTAAACAATGTACAACTTTGTGAGAAAAATTAAATTCTTAAAGCCTGCAAAATTGAGAATGTATTATGATCTGGGCAAATTTAATGAAAATGCTAACTACCACAGACATATCCTGGTAGAAAAGTCAATATCGGTGGGGGGAGGGGGAAGATGGAGAATCACACTGGTTTTGGACTTAAAGGTAACTCTAAATGCCTGAAGGCACCAGAATTTTGTTTTGTTGGCATTTCTGTTTTATTGTTAGTGGCTTTTTTTTTTTTTTTGACAGGGTCGCACTATGTCACCCAAGCTGGAGTGCAGTGGCTCACCGCAATCTCCAGCTCCGGGGTTGGAGTGATTCTCAGCCTCCCTAGTAGCTGAGATTACAGGTGTGCACCACCATGCCCATCTAATTTTTTTTTTTTTTTTTTTTTTGTATTTTTAGTAGAGATGGGGTTTCACCATGTTGGCCAGGCTCGTCTTGAACTCCTGGCCTCAAGTGATCCACCCGCCTCAGCCTCTCAAAGTGCTAGGATTACAGGCATGAGCCACCGCACCCGGCTGCTAGTGGCATTTAAAATTTTCAGATGTTTATTTGTGTAATAATTGAGATTGTAATTTTAAAAAATTGCAGAGGGGGAAACAGTTGCTAGTTTAAAGAACAAGCAGCTTCTTCTGCCCTCTAATGGCATAATTCATCCTTGGTTCAGAAAAATAATGGCTAATTTCAGTTTCAGAGATGAAGAAACTATGAAGTAGAACAGAAAAGAAGGGACGATGGTGTGCACAGGAAGATGAGAGGATGTGATGTGTTCTCAGAAAATAGGCAGAAATGTCACAAAATGTATAAAGATTGAGACTGTACCATAATGAGAAGCTCTGAAGAGAAAAATCAGCACAAGAGACATCAGAAAATTAAAAAGGAGCAAATCAGGATAAACCAGATCTCATATAACCATTATCAAAAATATCGGGGAAGCTCCTGGGCTTCCAGTTGACTGGCCAGTTGAAATAATAAACTCTTAACCTATCAAAAAATGGTCATCCTAGAAGATGGGAAGAATATAATCCAGGAATGTAATATGATAGGTCAAAACACACAATTATCAACATTTTATTTTGGTACCAAAATTTATACAAAAGAATATTTTAAATCCTAAATATATAAAATTTTGGATAAACAATATTTAGTCTAGAATTTTAAGATGTGATTTTTTTTTCTCCAAGTGGTTAACCAGTTCACTCAAAGCTTATTGAAAAACCTATCCTTTTTCACATTTACTTATGCTCAAACTGTTGTGTATTATATTTGGGCCAATTTATGGTGTTGTATTCAATTCCACTGACTTGTCTGCCTCTTCTGGCACCAGTGCCATAATGTTTTGAAAATTGCATATTTTCCCCCTTCAGCCCCCATAATAGCCAGGGGAATGAGGGCTGCGTGATCCGGCCTCCTTCCTGGCAACAAGACCAGCTATAACAAATCTGTCTCTGGACAGAATCTTCTTCCATCCCCGTCAACATGGTAGCCTACGCTTCAGGTTTCCTTTGTGCAATTTTCATCATATTCAAAGTGACTTCAAAGGAAATTAACTTCATTTGCTCCATGGCCCATCCCTGTTTCTTCAGATGATGGTGTGTTCCTAATACCCAAGATCTTCTATTCAAGCTTTCCAAGAGGCCATCTGCCTTCTCAAGGAGAGAACTGTCAGTTGTCTTTATTTCGCCTTCTCTCCATTAACAACAAAAAACTTTTAAGATGTGGTGCTATGGCAGAAATGCCATATTTTTAGCTATGTCTGCCCCTTCTGTCTTTTCCTGAGTTTCTAGCACTAATACAGTTTTCCCTGGCTTCATTTTTCATATTTGTGTTTATTGGTTTTAGTTTTTAGGATACAAAAAGAAATCAGTCTACCAGCTTTATATATCATTAAGCTAGGTAAAAACATATTTTAACAATTATCAAAATTTTGTTAATGGGCCAGGTGTGGTGGCTTATCCCTGTAACCCCAGCACTTTGGGAGGCCCAGGCAGGAGGATTTCTTGAGGCCAAGAGTTTGAGACCAGCCTGGGCAACACAGCAAGACCTATCTCTACAAAAAAAAAAAAAAATTATTTTTAATTAGCCAGGTGTGGTGGCACACACCTGTAGTTTCAGCTACTCATAAGGCTGAGGTGGGAAGATTGCTTGAGTCCAGGAGGTTGGGGAAGCAGTGAGCTATGATTGTGCCACTGCACTCCAGCCTGGGCAACAGAGAGAGAGAGAGACTCTGTTTCTAAACAAAAAAAAAAAACAACCCCCCCAACCCCGCCAAAAATTATTAAGGTTCCAGTTGTTTCTACCAAAGAAGATTTTAAATTCTAAATGTATGTCCATTCTCATATGAAAATCTTACCACAGAGACTTTAAAAATAGAAACCTAAATTGAAAACATTCACACTGGCCAAACCAACTTCATAGTAAATTACAAAAGAGCCACATTTCAAGCAAAGTGGAAAAGCAAGATTCACGCTGGTGTTGGCTTTAATATGAGATCACTGTTCACCCTTCATTAAATTTAATAAAAGGTAAAGTGCATAAAGGAATTAGCAATAGTTATTTTTAAAAAGTCCTTTTAACATGATCCTAAAAATAATCTCAAAGGCTTTTATCAAAGAGGAGCCTTGATAAGCTGTTTATACTTTAGATCCATACTGAAAGAATTTGCCTGAAGTCTTTGAATGTTCCTATTAATCCTATTTCTTTCAGATCCGTATGCTGAAGTTATTCACATACAGCAGCTTCATGGTACACTTTCTCCAGGATTTAAGTAGGTGACCTTAAGTCTATTCTTTCCTGACCATTCCAATTCTCAAAATTAAAAATGTTTGTGGAAAAATTTAATGTCAAAGGATGTGTTTATGACATAAAGAAAATGCAGGGTACACGCTCGCTCTCTATATTTTATATATACACGCATATACATACGTATATATATACATACTATATATAGGAGGCTTTTTTCTAGTTAAAAATAAGACAACTGCTGAAGCTAAAGTAAATGAGCAGTGGTATAAAAACTCTCAGAAAGGACATGTTTCAAATCAGAGGTTTTGTTCTATGTCTAGCTTTATACAGTAAGAACAGCATTCATTAAAGGCGCTGAAAGACAGGGAAAGTGGACAAGTACACGGAGACACTTGCGCAGACTGGGATGAATAAACTATTACGTTTATTAAGTAGCTTTTTGCTCCTCTGAAATCCTGGCTTAAATATTTTGGAGCAGGTTTCGCTCCCTTCATTTGCCATGCTGACACTAGCAAAGGAGTGATTTTTAAGCTCCTGATTTTAACACTCTGGAGTATTCTTGGCACACAGAAACACCTAGGTCCTTGAAGGATACTACTTTTCAAACCTGCAGTAGGCCAAAAATTAATCCCTCCCTTGAGAAACGGACATGTCACCGGTTGTCTGTGAAGTCTGCTCTTATTACTAGCTTCTACACATATTTCTTTAGGCCAGTGTGTGGGTAAGAATTAACTTGCTTGGCAAAACACAATCTCAAAGTTTAAAACAAGGTAATTTCATTATTTCAAACATTTGTTACTATGTGCAAGGCATGGTTTGGCTTCCGGAATATAAACTAGACTTTTTGTGGAAGTCATGCTCAGTCCAGTGAGTGAGATAACCAAACACAGCCCACAGAAAACAATTTGGAAGGTGTTACTACAGCATATCCAGGGATGCTACCGCACCTCAGGCACGTATGGGGGCGGGCGGGCACTGTGAGGGAATAATTCCAAAACAGCAACTTTTTTTTTTTTTGAGACGGAGTCTCGCTCTGTCACCCAGGCTGGAGTGCAGTGGCGCGATCTCAGCTCACTGCAAGCTCTGCCTCCCTGGTTCATGCCATTCTCCTGCCTCCCGAGTAGCTGGGACTACAGGCGCCCACCACCACACCCGGCTAATTTTTGTATTTTTAGTAGAGACGGGGTTTCTTCGTGTTAGCCAGGATGGTCTCGATCTCCTGACCTCATGATCCGCCCGCCTCGGCCTCCCAAAGCGCTGGGATTACAGGCGTGAGCCACCGCGCCTGGTAACAGCAACCTAACTCTTGAACAATGAGCAGGAAATTATGAAGCAGGCAAAGGAGGAAGGAAATTCCAGCCAGATGAAACAGCTGAGTGCAAAAGATAGGGAGACATGACATGGTTTTTTGGGGATCTGCAAGAGGTGGAGTCTTACTTGCTGGCTTACTCTTCCACATAGTAGGGGCGAGTTGGATTAGTTAGGAGCTGGCTTGAATATCCAAGGCTGGACTGAGCCTTCACTGGCAGTGGACTTTCCTGCTTAACACAAGACATCAAGTACAACTGGAATTTTTAAGGATTAAATGAAGTCCAAGCACCTGGCACAGTGCCTTGCAAATAAGTTACTTCTTAAATTGTCTTCAAAGACTAGTTTTGTTAAGCAGTGTTCAGCACCTTAATCCGGGTTTGAAGGTTAGCTGTTTGGGTGCAGCAAGGTGAGTAAGGAGCAGCAGGTTATGGGCATGTTAGCGTGTGGCTGAAACAACAGGGCATAGGATACTAGTGAAGGGAAAGAGTAGAAAGAAGAGAGACTGGGGGATGAGTTGAAACTTCAGCCCCAAATAAGACCAACAAAGGATGGAGCTGGAAGACCAAGTCGTGGATGAAACATTAGAGCTTAACTCCAGTGTTTCTCCAAGAGAGGAATTGCCACAGGTGCTGAGTAACTAGAAAATTATCATAGGAGTGGACTGCACTTAAAGAAAAGGTCAGTTTAGCTTAAGGAACAACGAGCTTAGGTAATGAAACTGACCTCGGATGATGGAATGTATGATAAAAAAAGTTCTGGGTGCCAGATCCTATGAACGTGAGAGATCTAATCCAGATTTTTGGTCCAGATTAGCAAGAATTAACAGTAAATCTAGCTGGATTATTTTAAAGTCAAAATGGCAGTGTGTGTTGTGTGTGGGGTGGGGTAGAGTTGGAATGGTTAGGCCAGACATCCCATCCCGTGCAACAGGGGTGTCTGGGAATAAACAAATGTAATCTAAGCATCACAACGAAAGGAGGGCCCTTCAGAAGAAAGTTAATTTGATTCAGAGGCAGCATTTCCCTAATTCAGTTCTGAACAGCTTTCATGATCTTTACAGTACTTGCCTGTCACCTATAGAAATATAACATTCTAAAATTTTAAAATCACTTAGTAAGTATTGCACTTAAAAAACACATTTAAAAAAAGTATGTCTGTATACCACTTAAAATCGATGACTGGCTGGCGCAGTGACTCACACCTATAATGCCAGCACTTTGGGAGGCCGAGGCAGGCAGATCACCCGAGGTCAGGAGTTCAAGATGAGCCTGGCCAACATGGTGAAACCCTGTCTCTACTGAAAATACAAAAACTAGCTGGGTGTGGTGGCCGGCACCTGTAACCCCAGCTATTTGGGATGCGGAGGCAGGAGAATCCACTTGAACCCAGGAGGCAGAGGTTGCAGTGAGCCGAGATCATGCCACTGCACTCCTGCCTGGGTAAGAGTGAGACTCCGGCTCTCCCTCTCCCTCTCTCTCCCTCTCCCTCTCCCCCCTCTCCCCTCCTCCCTCTCCCTCTCCTCCCTCTCCCCCTCCTCCCTCTCCTCCCTCTCCCTCTCCTCCCTCTCCCCCTCCTCCCTCCCCCTCCCTCTCCCTCTCCTCCCTCTCCCCCTCCTCCCTCCCCCTCCTCCCTCTCCCTCTCCTCCCTCTCCTCCCTCTCTCCCTCCTCCCTCTCCCTCTCTTTCCACGGTCTCCCTCTGATGCCGAGCCAAAGCTGGACTGTACTGCTGCCATCTCGGCTCACTGCAACCTCCCTGCCTGATTCTCCCGCCTCAGCCTGCCGAGTGCCTGCGATTGCAGGCGCACACCACCACGCCTGACTGGTTTTCGTATTTTTTTGGTGGAGACGGGGTTTCGCTGTGTTGGCCGGGCTGGTCTCCAGCTCCTAACCGTGAGTGATCTGCCCGCCTCGGCCTCCCGAGGTGCCGGGATTGCAGACGGAGTCTCGTTCACTCAGTGCTCAATGTTGCCCAGGCTGGAGTGCAGTGGTGTGATCTCAGCTAGCTACAACCTCCACCTCCCAGCCGCCTGCCTTGGCCTCCCAAAGTGCCGAGATTGCAGCCTGTGCCCGGCCGCCACCCTGTCTGGGAAGTGAGGAGCGTCTCTGCCTGGCCACCCATCCTCTGGGATGTGAGGAGCCCCTCTGTCCAGCTGCCCAGTCTGGGAAGTGAGGAGCGCCTCTTCCCGGCCGCCATCCTGTCTAGGAAGTGAGGAGCGTCTCTGCCTGGCCACCCATCGTCTGAGATGTGGGGAGCGCCTCTGCCCCGCCGCCCCGTCTGGGATGTGAGGAGCGCCTCTGCCCAGCTGCAACCCCGTCTGGGAGGTGAGGAGCGTCTCTTTCCGGCCGCCATCCCGTCTAGGAAGTGACGAGCGTCTCTGCCCGGTGGCCCATCGTCTGAGATGTGGGGAGTGCCTCTGCTCCGCCGCCCCATCTGGGATGTGAGGAGCGCCTCTGCCCGGCCGTGACCCCGTCTGGGAGGTGAGGAGCGTCTCTGCCCGGCCGCCATCCCGTCTAGGAAGTGACGAGCGTCTCTGCCCGGTGGCCCATCGTCTGAGATGTGGGGAGTGCCTCTGCTCCGCCGCCCCATCTGGGATTTGAGGAGCGCCTCTGCCCAGCCGTGACCCCGTCTGGGAGGTGAGGAGCGTCTCTGCCCGGCCGCCATCCCGTCTAGGAAGTGACGAGCGTCTCTGCCCAGTGGCCCATCGTCTGAGATGTGGGGACCGCCTCTGCTCTGCCGCCCCGTCTGGGATGTGAGAAGCGCCTCTGCCCGGCCGTGACCCCGTCTGGGAGGTGAGGAGCGTCTCTGCCCGGCTGCCCCGTCTGAGAAGTGAGGAGCCCCTCCGCCCGGCAGCCGCCCCATCTGAGAAGTGAGAAGCCCCTCCGCCCGGCAGCCGCCCCATCTGAGAAGTGAGGAGCCCCTCCGCCCGGCAGCCGCCCCGTCTGAGAAGTGAGGAGCCCCTCCGCCCGGCAGCCGCCCCATCTGAGAAGTGAGAAGCCCCTCCGCCCGGCAGCCGCCCCATCTGAGAAGTGAGGAGCCCCTCCGCCCGGCAGCCGCCCCGTCTGAGAAGTGAGGAGCCCCTCCGCCCGGCAGCCGCCCCGTCTGAGAAGTGAGGAGCCCCTCTCCGCCCGGCAGCCGCCCCGTCTGAGAAGTGAGGAGCCCCTCCGCCCGGCAGCCGCCCCGTCTGAGAAGTGAGGAGCCCCTCCGCCCGGCAGCCGCCCCGTCTGAGAAGTGAGGAGCCCCTCTGCCCGGCAGCCACCCCGTCTGGGAAGTGAGGAGCGTCTCCGCCCGGCAGCCGCCCCATCCGGGAGGGAGGTGGGGGGCAGCCCCCGCCCGGCCAGCCGCCCCGTCCGGGAGGTGGGGGGGTGCCTCTGCCCGGCCGCCCCTTCTGGGAAGTGAGGAGCCCCTCCGCCCGGCCGCCACCCCGTCTGGGAGGTGTACCCAACAGCTCCTTGAGAATGGGCCATGATGATGACGGCGGTTTTGTGGAATAGAAAAGGGGGAAATGTGGGGAAAAGATAGAGAAATCAGATTGTTGCTGTGTCTGTGTAGAAAGAAGTAGACATAGGAGACTCCATTTTGTTCTGTACTAAGATTCTTCTGCCTTGGGATGCTGTTGATCTATGACCTTGCCCCCAACCCTGTGCTCTCTGAAACATGTGCTGTGTCCACTCAGGGTTAAATGGATTAAGGGCGGAGCAAGATGTGCTTTGTTAAACAGATGCTTGAAGGCAGCATGCTCGTTAAGAGTCATCACCACTCCCTAATCTCAAGTACCCAGGGACACAAACACTGCGGAAGGCCGCAGGGTCCTCTGCCTAGGAAAACCAGAGACCTTTGTTCACTTGTTTATCTGCTGACCTTCCCTCCACTATTGTCCTACGATCCTGCCAAATCCCCCTCTGCGAGAAACACCCAAGAATCATCAATTAAAAAAAAAAAAAAAAAGTGAGACTCCATCTCAAATAAGAAAAAAAAAGATTATCTCAATCCCTACTTATACCACTATGTTTCTAAAGTGCCATTCCTACTCTCCCTCATTCCCCACATCCTTTCAGTACCTTTTCACTGTCCCCAGGTACACTTCCCGAACCACAGCAATAAAGGAAACTCATCGTAAGTAATGACCGCTTGCTTGTCAACTGGGCAGATTGGGTAGGCCACAAGCACTCACTGGTTTAGCTGCATTCTCCTTTATCAAGGAATTTAATACTTATTTATCAGGGTTTCCAGAAAAATACGTGGCCATAAACGAGTCACAATTCTGCATCTCTAATATTCAAATCCAAACCATTTTGAAAGTTCAAACTTCGAATTTCTATGTAATTCAAGACTCTCCTAGATTTATTTAACCACATCTCCAATTAATCCTGATTCATTTCTGGCCTCTACCACCTGCCCACCTATGAAATGTATCTTCCATGTTTAATTTAGAATTCTGTATATTCAGTTCAGCTTGTATTAAAAACTAAGAATTTTAAAATAGGAAAATGGAGACACACATACAACCTGCATCTGGTGGGTTAAGTATACAGATATGGCACTACTTTCTGTAAATAATGCAAATACTCAACATTTGAAAAGTTTACTGAAAACTTTTATTGTAATCAAAAAGTGACATAACAGGGTTGTAATGAATTCAGCAAATCATTCTGCTGATATTTTAGAACTTATATCAGCTTTTGCCAGGCAATTAAAAAATTCAAATGTGAAAATTTCACATTACAGTAAACTCCACCCCAACTAATTAATGGTGGTTAAAAATAATAGGCCCTAGCAAAACCTCTCATGTTACATGGTCACAACTCACAATTCTGTACAAAAGTTCGTGTTATAAAGCTCTGATGTAAAAATCAAATAATCAAGCAGCAATATTTTAAGTGCAGCACAGGGTCTTCCATGTCATTATTTACAAGGCTTGAATCTCTTTACATTATAACAAAATTTAATACAGATGACTTAGTAATTAAGTCAATTTAAAAAATCTGTCTTTTTACACAGTGACAGATTTCACTTTTTGGTCATCTTTCTCCTTCTCCTTCTCTTTATCTTTGTTCTTCTTTGACTTCTTTTTCTTGTGTTTGTGTTTTTGGCTTTTTTCCAATTCCACTTCAGTGCCTGCATGTTTCTTATGCTTCTTATGCTTTTTATGTTTCTTGTGTTTTTTCTTTTCCTTCTTTTTCTTCTTCTTCTTGCTGTCCTGACTTTCTGCTGAGCTGGCACTGCTACTGTGGCTTCGGGTCTGGCTTCCAGAAGGACTGTGGCTTCTGCTGGGGCTGACGCTGGGGCTGCTGTGGCTCTGATTCCTGCTTATGCCCACCTGGACAACTGCTGCTGTGTCCAGGCTCTCTTTTGCTTTCTCCACTATTTTATCTTTCAGGTCCTTAGAAATGTTTCCTGAAGATTCCTCTTCTTTTACAGAAACATTACTTTCACTGTCACTTTCATTATAGTCTGGTTCAAAAGCAGCTTCATCAGTTTCTCTAGTTAAGTCAGAGGAAAGTCTAGAGGAATGACTTAACTGGGGTTTAGGCTTGACAGTACTCTTGTCAATTTGCCCAGTAATTTGCTCTTTTTCAACCTGTGTCTCTGGTGGGTTAAGTATATAAAGTAGTTTATTGCCACTTGACTCTTTATTGTTCCTTGCTTCTAATACATGCTTCTCACGATCCTTACAAGGATTTTTATCTACAGATTTTGTCTCTTCATTTGGCCGTTTAGTATCATAAGTGGCTTTGTGATCATGAGGTTTTCTGTCTCTTGAGGGACTAGAATTACTTTTTTTGGAATCTCCTGTTCCTTTTTTAGGCAAATCTCTCTCTTCCCTTGGTTTATTTTTCTGTCCAGATGCAGAATCTTTATTCCGAGAAGGAGAGTCTTTTCGTCTTGTTAATTCATTCTTTTCATCTCTACGTTTGGAACTTGAATACTCTCTGGTGTCATAGTCAGTTTTTTTGTCTCTATTGGGAGTGAAGTCTTTATTTGAGGAAGCACGAGTGGAATCATGTTTATCTGACGTTCTAGCCTCTTTGGAAGATTGAGACAGACTTTTAAAATTTCCTTGTTCATTCAGACGGTCCAAATTACTCTCTTTCTCTGGCTGAGTGCTGTTCTTCCTCTTTTCAGGGTTCTCCTTTTCCAACACTGAATAATCTCGATCTTTGGTTTTCCCTTTTTCACTAGATGCAGAGTTTTTTGAACTTTTAACCTCATGTTGTATGATTTCATGGCTCACGTCCTTGGTGAATTTCTGAATTTTCTCGGATGGCTCACTTTCTTTCTCAGGATACTTGACTATATTTGATGGCTTTGTACTAACATTTTTTATAACACTAGCAGGTTTTCCTACACTTGATATAGGCTGTGTGGATTTAACATCTTCTTCTTCAGATTCAAAGTCATCTTTATCCCATTTGGATTGAGGAACCTGAATCATAATGATAACATCTTCAGCTGGCGCGGTATTGTCATTATTATATTCTTCCATCGTTTTAATCACAGTTCGCTTTGTATCTGTTTTTTCTTCAGATTTCCGCACAGGACTGCCTCCAGTTGAGCTCGTACTAAAAAGAATAACAAAATATTTTTAATTAATGAAGAATTTACTATTAATTATAAAACACTGATAAATATAAAAATGCTAACTTAAACACAAATGTCCTTTTAACATTAAAAAAAACAAAAAACTTATTCTGCCCTAAGGAAGACACACAATTTAAGATTATGATTGTATCAACACAAATGTGGCTCACCCCCAAAATCTATTTACAACCTTGTCTTTGGCAATTCCCTTCTTCAAAGACAACAAAAGACTACATAAAACCAGCCTACTTCCCTAGATCAGCATTCATAATTAATATAAAAAGCACAAGCATGGATAAAACTGAAGAAAATCCTTCTCCCAACAAAGTTCCACACCCACCCCCTACACTCAGCTACCTGGTGTAATCCACCAGAGTTGAGCTGGATCCTTCAGTTCCAGTCACTTTTCGTCTGACCTTTCCTTTGACTTTTTCTTGTTTAACTTTGCTAGATGTTGACTCCAATTTTTCAGAGGGTTCTTTTGTGTTTGATATATTTTCTGTACTTCCAATTTTCTTCCCAGTTTCTCTGTTGAGTTTGATTTTTTTGGCTGGCGCACTTAAAGAAATTTTGTCCTTTTCAGGGGTCCTATCCATTTTTTCAGTATCAGGTTCCATTTTGCGCTTTGGTGATGGTTTCACTATTTCAGTCACTTCTAGTTTCGAGATTTTCATTGAAGAAGACTCAAAATCTTTATCTACGCCTTTTTCTTCAGTTTTTCTTTTTCTTTTTTCTCCCTTATTATCAAGTGGTTTGTTTTTCTCATTAGGCTTCTTGGCCTTTTCTTCCTTAGTTGTTAGCTTTTCTGATTTGACATCTTTGGAATAGTCCTTCTTCACTTTTTCCTCTTTGACTGGTTTTGTTTCTTGGTGTTCTTTTGCTGATTTAGAGTGAGCTTTTCTGGGGGTTCCAGTGATTTTTTCATCCTTCTGAGAGGAAGATGATGATTTAGTATTGTCAGTCTTCGGAGTCTCCTCTTTGGCTTTTTTAATTGGAGGTTCAGATCGAGGAGATCTCTCACGTTCTCCATCTACTTTTTCTTGGGGTCCTTTAGCAGGTTTTACAATATTTTCTTTTTTGGACACAGCAGATCCATCATTCTTCCGTTTGGTTTTATCACCCTTTGCTTTTGGTTTATCCCTTTCTCTCTTGTCTTTTTCAGACACTGATTTAAAAGTGATTGATTCTGCATCCATTGGTTCATCTCTAACAGGTGTGGCATCATCTCTACTTGGGAGAACAAACAATGAGTCTGTTTTATTTTCTTCAACACCTGTAGGTTCTCTTGATTTCCTAGAAGTCTCTAATAACTCTGGGTTCAGAAAACCCTCACTTTCCTCCCCTTTTCTTCTTTTTCTGTGTTTCTTATGCTTATTTCCTTTACCATCTCCTGGAGCGTTTTCACTCTCCTTCTCTTTTGACTTTGTATTATCCTTCTGATTGTGACCATCTCTTGCTGAAAGCTTTTCTGGATAGTTGCTACCTATGTTTCGACTTCTATGACTTTGCCCACCAACATAGTCTTCTCTGCGGCCTCTTGTGAAGGGAGAATTCCTGATGTTAAGTGGCAAAAATCTCTCTGGAGAAAAGTTCTCTCTATTTGCTGAGGGTCTAGGCTGTGCTCCAGCAGCATAACCTTTATAATATTTTTCATACCACTCTCTATATTTTCTCTCCCATTCTCGGTAGCGTTCTTTTTCAAATGGGTCTCTAAAGTCAACACTTCTCCCATAATATGCTTTCATGTCATATGGTGGTGGAACTTCTCTGTATCTATTAAAATATTCACGTTCTGTTTCCCCTTGAGGTACATTACGTTTATTAGGAGACTGTCCCCTAAACGCTTGAGGAGATCTTGATCGTGAATGATAGCGTCTGTAAGGGGGTGACCTTGACCTAGATCGATGATATCCATGAGATCTAGACCGTGAACGGTAATTGCGGCTCTTGCCTCTGCCTCTTCTGGGGTATGGAGGTGACCGTGAATAGGAACGAGAATGTGAGCGGCTGAATGATCGAGAATAAGAGCGTGAACGTGTTGAACCAGATCTTGATTTAGAATAAGTATATGAACTTCTTGAATACGAAGAACCACTATAGGGAGATTTAGACCTAAAAACAAAACAAAACAATAGTTGATAGTTGAGAAATACATACAAAATAAAACACAGACTCTCAGATTCTAGCATTCTTTCCTCACGGTTTCATCTATCTTTATATCAAATTTCATCTTAGATGATTAAAGAGGCACAGTGACCTCTACTGGAATGGAATAAAGTACACAAATCGGAGCAATCACTTGTTACAAAACAAAAGTGAAGTCTTAACAATTAGAGTGAAGTGCATTAATGTACCGTGAGTTATATGAGCTAACTAACATTAAACAAAATGTCAATTAATTTTAAATTTCACTTCCTATCTGAATATTGAAGTAGGAGTCTGTTTTTTGTCCTATACTGGCCAACAGCCTAGTTTTAAAAGAAACCACATTTCAAGTGTAAGGCTAAAAAATAAAGTCTTTTAAACAAACTTCCAGGGAATTTTTATAATTCACTTTTTCTATCAATAAAGCGATCTGTATTCTACTACTACTTCATAATTACGCAGGTTAATGTTCCAGCAAGAAGCTGTAGCCTTATGGTAAAAGGGTCCTGGGAACTGTTTTTTGGCTATTCCCCTATTTCTTTCCTTCCAAAAACATTTCCCAATTATTTGATACTATGAATAACTTTAAGGGACAAGGGCAATTTAATCCCCACAACTGTTAGTTCTACACAATAAAATTTACACTGAGACATTATTTCAATGAACAGATATTGGGAAATAAGCTACATCTTCACTTCTATACACCTAGACCGAATCAGAAAAATTCCTAAGTGCAATGTTCTTTATATCCATAGCTAATCCCTGGATATTCAAAGTCCCGTTTGTAATTCTGTTGTGAAGGCTTGCAAAACACTAACCTGGAAAATGAGCGCCTACGCTCCTTTTGAATCTTTTTGTATTCCATCAATTCCTTAGCAAAATCATTTGTAAACTCATCTAGCTTGGACTTTTTCTTTTCCCTAGTAAAATAAAGTTAAAGAGTGAAAGTTAACAAAAACCATTTAAGAAAACTAACAAGACAAATGTAATTAGATCATGAATGAAATGAATGAAATTGCCATTAGTTTTCCACTTTAAAACTATAAACTAGGAATCCCTGAGAAGTTGCTTGTATGGCTTTGGTTTAAATTTTAGGTGAATTTCTCATACTAACTGGAAACACTGGAAAACGTTTCCAGACACCTATTTAATGTTATTATCAGAAAATGAAAAAAGTGTATAATAATTTCAAATTAGAATACATACTCTTCTTTTAGTCGTCGCTGCTCTCTATAGAATTCTTCCCTGGACAAAGGTGGTGCTTGTGTTGTTGGGATGGTATTTGAATGAGCTGTCTGCACTCCTGATGATACCCAAGGTGTTGATAAATTGGCAGGAGCTGGAGGAAACCCTGGAGGAGGGACACTATACCCAGCGGGTGGTGGCTGGCCAGGAGGAAACTGAGGAGAAAACTGTGGAGGAGGAACACCCGGAGGGAGAGGAAGTGTATGGGGAGGAGGCGGATACAAAGGAGGTGGTGGAACAGGTACAAAGACTGGAGTTGCTGGTAGTGACGGGCCTTGAGTCCTCTGTGATCTTTCGCTGTGGTGTCGCCCACGGTTTATACTTCTGGAAAAATAAATTCCAAGATATTACTTCTTCAAACTAAAGTCATCTGAGACAAGTAAGCTTATCTCTTCTATCCATAATTATTTTCAAACTTAAAAACAGTGGAATAGAACCAACTATTCAACTAGTGTAGCAACATTAGTACAATTTATTTGTAAAAATAACTCTACAACATAATTTTTAAGGCCATGTCTCGACTGAGATGATGCAAGTTTATAGGACCTTCTCTACACGGAAATATTGTATTTAAAAGTTCTCTTTTATGAAGTTCAGACTGATTATCACTCCACTAATTACTACCTGTTACTTCCTAAACTGTCTTTTGAAGGCACTGACAGGTTAATGCTGCTATGACCTAGCTCTCCCCAAAAGCTTACTTATTCATTTATTTTTTATTTTTTGAGACAGAGTCTCACTCTGTCGTCCAGGCTGGACTACAGTGGTGTAATCTTGGCTCACTGCAACCTCCACCTCCTGGGTTCAAGCGAATTCTCCTGCCTCAGCTTCCCAAGTAGCTGGGACTAGAGACGTGTGCCACCATGCCCAGCTAATTTTTGTATTTTTAGGAGAGACAGGGTTTCACCATGTTGGGCAGGCTGTTCTCAAACTCCTGACCTCAGGTGATCTGCACAAAGTGCTGGGGTTACAGGTGAGAGCCACCACACCTGGCCCCAAAAGTTTAAATGAAGGAAAACCAACTCCTGTAACCTCTTTTTTGAGGGAGGAAGTGGGTAAAGATCATACAAAGCAGAATAAATTCTAGTTTTAACTTCTATAATTAACAATGAAAATATCAACGCTTTCTCTCAAAAGCTTAAGTAAAAATAACAGTGTTGGCTAAGTTTCTAATTTGTGCCTCACCAAACAGAACTGGTTACTTCTGTTAAACTAGAGGTGCTTTAAATTATAAATAATTGGTACACAACAGCAACAGTAGGGGTTTAGATTTTAAGCATCTTTTCAGTGAGCCATGAATAACTATTACCTTCTTTTAAAATGTGATCCAGTAATGACATAGTAAACTTTCATAAGTTTAGCAATGAAGCACTAGAAGATATCCCGAATTTCCTTCTTTTTGGAGACAGGGTCTCACTCTGTCCCCTAGGCTAAAGTGCAGTGATGTGGTTATAGCTCACTGCAGCCTTGACTTCCTAAGCTCAAGTGATCCTCCTGCCTCAGCCTCCCAGGTAGCTGGGACCACAGGTGCATGCCACCATGTCTGGTTATTTTATTTTTTTGGTAGAGACAGAGTCTTGCTATGTTGCCCAGGCTAATCTTGAACTTCAGGCCTCAAGCAATCCTCCCCCATCAGCCTCCCAAAGCTCTAAAATTACCAGCATGAGCCATTATGCCTGGCCAAAACTCTTGTTATGAAGTTTTGGAGGCTCCTTTATCCTGGTGGTGATTATGACCTAGACTAGCAGTTCTCAACCGTTTTGGCACCAGGGAGCTGTTTTGTGGAAGACAATTTTTCCATGGACGGGGGCAGGGGGGTAAAAACTGTTCCACCTTAGATGATCAGGCATTAGATTCTCCTAAGAAGCGTGCAACCCAGATCCTTTGCACACGCAGTTCACAACAGGGTTCATGCTCCTATGAGAATCTTAATGCCACTGCTGATCTGACAAGAGGTGGAGCTCAGGTGGTAATGCTCGCTCAGCTGCTGTTCACCTCCTGCTGTGTTGCCCAGTTCCTAACAGGCCAAGGATGGATACTGGTCTGTGGCCCAGGGTTGGGGACCCCTGACCTAGACAGTAAGATTCTTACTTCTTAGATTAATATTGCTTGTACCCGCCCACTAGGGCAGGAGCCTCTAACAATCTCCTGTCTCTTCTTTTGGAAAAGAGACGGTGGGAGATGATTGGGACAGTGGGGTCTAGAAGAGAAATAGTTGCAATTCTTGTTCACAGTTGGGAGCTGAGCTTGTTAACTTTAATCTTAAATTAAACTGGTATCTTAGATATTGTCTGACCCCTGACTTTCTTCTACTTCCAAGAGGGTAAATGCAAGCCAATACTCTGCTGTTTGCTGACAGGGAGAAAGTAATCACTGGGAAGGAATATTAAAAATGTCTTAAAAACCATCATTTAAGATACTATATATAATTTATTCTTTTCTAGCCCTCTTTAAGGACAACTACCCAGGACTTAAGAGGGATAAGCACAATACAAACAAATGACCCCCTTCCTTCCTGCCACTGCTGTGCTTTAATTTCTTTGGTGAGATATATATATAAAAAATAAGATGATTATTTTCCAAGATTTTTAGCATGCCTACCTGTAGCAGCTCCTCTCCCCTCTTCTAATTTGTTGTGGTGGAGAAACCAGATAGCCAAGTTTGTTGGAACTGTGTGGGAGAAAAAAAAATAGGCTCAAGTATTTCTCCATGGGTATAATACATGACCTTTCCATGCATAGCTGTTAAGACACCAATTTTAACTACTCTGAAAACTTTTTCCTACTCCCCAGTTCTTAAATTTGTTTCGGATACAGAGCTGAGTAAATATTATATTTACTTAAAACTAACTTTCCCCCACCAATTAACTGTATCATAACAATAACTAGACCTCAAAATAGATTACTTTATGTAATATTATATTTTAATTAGCACTCTATAAATTACTCTGTGAACTTATTGTTATATACAAGGAAAAGAGCCCTTTTGTCTGCTGGGCACAATGAAGTCATTTTACATGTTAAGGTAGGTAGTGTCATTCCAAATCCAAACGAGGAAATGGATGTTAGGGAGTAAAACCACAAGACCACTGTCATGCAGCTAGGAAATGAAGGAGATGGGATTCAAACCCAAGTCTACCTGTTTCTAAATCCTATGTTCCTTCTACTGATACATCCTGCTAGTAACTCATACTTTTAAGAATATATCAATTTTCAATCGGATTATATAAACAGAAATAATTATATAACTAAAAATACATTAAGTAAGTCTGCTGATTTTTAATGCCATAAAATATCCCACAGAGAAAATCAAAGTTCTTTGTATTTTAGGGTGGCAAGAACAACTCGATTTCAGACAAAAAATTTTTGTTTGGTAGACGTTAATCTTATTATGTATTTATGTACTCAAATCAAACTTTGATCATCCAAATTAAGGGTAGAAAAAGTTAAACCTACTAGGAAAATAACTGCCACCATATTTAAAATAACTTTTCAAGTAATTCTTATCTATTCATTAAACTGAAGTCCTGTCAAGATCCCCATTTGTTGGATATGAAAGTAGAAAAAAACTTTTAAAATTTTGTATTTTAGAAAAGATTTGCTCATTTAAAAAAAACCCTCATATAAGCTTGAATTTTGACATTTTACATAAAAAATGTTAATCTGGCACATGAAAGTTTACAATAAAGAGCAGCGACCCGCTGCCTAGTTTGGACCTTCCATTATCTAGTTTGCCTAGTTTGGACCTTCCATTATCTAGTTTGCAGGCAATCATCTGAAGATTATTGTAAACATCTACTCACTGTTCCCAGCCTGGTCGACCACCACCTGGACGAGCAGTATTTATTCTTACTGGACCTAGAAACAAAAAATAAAAGCAGTAGGTAAATACAAAATTGCACATTAAATCAAGCTAAAATTATTTTTTAAAGGGAAAAAGGTCTAAACCAAAGTGATCTTACTCACCAGTTGTGGGGATCAACTGTCCATGCAATAATGACTGTCCAAGCAAAGATGGGGTTCCAAGAACAGGCACCTGGTAACCCTTTAGAAACAACCACAAATAAACAGAAATAGTTAAAAAAAAAAAAAAAAAAGAGGTAAGAACAAAGCCAGAAAAACAAAACCCTGCTGTAAAAAAAATCCCAAATTAAAGCACCAGTAAAATTTACCTTCTCTTCCATAAGAGCGGTAATTGCAATTGAGGAGGTTCCCTTTGAGTGCTCTGATGCAAGAGCTGCAGCTGGCAATATTTTATTATCAGAATCCCTTTAAAAAACATAAATTATAATACATTAAAAATTATCAGAAATGGACAATTAAGAGTAAAAAAGTTTGCTGCTGTTTACCCATCACCTGCAGTTAAGATGAGTTAAGTCAAAGATGATGAATACTTCTGAGGAAAGTGAGAGAAGGCTGAAACTTTGAAGAGTTCTCTATATGTAGTAAGTGGAAAAGTAAAATGAAGGACCTCCTTAAGAAGATACTACAGTTATGACAGAAATCAGTTGCAAGAATAGTAAAACTTAAAATCAAAGTCTGGCCTATGAAGACAAAAATCCCCCTAGGATTAAGAGTTAAGTTTTAGCTCTAGTTCTACCACTAAACTGAAAGGATAATCTTGGGTCAGCCATAGAACTCTCTGGGCCTATTTCCACTATCAACCAAATAAATTCCACCAGATCAGTGGAATTTCTTAAATGTAAATGTAAAGGTCTCATCCTAAAGATTTTGCTTCAGTGTGTCTGAAATGGGCCTCTTACACCTTTTTTTTTTTTTTTTAAAGAATTTATGAGACATTAAACTACATGGACAAAAGTCTCATTTCTGAAGTGGTAGGCTGTGAGTTTTCACTATTCTCCTACATAATAATTATGCTCCAAAACAATCACTATTCCTGACTTCTCTACTTACCTGTGTTTTTACCCCCTCTTCTCTACCTATCTAAACTGTTCTTAGTTCTACTCAAAACTACTCCTATCCAAAACTATCATTATGATCACAAGTGAATTCTCCCACCTCTGTTAAGTTCAGAGCTGTTATGGTATATGGAACATTCAACGTTTAATAGGGGCTGGTTGGCAACCTGTGTAGTATTTGACCTCAGGATGCTTAATCCTCATTTGCCAAATCAATCACGTTTGTTTTCCTCTTCCCCCAATAAGACTAAGTCACTTCTTACAAGTCATCCCACATTACTGAGCACAGTGGTCCACTAAGAAAGCTGTTAAAAGTGATAACCAACAACAAAACACTACATCATTGACCTCATTTGGTTTCTAACAGTGAAAAACACACAGGCTTACCGAAAAGGTCCATCTGATTTTTCTGAATGAACTGATATGGATACTGTTGCAGTTATATCAGGTACAGGAGCTGGAGCAGAAGACGGATTTCCAGACACAGGAGGGGCCAAGGAAGACTGATTAGAAGTTAATGAAGATATAGACGGAGCTGGGTGAGTTGATGAAGATGTCACTGGAATCATAAGAGGATCTTGTTGTCTTGATATCGGAGATCTCATCAGAGGTTGTAGGTTCCTCTGAATCAGTGGTCTCGGAGGTGGTATTGGGGGTGGTGGAGGAGGTAACTGTTTTCGTAGTCTTTTTGTATAGCCAGTTTCATTTTTGAAGTTATTTACAGCCTACAGATACCAAGCATAATAATGCAGAAAAATGTTATGCAGTATTCACTGAAGTACAGTTAAATCAGTTAAAAAGAATTTTTTCATAAAATGGATACAGACAGTTACCTGTCGTAAAAATTTATTGGCAATTAAAGCATCAGGAGAAACATCATTTTGATGACACGTCGGACATGTGTGCTCATCTGATTCCAGGAGTGCTGTTCTTATACCTATGTATAAGATTTCAAATATTAATAAAAGCATAGTAGGAACTCAAAGTGTTTACGAAATGAATTAAAAGGATGGTCCACATTTGTTCAGTTACATTACTGTTTTCCAAGCATGTCGTGCTAATCATTTCTTAGATTAAGAAACTTAAGTAAAATCTCTCATCTTACAGTACTCCTCTGCTCTTTTCTATATGACCTATGCTACGCTAAAAAGAAGTCACAGCTGGGTGTGCTGGCATGTGCCTGTAATCCCCACTCCTGGGGAGGCTGGGACAGGAGAATCACTTGAGCCTAGAAGTTCAAGGCTAGCCTGGGGCAAAATAGCAAGGATCCCCCACCCCATCTTTTTTTTTTTTTAAACAAATGTCTGAATTGAGAGCAAAAGCACTCTTTCTCAAAGACTATTCTTTGTTTAGCTAGTAACTGGAATATTGTAGAAAACAAAAGAGAAATATAAGATAGTCTAGAAAGACAAAAATTTTACATGGCTAACTTGGGGTTTTTATTCAGGCAAGGAAATGAGAGACCTACAGCACAGTACGTGGGAGCAACACTAAATTACAGATACGAAGATTAAGCTTCAATGTAGTAAAACTCCAGTAATACCAAGTGGTATGTTAAATCTAAGATATAATCTGAAACAAGTCTTTAGCAACCTCTTCTTGACCTTGGTCTTCACTGAAGAGGTCAAAAAATAAAGATTTACAGGTATCCAAAGGGGATGGGTTCCAGAACCCTCTGAAGATAACGTCTGTAGATGCTCAAGTCACTCAACTGCCCCAAAGGCATAGTATTTGCATATAATACTATGTACATCCTCCAGTATACTTTAAATAATCTCTAGATTGCTTGTAATACCTGCTGCAATATAAATGCTATGTAAATAGTTGTTATACTCTTATTTTAAAATCTGTATTAGTCTTTACTATTATTTTTTACTGTTTTCTTGCCCCCAAATATTTATGATCTGTGGTTTTGAATCTGCAGATGCAGAACCATGTGTATGAGGACTGTATATTTCAAAACTACCTTTAAAAATGAAAAAGGCCAGAGCAGGCTTGAGCAAATTTTCAGGTAACACTGATTTCTTCTGTGTAAGAAGGCACAAACTTAGGATAAGTGGCAGGAAACAACTAAGTGCTAATATAAGTGATTTAAAAAGTCACAACTGCATGGTAAATGCTGGGTAATAAATATGTCTACAGATGTCGGGCGCGGTGGCTCACGCCTGTAATCCCAGCACTTGGGGAGGCCGAGGTGGGCGGATCACGAGGTCAGGAGATCGAGACCATCCTGGCTAACACAGTGAAACCCCGTCTCTACTAAAAATACAAAACATTAGCCGGGTGTGGTGGCGGGCACCTGCAGTCCCAGCTACTTGGGAGGCTGAGGCAGAATTGTGTGAAGCCAGAAGGCAGAGGATGCAGTGAGCCGAGATTACACCACTGCACTCCAGCCTGGGAGACAGTGAGACTCTGTCTCAAAAAAAAAAAAAAAAAACAAAAACTGTCTACAGGAATCAGGTGTTAATACACTTAGAAATATTAGGATAAGCTATTCACAATCCAGGAAAAAGATTTAGATACCACTTAAAAATATTTCCAGAATTATCTAAGGCCCAAAAAAGTTTTAAAATTCTGGATACCACTTAAAACATACAGGAAACAAAAAGTCTATATTAAGAAAAACACCTCAGTATAGTCACCCTGATGAAGGTACAGAAGTCAATTCTAGAATTTAAAAGGACAAACAGGTTATTGTTTAAAAAAGATACAGCAAGAAAAACAGACTTCTCACTACTTAATGCTCATTGATCAACACTTGTCATCAACATTATTTATTTTATTATTAAAACATATGAGGTTGGGAAGAGCCATTCCAAGTAAATACAAATATTCTAAAATATACATCTTCCAAGATTCAGCACTTCTTACATTCATCACAGTAACTGTTTCCACAGCAGGGAATCACAACAGCATCAGTCATAATATCCTTGCAGATGAGACACAACAATTCATCTGGGATAGGATCATCTTCTTCTGAGGAAGAAGATGGCTCCTCTGGTAAGAAGGGAGGTTTCTCTTTCTTCCCAATTGCATATGCTTCTCTGTAAAAGAAAGTTTTCATGTTTTACCATTGTTAAGAAGGCAGAGTACTCATGCTACATGTTCTACTATAACATAATGGGAACACATAATTCAGCGCAATGCCAAATTAGTTTAGACAAGCACCATATCTTCTAAAATAAGGGAGTAATTATGTACAACCTAACCCTAAACAAAGACACAAAAGTCTAAACAAGCATAACAAAAAGAAGCAAAGAAATGCTACAAAAACAATAAAAGGATCTTAGAACCCGTCACTCTTAAGAACTGAGGGCCAGAAATAAAGCGAAATGTTCTGTGCCATAAAGTTCTATTTAAGTGACAAAGACAAGACTTGAATTTAGACAACACCATAATCACAATTTTTCCTACTCTATCAAGTTTCTTGAAAAAAATAAAAATGAAAATTAAAATTAAAAATCCCAAAAAATCTCCCCTTCTCCATAACCCAAAAGTCTCTCAAACCTGTGAAGGTATTGGAGTAAATGCCACAAGACGGGAAATTAAAATTAGTACTGACATTATACAATTAAGGAAAGATAGTTCAAGGGAAATATTATGTCATTACCACACAAATAATTAATAAAATGAGATACCAAAACCCATGATCTACTTATTAGTATTTTAAGAGAGGTTAATCAATTTATAGTCAATTAAGAAGCATTAGTGACTTAAATGATCAAAATCGGTGTTACAAAAATGTAAAGTAACACCTCATTAGACATTCTAGGTCCAGTTTTTTGTAGAAATGCATTTTGCAGAAATGTTGGGCATTAAATATAGTATTAAAAAATAAAAATAGCTATTCTCAGACTTGTCACCACTGCTTCTACACCCCCATCTTCTCTGTAATCAGGCAAATTTGCAAAACACAGGAATCCCTAGAGAAACCCTTTCTATTTCATTCAGGAACAGAGTGTGTTTATCTCAATGCTGAAAATGAAAGAATCTCGGCTGTACAGAGTAGGGTACCTTAGGTGTGTTATTTGTGTTGCAGTTGCTCCATAGACATCACCACGATTCCAGAAATAAGTATCAATTTGCTTATGCCCCATTGTTCCCAATTTGTGAAAGAGGAGTCTCCCACTGCCCAAAAGAGAGAAAAAAGAAAAAAAAAAAAAAGAAAAAAAGAGGAGAACAGAGGATAGAAAAAGAAACAGAAGAAGAGTCTGAGTTGCTTATCAGTGGTGTTAGTGAAGAGGGTGAAAGTTTCATTTAAAATATTTAGATTCCCATCTTTCCCCAGTATTTGCTGTGTGTCTGGCACAATTGGGCATTTGTATTTCAGCATTCAAAAGCAATGAAGTTAATTATTAGTTAGGGTTTACAGGTGATACTAATTTTTCCAACACAAATTTTTACTTAAAAATTTTACATAATATAGATGAAGCGGTCTGCTCTTAATTGTGTCTGTAAAAATAATCAATTTCAAGCTAAAGTTATTTGGAAACATCTATGAAATGTCTCTGAATTAGAAACAGCATAACAACAGACTGTTCAATGATGAACCACAAAAACACAGGATGGTGACTGATAAAAAATAGATGGGGGTGAAGTTGAGGAAGTGAGCAGGGTTGGGAGTTTAGGAAAACATTCTTATCTGTGAACGAAAACACTATTTGCTGAAGTACATATTCAAAAACACAAGATCTTTTCAATATCATTCTATGGCATAGCTATTTTCATCATCATCCCCACCTGCTCACTACACTACACTTCAACAATATTTATAGCATGAAGCTGAGGAACTGTTCTTATATATGTATGTATTTTTTCACTGAGAACATGAACACCTAATTCTGTAAATTGATGCCCTGAGGATCCCCTAACTTCACAATCTCTTGGACAACCTGTTAAAAATGTAGAATCAGGGTCTTATCACATAACTTCTAAATCAAAATTGGGGGCGGAGCAACCAGGATCTTTTTTTTTTTTGCCCAAGGTCCCTCTACCTGGCCAGCCTTTTAACATACTTTTGTAGGAAATTCTTATGCTCAACAAAGTTAGAGAACAGCAGTCCAAAGAACACTTAATATTATGCTGTATAGTATGTGAGATCACAACTGTTGAAGGTAATCAAAAAAGTAACTGACTACATTAATAAAAGCAGATAAAATGGGAGGTTATCTAGTTGAACCCTGCCACTGAATTTTCATGTCTGTCCATTTCATTAAAAACTGGTTCATAATATAAAATCTGAATACACATTAAAAATGGGCATTAAGGGCCAGACGTGGTGGCTCATGCCTGTAATCCCAGCACTTTGAGAGGCCGAGGCGGGTGGAGCACAAGGTCAGGCTAACACGGTGAAACTCCGTCTCTACTAAAAAAATACAAAAAATTAGCCGGGCGTGGTGGCGGGCGCCTGTAGTCCCAGCTACTCAGGAGGCTGAGGCAGGAAAATGGTGTGAACCTGGGAGGTGGAGCTTGCAGTTAGCCGAGATTGTGCCACTGCACTTCAGCCTAAGGGACAGAGCGAGACTTGGTCTCAAAAAAAAAAAAAAAAAAAAAGGCATTAAGGTGTTTTATAGAGCTATAGTTGATCTGAACTAGTGGTTTATAAAATAAACCTTACTTGAGAATCTTAAGACTCACATGGCATATCCAAACTTATTCAAGCTACTTCAGTATTTCATTTATGCCTGACACTTAAATTTGCCTCAACATCATGCAGAGCTTTTATTCTTAAGCCTCCTGTTTCTCAAAATGATTACAATCTGTTTTGTTCACTTAAAAATGCAAGTAGCATATATAATAAGATTATGTGGGAGTATGTATGTGAATGAGGAAGAAAGCAGGGAATGACAGAAAAAGAAAAAATTAGAAGACTACAAGGGAAGTGGCACTCACTGGTAACAAAAAATCCCCAAATCCATTTTAAATTTGCTTTAAATGGAGCAGACTGCAGCCTCACAGAAATGCAAGATGTAGAGACTAATGGCTTTGGTATACAAAGTTCTCAAGGAATCCAAGTAGCAAAGTTACAAGCCCAAGATTAAAACACTATACCCTGGGACTGACTGGAGTCTCCACAGGTCATACCTAATTTGCATACTTACGCATCTATAGTTGGTATTGCATATTTTCCAGTGTTGGTAAGCATTGCACCTTTCATATTAGGATCTTTCACTTCCATCATGAAACTTCTGGGAATTCCAGTGCTCTTTTTAATCCTAGGACCAGATTCAAAGTTTTTATCCTATTCAGAGGAAAAAGGAAGAGGAGGAGGAAGAGAAAAAGCAGTTATCTTTATTTAATAAATTAGCTAATGTTATACAGTGCTTACTATATTACTTGTAGTGCTTTACATATGTGATCTCATTTAATCCTTGTAACTGCTATGTGAAGTACGTACTATTTTATCTCCATTTTAGAGAAGAAAAAACAGGCTTATAGAGATCAAGTAACTTGCCCAAACTCAGCCAAGTGCCAGAACCAAGATTTGAAGCCTGGCAAATTTGGCTCCAGAGACCATGCTCATTTGCCATTGTCTACAGAAGGCAGTATTAACCAAGAAAAATAAGATAGCTAAGGAACAATTCCAAAGGAAAAAAAGTAAGATATACCATAGTTTCTGCTTTGAACTTACCCCATTTGTTGGGCAATTCTTAATATAATGTCCAGGTTTACCACAACGGAAACACGTGTAAGATGGAGGTGGTGGACCTAGAGGTTTCTTCATGTAACTAAAAGGGGGAAAAAAAATTACATGTATACGAGGACTTTGAAAAAATAGTGCTTTTGATTGGGGGGGAAAACCCACCCCAAAAGTTCCTATTAGTATAAAATATTTATGAACTTACTTGATTGGGTCGTATTCATGGCCAGATTGCGACATCATTGCTTTAATTTTATCTTCTTCAGAAGCATTGGCTTCAGCCAGATTGGCAGTCTGTTTAACAGGTAATTATTTGACACACACATTAGAAACACATTTAAGACCACACAGCCAAAGACAACACCACTCATCCTGTAAAGAGCAGTATCTAACTAATCTTGCATAAAAACAGCTATTTACACGTATAACCTGGAAGAGGCACTTGGGAATTCCTTAGGTAATTACATGATGTTTAGGTGTCTGCAAGGCTGAAGAAAGTCATTCTGGGGGCACTCAAACCTTAGACCCTGTTTGTACCTTACATTAAGACTTGCATACTACTTTTCTACAAGTTAAAGACTGATATTAAGTTAGAATAGAAACACTTGATGTTTTAAAAATAATTCAAGTGTCAGAGCATTAAGACTAATTTATACTTACAATGTGGAGGTAGGGATGGGGGTAGAATGACTGAACGTATTATGCAGCAGATATTAGAAGTAGAAGGCTCTTTAGGTAGTGATGTTAGTTTCAACTCAAGTGCAAAAGATGTGCATTGAGCATTATAATTTTAAATTAAACTCTTCAGATAAGTTTTATGAATTTCATCTTTGAGGTATGATATACAAGGTCTAGATGTAAGCAGGGTCTAAGGGAGTGATTTCTAGTTAAGTTGAATCTTCAGGCATTTAGCACTCATATCAGCCATTCATTGGGGTTTGTCTTTACATTCATCCACAAAACAAGCAACCAGTTTTAACATTTTATTGTAATTTTATATACAAAGAATGCTTAACATTAACAGAGCTTAGAACAACAGCAACATTTACAGAAAACTGGATTACAGATGTTTAACAACTAATTTGTTTGAACCCAAACATTGTTTTACAAATACCTGTAGTTTAAAAAAACAAAAAAAAAAAACCAATCCCCCAAACCGCCCCAACTCCTCCCCACAAAGAAACAATGGTAGGAATAGACCAAAAACTCAAATATGGTCCTTACAGTACATAAGAATAAAAACAGTAAACTATAAACTTCTAAGTGTTAACTCTATACTAAACCACTTTGCATTAGAAAATTATAAAATAGGATGGCTTTAGTCCACTTTATGTTTTAGAATAATCAATTTTAATGCTTAGTTTTCCCAGAACAGGAGCTTAAAAAGCAATTTGTTACTAGGACATTTTGTCGGGATACAGTCTAGGGGAAAGGACATAACAAAGCCAAGAACAAGATAGGGACAGCACTAATGGAAAACCCATCTTTTCATTAATCTTGGTTGCTAAATTTGGTTTCACATTTCTGATAGCAGGGAAAAAGGATTTTTGGAAAACTGGACAGCTTCCTTCTTGGCCCTCAAAAGTCTGCCTATTTTTTTTTTTAAAGGCACAATTTGCAAGCTAAATGTATTGCTTTAAAAAGTAATCCATCACTAGTGCTTTCCCAAACAGAAGATACACATTGTTGAGCAGAAAATGCAAGCAATCTTATCGCAAAACATGGCATATACAGTGATTCAGGAGGTAACAATTTGCCCCTCTGCCAAACATACACATTGGTATATTCCTGCAAACAGCTTTACACACTTACACAATTCATGTAGTCTGTGTTCAAACAAATTAGGTTGTTCAAAACTTTTCCTAATGCAGACAGACTACAAGTCTATAGCATAAAGAAACAACTGCATCACATTTAAAATATTGACCTTCATGGGATCAAGTCAAATATTCAAGAAATAACCATGCAATCGTCCGTGTAAAGGAAATCTTCTGTTTTGGCTGCTTAAAAAAGGTCCACATAATTTATAGCCAAAACCAGGAAATTCCTCCAGAACCTTGTTAGTTTCCAATGTATAATTAAACAAAATGTATGAGGGAAAAAAAATAATTAAGTGTAGCTTCAAGTGTTTCTTCTGTCTTGAAGATGAACAATACTCCAATACGCTGAGGCTGACAAAGTATTCCCCTATCTTCTCAAAACAGCAACTACTCTTTACAGGATAGTAATAATATGTACAATGCTTTTGCAAAATATGTCCTCCCCCAACCCCTCTTAAAAAACCGTTCCACATAAAAAAATATGATGTTAGAAAAAAACTTATATTTTCAAGAATATATATATATATATACCTTTGTAAGCTGGGCCAGAGAAATAGACGCGGAAGAGTCATCAATCTGTTCACAAAAAATTAAACACACATTCAAGTTCCAAACTGAAAACATCTTAAAGTGATCATTTAGCCCCTATTGACACCTTAATGTTGAAATATTGGGCATTTTCTTAGTTTTCTAAAGAATGTTAAGCTTGAAAATGTAGCTCAGCCTACTTCATTCTTCTCTAGATATTTCACACAGTTATAAAAAGCTATCAGTTGGAGGGGAGGAAGAGGGGACTCAATTAAAATGAAAAAATGTATCACACAGAAAATCTGTTCAGAGTGTCGACTGAATACTAGGAGTCCCATATCTCCCTATGGTCTCTAAATGTGACAATACTCAAGACAATGTACACTGGAAGAGAGAATAAGAAATCTAATTTTCCTGCAAGGCCATTATACAACATTGTAAAAACAAACAGCCCTTTAAGGGCTCAGATAATTGCTTTAATAAATAACAGCTCCCATATAATTGCTACTTCTTTAATTTTTGAAAACATACTCTTCAGTCTGAGTAAGTTTGTTTATTCTCTCATACAAAGAGTAATAGCTTCTTGTCAAAGAAACCACAGCTTTCTCAGGGCAAAGATGTTAAGTCAAAAAAAGGGAAAACAATGGCACCCTGAGGAGAAGGCCAACAGAGCTGTCACTTATTATGATGGACTCTAATATTTGAAGAAAGTTAATTTAATCACACAGAGCAAGTGTACATAAAGGATATAAGAGGGCTTTAAAAAAGGTATTTTAATGAGCCTTAAGCATTCTGCCCCACTCACTAACTGCCAATTCTCTAACACTGAAGAGGGGGAGATAACTGGGCATATTTGAAGAGGCATCTTTGTGTAAAAGATGTATGGAGTCAGGAGAGAGCCACCTTCATAAACTGTTCTGTGCAAAGAGGAATAAAACATTTCTCTTTCAAAATAAAATAAAAATAAAAATGTATTTTAAATTGAACACTAATTTTTTTCATTTGATCCTCTGAAATGATTTTAATATCAGTTTTTAAAAAAATCTTTAGCAAACAATCTTGAAGATATGATTTCCCTACAGCTTCCTACGTAGTAAGTGGGTTGCTTAGTTAACATGTCGTAAGGTCAGAACTCTTCATTTAAAATGGAGAATGTAACAAGATGTCTGGATCAAAGAAAAAAGTCTTCATCAGGTATTCTGTTCCAGAGAACCAAAAGTTTTAAAATAAAAGCAACATGACTTAAGAGCCCCAAAGACAAATGTAACCAGTCTCAATATGAAGTTCTTAGCCAATGCCCACACAGTAGGGATTCAATAAATGTAAATAAAAAATAATGTTGGCTAAATATAAGACACATCTCACAAATATCTTAGGGTTTTAAAAGTTAATTTGATGGATATTACTGGGATGTTTATTCAGACAAAAGGTTCTTTGCTCCACATTAAGGAACTGACTATAAAAGAGTTCATGATGCACTAACCCTATAACTTAATGCATATCTACATAATTTGCCAATGGGTTATCATTTTTGTCCAGCTTTTAAGTATTTTTTTCCTTTAAGAACTAATCTCAAGTGGTAAGTAGAAAAAAACCTCTAAATAATACATATCTCTTTTTATCTAAAATAAGTTCTGACCTACTCAATCTATTTTAAAGATTTTATACCAACCAGAAGTTACTTGATTTTAAGTAACAAGGACTAGACAAATTGCTGTCAACCATCATCTATACTACATTCTAACCAATAAAACAAATAGTCTTTAAAAATAGCCCATTACTATCTAGAATAGAATATAAATACTGATGATTTCCTTGGAAAGAAAACAATTATATTAACTTTCTTACCACTGGAACTAAAAAACTTAAGAATAAAAAAAAAATCTTCCCACTCCTAACACTTAAGATATAGTATCCTTTTTGTTTTTATGCTGGGCTTTTGTGTGCTTTTAAGCTTTCTGCTAACTTATTAGTATTATGTATTTATTGACTTTGAAGTGGTTTTAGATATGCAACTGCACCTAAATCACCTTTTTACCACCAAGTAATCACTATTGCCCCTAAATATCTTATAGTCCACAAAGAAGTCAAATTTACCTCAAATTTAGAAAAGCAAACAAATGTTTCCTACATATAGCAAGGTGTTCAGAAATGAGCAAAAAATGTTGACAAAGAATGGTTTAAAAATGATTAGGAATTTGTATTACTAAACATCAATAAAAATAGTGACTCTTGGTAAGATACTAATGGTAAAAAAAAGTCTGCCACTTAAAGTCCTCACAAAACGGACTGATGCAGACCGTAGACATTAAAATTAACCCACCTCCCTGTACCTAATTAGGGGTCTTGTTTTGGGAAGCAAGGATCTAAAATCTTTTATGCCAATTATATTAGCTTTTTGAAGTTAAAGAATCCTATAAAATACCACTCTGATATTTAGTTAGCAAGAAGAACATCCAGCTTTGGGGTATCAACATGGATGGATGACTAAAAACAAGACTGGGGAATATGGAAACAGCCATCCATTCTTGATTAGAGTTCGCTTCCATTACCAAAACTATACATTTACTTTACTAATCAGGATAAGAAAAATTTGGCTTAGCGCCTCTATTTACTTTGCTTTTGTGAATGTGTACAATCCACGTGACTCTAAATCTCCTAAGATGGGCACTAATTATGCTTGATGAATATATTCTCATCTTAAATGCCAGCAAATGTACCCCAAGCAAATAAATGATGGGGACAACAAGGTTATCTAATATCTCTATTTCAGATAATTCTACCTAAAAATTAAAGCCAATTTTAAAGTATTAAAAAAAAAAGAAAAGAAAAGAGAAACCTAAATAAGCTTAAATAAACTGCTTCTTATAAATGTAATACAGACATGCCGGAACACACAAGGCTAAAAGAATGTTAACTTTATTTATGAACATGTGATTTGTGTTTATACACATGCTAATAAACAAAAAGGAAATAACTGTTTTCAAGAAATAAAACTTCATCTGAATTAGTTTAAATACTATATAAACTGTACTTTATACAAAATGTGTTACATTAACTACTACAGTCACCAGGATAGTCAATCTAATTTATGCTAGCATTTGGATACATAAAAATCAGTTTTAAACCAATCACCAGCAAAACATAAGCTTGGACAGTTTTTACAGCATTATGCTTAAAAAAAAAAAACAAAAAAACAAAAAAAAACACCCCATATCCAAAAAGAGGAAAAAAAAACCCCAAACACTAAGACTTTTGATCTTAGAATCACTGTATTTAGTTCCACAAGAACTAAAGGCCATATACTCTAAAGAACAAGTCCAATGTTCAGATATTCTATATTATCATGTTTAAGATCCAATGATCCAAGGTTAGTGAAATGCCTCATATACAAAGAGCAATAGTATTTAAAAAGTATATAATGTGAAATAGCAAGCAATACCCTTGAATTCTAAATGAAGATTTTAGACATCTTGCATTGTGTACAATATCAAGCCTGGGCATTAAAATGTTTAGAGAACCATTACATTTACAGAACCCAATTATGATAGACCTGTGTTATGAAACAGATGCTTCACCCCACAACTTAGGAATGCTGCTACTTTTTACTTAAGAGCTCAAAGTTAAAATGGTATCACAAATTAAGTTAATCTGTGATTACAAAAATTAAGCTTAACTTTCTTCAAACCAGTTATCCTGGTTAAGGGGAGTTACCTCTGATAAGGTACAGCTTTCAATGGCCTAAAATTAACGCAGCATTTTAGTATAAGAGGGAAATATTTTAATTTGGACATCTGCACTAACTAGATAGAAGTGGAAGATCTCATTAAACTTTGAAAACAATATAATCAGTTTATATAAACTCAAAATCACTAAGACACTTATATATTCATAGGGGGCCCCAGGTTCAGGTTTCACTTTATAGTACAGATGTAAACAAAAGAAGGAGCTCAAAATGCCAAATAAAGCAAGACTAAATAATAAAGCTGCATCAATGGTCTCTGGAAAGCTCTTTTCTATGATGTGTTTGAACTTGGAGAAAGCATCAAACTTTAATATAAGCTTTGCATGTTGCTAATGCGTTTTTGGAAGCCATAAATCAGGCAGGAAAAAAAAAACTAACAAAAACTAAGTGATACAACGTGAAAATGGCAAAATATACACTCCAAACATTTTTTATTGCAAGAAACAAAAAGCACACAACAGCCTGTACATACATACAAAATACTAACTATAGACAGACAAATGTAGAACATGTCATCATGTTCCTTAGTGTAAAACCTAAACGATCTAAAAAGGATCATACATTAACTGTACAACACAGTGTCATACAGGGATAATGCTATCATATTTAATATGAAACAGTGTTACGGGCACAAATTACCCATTTCTACAAAATAAGTGTGCAAGTGATGCCACATATTATCCATATTCAACTGAGCTGTCATCAAAATACATTTTATTTACAATATGTACTATGATCAGTTGGATATTAAGTTCTAAAATGATTTACTTCACTGCTACATTATAAAGGTAAAAGCAATGTGTAGAAAAAGTGTGAGATTGTGTTTTTACATACTGCTTTTGTAGTTGCCATCGCTGGTTCAGTTCGACTTCTAAAACACAAAATAAAAACAAAAATTAACATTAGCTATTTATGAATTTTTGTGCTAATAAATTTTAACACATTATCTTCAATAATACATTTTTAGGAACCTAATTTTCCTTTGGTATAAATATTTAACAGCCAATTTCTGAATGAATAAATTACTCTGATTAATCTTTACCACCTTTGAGCAGTTTTAAGATAGATTTGTGGTTTGGAAAAAAATTCCATACTAGGGAATTCAAAAATAGGTGTACCCTGCCACTTAAAACAAATGTTTTCTGAAAGGTAGTATAGGGATTTTATGTTTAGAAACGTAGTTTATTCTTAATAAACTGAAAATTTTAAATTATATAATTTCCCAGTTTCTGAATGCGTAAATTTTCACACATCAGGAAGACTGCTGTTGTTAACATTTGTAATTTGAATCCCTGAGAAATTGCTGTGCTCCCAAAACTAATTTTCAAATCTGGAGGGCCAGGCTGATAGCTATTTTCATTTTTCAAATGTCTCAAAACAACAATCAAGGATTGAACAAGAGGCCAAGGTGAGAGGATCACTTGAGCCCAGGAGTTTGAGACTAACCTGGGCTGTAACATAGTGACCCCATCTCTTAAAAACAGAAAAAAAAAAAAAACTGAACAAAAATTCTCACTCCCAGAAAAACACAATATAATCAGAGTATTTTAGTTAAAAGAACTGACTTAAATGGCTGTGTAGAACTGGACAATTTGATGTTTAAAAGACATAAACCCCAAAAGAAATTATTTTAATCCACACAGGAAAGGGGAAGAAGTTGAGTTGCTAGATTATAGCCTTTTAATGCTTAAAGTTTAAGGTATCTTGACTATAGAGAAATGTTAGCATCTAACAGGAGTTTCTAGGTGTGTGTATAATTTGGAATTTGAGATAAAAAAAAAACTGAGCTTTGATTTTCTAGTATTTGCTCAAAAAAAAACTGAGATGCATTTTATGAGGCAAATTTATTACAAACAGAACCCTATATATTGTACATTAACATATAATTCTGTGTAAGAGGCAACTTATTTTGCCATGTACTTCAAATAATTCTTAAGAGTTTCTATCAAAAAATCTACAGAAAATACATTTGCCATTTTTTAAAAAGCACTTGGTAAATTAAAGTAAAATTTCACACTGGATTGTAGGAATTAATTCTCCCCATAAATTTATAATTCTTAGGCTGGGTGCGGTGGCTCACGCCTGTAATCTCAGTACTTTGGGAGGCCAAGTTGGGTGGATCACCTGAGGTCAGGAGTTTGAAACCAGCCGGGCCAACATGGTGAAACCCAGTCTCTACTAAAAATCCAAAAATTGGCCAGGCTTGGTGGTGGGCACCCATAATCCTGGCTACTTGGGAGGCTGAGGCAGGAGAATCGCTTGAGCCCGGAGGCTACAGTGAGCCAAGATTGTGCCACTGCACTCCAGGCTGGGCAACAGAGTGAGACTCCATCTCAGGAAAAAACAAAACAAAACAAAACAATATATATATATACACACATATATATATAATTCTTAGAATCATTTAAAGTTAAGAACACACACCATTAAAAGTTCACTTGGCAATTACAACAAGGAAAGTATTCAGCTTTTTAAAGTAGCTATTATATGGAAGATACTGCACAAAAGGACCTCTAAGTGTTAAGATATGGAATATAACTTTACAACAAACTAATGAGAAAAATCTTAGAATACTTGCCCATATGAGGTAAAGCTCCAAGAAATGACTTTATTTTTACCTTAATTTCAAGAACACTTTCCATTCCCTAGCACTGGCAAATTCTAGAATTTTTCATTGACTCAAAATAATTTGTTCCAATTTCAAACAATACTACCTAATTCTA